>NC_000016.10:22728910-23031940 GCF_000001405.40 Homo sapiens | reverse complement strand
AGCAGTATTTCCCTTGGTGCCAGTGTCATTCAAACAACTAGTGGGAAATTCTGCTTTGCAGTGGTGTAGGGTTTCCTCAGGACATTCCTTTCTACAAGCAGCAGGGAGGCTGAGACCACTGTGTGAAGGCAGGGGGGACCACAGGAGTAGAGAAAAAGAAGAATTAGAAAAGAGCACAGGTTAGCAGATTTCTGTGCTTAGGTCCAAGACAATCATCATGTGTGGAAAATACTCCATCAGAGATATTGTTGTGGCTATAAAGCCTGTCCCCCATTTTTTGGGGGGAGTTTCCCTCTTGTTGCTCAGGCTGAAGTGCAGTGGTGCGATCTCAGCTCACTGCAACCTCCGCCTCCCAGGTTCAAGTGAGTTTCCTGCCTCAGCCTTGTGAGTAACCGGGATTATAGACACCCGCCACCACACCCAGCTAATTTTTGTTTTTTTAGTAGAGACGGGGTTTTGCCATGTTGTTCAGGCTGGTCTTGAACTACTAGACAGCATTTTAATAATGGGTGGGTTCATCTGGAAATACCGTAGCTTTTCATTATCTAGGGCTTGAGCAGCAACTGCCTTCTTGAAGTGGGGCTAGGGTCTACACCCACCTGAGCCCCCCTGGCCAGCTGCTTTTGTTTATATCACCAGGCTGGCTCTTGGTTCCCTCTTGTGTTAATGATCCTCTGATTTAAGGAACAGAGCAAGCAGGATTTCCAGAGTGCAGAGGTAGGTGTGGGTCTTTCTTGGGTCCCCAGTGGTCTGGGGTAGAACACAGGTGCCTACTTGCAGATGAGCACCCCGGGGCCCCAGGAGTCGGCAGTGACCTTACAGCTTGAGCAGAACAGAGCCGCCCTTGTGTTGTGGTGACCTGGACCCGGCACCACAGAGATCACGGGGGATAGAACCCTCCTGAGGAGTGAGAGTTGACACCACTAGAGCTGCAGAATATTTCACGATCTTGTTAGCACAGATGGTTGACCACTGGTATATGTGGAGTTCTGAGGTGGGTGAATGGATGAGCGTGCATGTGTCAGTGAGTGTGGGGGATCTGCGTGTGCAGGTGCCATCTCTGGATGGTCTCTGGATGAGTGGTGTGCATGCTGAAGAATAAGGTATTTTGTATCTGATGGCAACAGAGGGAATGCATGAATTACATCTGCCTAGATGTGACAGATGAGGCACCTGTGCCTTGAATACAGGGTGTGAAACATTTGGGCAACACCCAAATAAATGTACTTAATTTTTATTATCACATAGCTCTTTTATCAACATATTATTTTGGTTTAATTGATTGCAGCTCTCCCTCCTCCAGGATAATTTATTCAGGTTGAACATTGACAACAGAAATAAAAACCATCCATCCTGGCTTCACACAGCGTTGGGGCTTACTCCTGGTCTGGGCTTGCCTGTCTGTTGAGTCGGTCGGCTAGCTGGTTGAGTGGTCAGATTTTAAGTTACCTCTGTTGGTTTTCTCTCTTTTCTGAGCCACATTTTCAGCTTGTTCTGTGGAGTCACCAAACCCCCATTCTCTGTGCAGCTCACTGCTGCAGAATTTTTTTTTTATTCAAATGAGTTTAAATCATCTCAGAATATATTAGATTACTCTCTCCCTTGGGTTGGATATTTGTAGCGAAGGAAGTAAACTGAACATTTAGCAGTCATCTTTTCTTTTTCTCTTAATTGAGCAGAGGCCGGCTGCCAGGAGGATTGGTATTCTGCACAAAGACCTCCCTGAGATAGGCAGCTGGGCTCCTGATGGTCTGTAAACACACATGGCCAAGCCAGGGCAAAGATGCTTCAGCATCTGGATCCTGAACCTCGGCTTGTGCATATAGCTGTGCTGGAGGCTCACCTGAATCCTTGATGCCAGCTCCCTTCTTAACAGGCAGCCCATCTGCCTCCTGTAGTGATTCCCAGTGACCTCATGCCAGAATTGAGGCAACTTCCTATTCTGCAAATGATTTATTATTCATAATGAGCAAAAGATTCCGCTCTTCAAATGACCTGTCAGGGTGAGCCTGGCCTGGCACTGCAGTCCTCAGAAGGGAAACATTTCCTTTGTGTTCCGAGGGATAGGAGAGGTCAGAGGGGCTACGATACATGGGGCTAATATAGGTCAGGGCTTGCTGCTTTGTGTGA
This sequence comes from Homo sapiens, assembly GCF_000001405.40. Classification (NCBI taxonomy): domain Eukaryota; kingdom Metazoa; phylum Chordata; class Mammalia; order Primates; family Hominidae; genus Homo; species Homo sapiens. Next base: position 23,029,810 of record NC_000016.10, on the reverse strand, counting down.
ATTTGCAAAAATGTGCTCCTTCTGGGTAGACACATTCCCACAGCTGTTCAGTTTGGCATTGAAAGGGCTCCTTCTAGAAAGAAAACATACCTCTTTCTCCAGGCACATTCAGCGTTGTGCCAGGGAGCCTTCTTTGGTGAGGAGAGACTGGACTATATTTTATCCTCCAGTGGAGACCTTGGCTAAGCTCTTTTGTGCAGAGCCCTGAAGCAGAGGCCACTTGTTCTCTTGTGGCAATTGGGTGAGCCACTCCAGGTGCTCATTCTCCTATCCTTGAGAGAAAGAATGACCTGCCCTCTTCGTCATCTCTTCCTTGTGTCTGCTTCATGTCCTAACCATTCTGCTAAGATGTAGGTATTATTGGTCCCATCTTAGATATGAGAAAACTAAGGACTGTGAAGAGCTGTTTTCCAAGGTTAGACAGCTTGTAAGTGATGAGACTGGGATGATTAGAGATCAAGTCTGTCCTCCCAAAGCCCATGGTCCTTCAACTGCATTTCCCTGCAAAAGTCATGAGATGGATCCTAATTGTGTGCAGATTGTGATTTTGTGGATACTGCGGTACTGCCTCTCTTCCCCTTCCTCAACACTGTGATAATACCTTTAGTGTAAATCTAGCTACCAACTCTTTGCCAGGCTCTGTGATCAACACTGGGCTAAAGAGGTAAATGAGCAAAAGGAGCTTCTTGTCTAGTTGGGAGAGATTCACAAGTCACGTCACCCAACTCCTCTGTGTCTCCATTTTTGTTTCTCCATGAGAGATGCCTGGAGAAGAAGGAGACCTGGGCAGGGCATCAGGGATTTGGGAACCTCCCCTCAGGCTGGCTGCTGATTTTCTGTGTGACACTCTGAGCAAGTCACCCACCTAGGTGACCAACTCATTGTGATTTGCTTTGGACTTTCTCAGTTTTAGCACTGAAGGTCCCATGTCCGTAGAAACACCTCCATCTTGGGCAAATCACTATGGTTGGTCACCCCACACTTGACCCCGCACTGGCTCCTTCATAAGACTGTATTTTGCAGAAAAGAGGGGACTAGCATGTTTTTTTCTTTTTTTAAAAAAGTTATACAAGTCATATTATTGATTGCTGAAAATAGAGACAACCAAAAAAGTACTATGCTAAAATGGCTAATAAATATAGGAAAATATGCTCAATTTCACTCTTAAAGAAGTGCAAATCAAAACAAGATATAATTTTCACCTCTCAAATTGGAACAGAAAGTGAAAACATCTGATATACTTAATTGAAGCTGGAAAGGCTGTGGGGACATGTACCCCTTCATTCTCTGTGGTGGGAATGCAAATTGGTGCAACCTTTTAGGAAGTCCATCTGGCACATCTATGAACATTTAAGTAGGTACATCATTTGTCCTAGTAAATCATTTTAAAGAATGTGTCATGTAGAAATACTTGCGTGGGTCCATGAAGGTGTACCTGATAGAATGTTCAATACAGACTTTTTGCTGTTGTAAGAAAAAAAAAATGGAACTAATCCAGGCATCCACCAACTGAGGTGAACAATAGAACAATTCCATATGGTGTGCATTGAAATCACCTGAAGGTCTTGTTCAAACAGATTGCTGGTCCTCATCTCTGGAGTTTCTGTTTTAGTAGGTCTGGGATGGAGCCCAAGATTGGAGACTATTATTCTAAGTGAAATAACTCAAGAATGGAAAACCAAACATCATGTGTTCTCACTCATAAGTCGGGGCTAAGCTATGAGGATGCAAAGGCAAAGAATGAGACAATGGACTTTGGGGACTCAAGGGGGAAAGGGTAGGAAGGGGGTGAGGGATAAAAGACTACAAATCAGTGCAGTATATACTGCTTGGGTGATGAGTGCACCAAAATCTCATAAACCACCACTAAAGAACCTACTCATGTAACCAAACACCACCTTTTCCCCAATAACCCAGGGAAACAAAAAAAATTTTTTAAAAGAATTTGCATTTCTAAAAACCTCCCAGGTGATGCTGCAAATCCCAGGACCACACTTTGAAAACCACGGATATGGAGACAAATGAGAAAACTTCCTTCAAATGTGACCTAGTCCAGACCTGGGAGCAGTACTGTCAGACACAGAGAGACCTGGGCAGAAGTCCAGGAGGGAGATGGGGGTTGGGGAAGGGGGCCCTCTGATTTCTCCTTTGCTGGCTTGGAGTCCTCACCTGATCACTCAGCATATGGGGCAAAGTGGGGCTGGATTCCTCAAAAAACATGAGTACCAGGGACTCCTGCCAAGGGGGTCCCAGTGGTAGGCAGAGGGAGAAAGTAGCCTATGGCTTGGCCCTCGCAAACAAAGGCCCAGGGCTGAGAGTAGGAGAGAGGGCCAGCTGGGTGACTTCTGCCAGCTGTTTGTTGGTGTCTCTGCTCCTCCCTGGGAGGCTGGCATTCTGCTTTCAAGGACAACATCAGATGCTCAGGGAATAGAGGAGCAGGTGTTCCCAGGAACCAAACCTTGAAGATGAACTAACAGGTGTTGATTACTGTCTGGCAGAGGTGTGTTATGTGTGGGTATTGTTTTCTGCCTTCTTCCCTCTTCAATCCCACTAACACCATCACCTCCTCCTCAGCTAGGGCTTCTCTTGAGCTCTCCCCACATGCATCTTGTGACAGAGTGAGACTCTGTCTTAAAAAAAAAGAAAAAAGAAAAAAAGAAAAAAAGAAAAAAGAAAGTAAATTTCCCATACTGCTGAAAGTCAGAGATTAAGACTGCAACCTAACACCAAATCAACTGTACGGCTCACAGGATGTCTGAGCCATGAGCTGACAGGAAGGGGCCACAAGATGAGGGTCCATGAATGGAACTCTGGTACCTTGGCTGGCAGCATCTCTGCTGTCCACGGTGCTGAATCTAACCAACCATTTGCCCTTAGGAGAGGGCCAGGGAAAAGAAGTTCACATGAAGGAAAAGAAAACCAACTGCCTTGGAACGTATGCCACCATTAGGAAAGCATACAGTACATCAAGGTCTAGTCAAACTGTAGCTGTTTGAGGTCACTTAGTTGGACTTGGGACCCACTGACGGTTATTTCCTTGGAGAAAGGAAATAATGTCACTCGCCTGGTGGGGCGTCGTGCTTGACACCTTAGCTGTATTATTTATCTTAATCTCTAAAATAATCAACAGGGAAAGGTATTATTGTCCTCATTTTACCAATGAGGAAATAGAGGCACAGAGAAATTCCTCATATTAAGTGATGAAGTGAGGGCTCAAACACAGAGATCCAACTCCCAAAGCTAGAACTGGTGTCATTTAGACTCACATGCCCCAAGGCTAACGCTGATGGCTCTTTGTTTAGGCAGCTACCCTGACATTTGGGCAGGTCACCAGATTGCATGTTTTCTCCCTGGGACATTTCAAATTTCAAATCTCTGGGACTCTGAAACCATTTCAAAAGCCTTTATTGTCCTAACACACACACACACACACACACACACACACACACACACACACACACCATGCCCACACAAATGAATAAGCTTCATTTGCTTTTCCACTTATGGGAATGGGATGTGAATATAAGCAAGACATTCAAATTAAAATTGACTGTTTTATTTTAATTGACCTTTGATTCCCACCTCACTGTCTCCCTCCCGTCCCCACTCTGGCCTCCTCCATCCCTTGCTGTGCTCTGTGATTCATAAAGGCCTGAGGCTCAGCAGCTGTAATTGGTTTGTAACTTCCTGGAATGTCAAAGCCAAGATGGAAATTTTACGTATCACTCCACCAATTCTGTCCTGGATTTAATAATAACTTGGCAGAAGGAAAGGCAGATTTACAGCGGGAGAGAAATGTAATCAAATTTGGAGGTGAAATGCAATAAGTACAAATGCTAGTTTTCATTTGGAAGCTTCTTAGATAAATGTAATCTCACCCAGCTCTCAGACCCAATCCTTTGTTTCTTCTCCTGGAGCAGTGGAGAGCTCTGGTGGGGTAAAAAAAAAATCCTTGAAGGGAGAGTTTGTATCTGGGATTTCCTATCCTGGCCCCAGCAAGTGACCCTGGTGCACTGGGAGATGATGGTGGGAGAGGTATGAAGTGTCAGTTGGAAGGACAAGGCTTAATTGGGGGCCTCCGATATGCTGAGTTCTGGAGGGAAAAACAGAATTAAGCACTTATTAGGCACAGTTTTAAGTGCCTTTCATATCTTATCTATTTCAGTTTCATGACAACCCTGTAAAGTAAGTAATATTATTCTTCCCATTTAATAGAGACATAAAATGAGGTTTAGGGAGAGGGTTCTCAGTGATAGAATGGAGTTCTGTTTGACTTTGGAGTCTATACTATTAACCCCTCTCTTGCAGGAATACGAAAAATTAATGTTTCTTTCTTTTCTTCTTTCTTTCTTTCTTTCTTTCTTTCTTTCTTTCCTTTTTTTTTTTTTTTTTTTTTGAGACAGAGTCTCACTCTGTCACCTAGGCTGGAGTGCAGTGGCGCGATCTCGGCTTACTGCAACATTTGCCTCCCGGGTTCAAGCGAGTATCCTGCCTCAGCCTCCCAAGTAGCTGGAATTACAGGCGTGAGACATCATGCCTGGCTAATTTTTGTATTTTTAGCAGAGACGAAGTTTCGCCGTGTTGGCCAGGCTGGTCTCGAATTCCTGACTTCAAGTGATCCACCCGTCTTGGCTTCCCAAAGTGCTGAGATTACAGGCATGAGCCACCGTGCCTGGCCTTTTTTTTTTTTTTTCTTTCTTTTTTGAGAGACGGGGCCTTGCTCTTGCCACCCCGGGCTGGAGTGCAGTGGTGCAATCATAGCTCACTACAGCCTCAACCTCCTAGGCTCAAGCAATCCTCCCGCCTCAGCCTTCCAAGTAGCTGGGACTACAGGCATGTGCCACCATGCCTGGCTAATTTTTTAAATTTTTTGTAGAGTCGGGGTCTCACTATGATACTCAGGCTGGTCTGAAACTCCTGGACTCAAGTGATTCTCCTGCTTCAACCTCCCAGAGTTCTGGGATTACAGGCATGAGCCACCATACCCTAATGTTTCTTGAATACTCATTTGCTAGGTGCTTAGGAGAACTTTCACAACATCTCTGGATGGTAGGTATTGTCCTATTGTTCTATCCATTTATCAGGTGAGAAAACATTCTCAAGCTTTACCTCCTTACAAAAGTGGGCGAGAGCCACGTGAAAAGATGTTCAACATTATTAGCTACTGGGAAATGCAAGTTAAACTACAATGAGATATCATTACACATCTATTGGCACAGTAAAAATAAAAAAATAGAGATAATGCCAAATGCTGGTGAGGATGTGGAGGACTGGGATCAATCAATCATTGCTGGTGGCAATGTAAAATATAACAGCCATTCTGAAAAAGATATGGCAGTTTCTTACGAAATTAAATATATGTTTGCCATAACGACCCAGCAATTATACTTTTGGGCATTTGTCCCAGAGAAATGAAAACTTACATTCACACGAAAGCCTGTACATGAACGTTCATAGCAGCTTTATTCATAACAGCCAATAATTGGAAACAATCCAAATGTCCTTCAAAAAGCAAACAGTTAAACAGTGGAACATCCATACTATGAATTACTAGTCAGCAATAAAAAGGAACAAGCTATTGATACATGCAACCATTTGGATGGATCTCAAGGGAATTATGCTGAGTGAAAGAAAAAGCCAGGCCTGAAAGGTTACCTACTGTATGATTCCATTTCTATAGCATTCTTGAAATTACAAAATTATAAATGAAGACCAGATTAATGATCGCTGCAGATCAGAGAGTAGGGGAGGGAGGCAGGTAGATGTTGCAATAAAAGGACAGCACAACAGACCTCTTGGTGGTAGATCTTGACTGTGGCGGTGGCCACACAAATCTGTGCACATGATGAAACTACATAGAACTAAACACACAAACAAGCTCACATGAGTGCATGTAAAGCTGGCAAAATCTAAGATTGGTGGATGGTATCAATGTCAATTTCCTGGTTGTGATATTGTACTACATGTATGCAAGATGTTACTATGGGGAAAGTTGAGTAAAGTGCTCTGTGATCTCTATTATTACTTTTTCTTTCTTTCATTCTTTGACAGAGTCTCACTCTGTTGCCCAGTCCGGAGTGCAGTGGTGCGATCTCGGCTCACTGTAACCTCCGCTTCCCATGTTCAAGCAATTCTTCTGCCTCAGCCACTTGAGTAGCTGGGATTACAGGTGCATGCCAACACTCCCAGCTAATTTTTGTATTTTTAGTAGAGATGGGGTTTCGCCACATTGGCCAGGCTAGTCTCGAACTCCTGACCTCAAGTGATCCACCTGCCTCGACCTCCCAAAGTGCCTGGATTACAGGCATGAGCCACTGTGCCTGGTCTGTGATCTCTAGCATTTCTTAAAACTGCATGTGAATCAACAATTGTCTTAAAATAAAAATGTGTGTGTGTGTGTGTGTGTGTGTATGTGTGTGTGTGTGTTTTGGAATGTCAGTGAGGGAAGTGGATGGAGAGGATGCAGAGGGGAAAAGGTAAGGACTTGCCCAAGTTCACACTGGGTGATGGAGCTACATACTCAGGCTCATAACCTCTGCTTTGAGCCACCACCCCATCTGACAGAAAACTGTTATGACCTTCACTTCTGGAATTTCCCCTTCCTCTTTCCAAACAAGCCAAGATTACAAGGCCCATGCTCTTACTCACACCCAGGGTAGGGTGTGTGAGTTCTGTACCCATCAGTACCACAGATAGGAGGGGTCCAAGAAGGCTGGGAGCCACATCAGGTCTGAGTCCTTTTAGAGGAATTAACATAGACATTGAGAGACAGATGCTGTAGCTCTGAAAGGACCATTGAAACTGAATTTTCCAAGTGCCATTTTCCCCACCACGTAGAAGTAGTGTGCCTGAGAATAAATTAAACACAGAAAATCAGAGGCCGCAGATGGAGGAAGAGAGGCAGAAATCTGATGATGAAACATGAGCATCGACATCTCCTTGTCTGGGTCTTTTTTCTATATCACCTACCTGTATTTATATCCAAAGCATCCACTTCTGGACTTCTTAGGTATATCTCTGCCTCCTGGGTTCAAGCGATTCTCTTGAATCGCTTGGTATTTCCCAGCCTTCTGACTAGCTGGGACTACAGGTGCATGCCACCACATCTGGCTAACTTTTGTATTTTTAGTAGAGTTGGGATTCACCATGTTGGCCAGGGTTGTCTTGAACTCCTGACCTCAGGTGATCCACTTGCCTTGGCCTCTCAAAGTGCTGGGATTACAAGCTTGAGCCACCACGCCTGGCCCACCTTGCTTGCTATTATGCCTCCTAGCACTCTGCCCACCAGTCCAAGCTCTGCTCAACAACGGGAGTCATTAGTGAATCTATGACCCTGGAATGCCAAGACCTGGCCAGCTCCCCAGATATTTGAGGATTCCAATCTGGCATTCCCTCTTCAGAGACCCTCTGTGGGGTGCCCTGAGCTCTGTCTGGGGAGAGGGAAAGGGAGGGCATGTCCTGACGTGGGAGTAGCTCCCCTGGGCTGAGGAGTAGCAAGGCACTGATTTACAGACTTCTTTTTTTTTTTCTTGGAGTCTATTTCCCACTTCAGTTGTCAGCCCATCTCCAACATGATTTAAATTGGGAATCTGAATATGTAGATTTTCAACAAGGTTCTGACACTGGCTGTGGGACAGGAGGAAGTCACCTAATCACCAGTGTCCTCACCTGATGCCTGGGATTTGACTCCCACTGATGAAGGCTCACTGTGGGAGCCTGGTGGCCTCTGCCACTAATGACTGGATGAAAACAAAGCTTGAAAGTCATAGTGCTTCACTAAGGTCTTCGTGGAATGTTTAAGGGCATGGCTGGGTTCTGGGAGATGCTCTGCAGGTTGAGGAAGAGGGAAGCACAGGGCTTGGTGAGCTTTGAGTAGGTAAGCACCAAAAGGTACACTCAGAGGGATCCATACTTGCACCTACCTGTACAGTGGCTGTTCTCTTCCCTCTTGTTGATCTTACTAAGGAGGACAACCTTGAAGTCCCCTCCCCAAATCATCATCCCCTGATTCCATGTTTAGATGACTATGTCAGGGGTAGACGTGTGCTTGGTCAGGAGATAAGTCCCATCTTACCCCACTTCACCACTTCTCTCTTCCTCCCTTCATCCTATCCCATCCCATCTCCCTCCTCTCTCCCCCTGTTGGCCACCCCCATCCCTCCCACTTCAACTCAAGCTCCTCTCACTCCTCTCTTCCACTTCCCCTCTGCTCCATTCATTTCTTTTCCATGTCACTGCATTCCGCTCACCTCCCAGCAGCACAGACTCAGAGCAAGACAGGAGTCTTTTGGGATGTCTTGAGCCTGGGCTCTTACAGATTACAAGGCCCATGCTCTTACAGTCAGGGTGGGGCATGTGAGTGCTGAACCCATCAGTCCCACAAGACTGAGGAGGGGTCCAGAAGGGCTGGAAGCCATGTCGGGTCTGAGTCTTTTTATAGGAATTAACACAGACATTGGGAAAGAGAGAGACCCTTTAGTTCTGAAGGGGCCATTGAAACAATTTTCTATTATCTATTAGCGATACTCCTCTAATGACTTCCACTCAAACTACAGCATGTGCGAATGATCCAGAAGAGTGGTTCTCAGAATCTCAAACCAAACCAACAGCAGTTACTCTTGCCAGGTACTGTCCTAAGAACGTTGATTCTTTTAAACGAGTGAGGCAGATACGAATGTTTTCTGCATTTTCCAGATGAGCAAACAGAGGCACGGAATGCTAAATAACTTCCAAGGGCAAACAGCCAGAGTAGAATAGCTAGAAATTGAACCCTGGTGTCCATAGTTTTATCCACACTCAGTAGCAATGGTGAATGTCTCTATGAGACGGTGAACAGCCCAGGCGTGGTGGCTCACGCCTGTAATCCTAGCACTTTGGGAAACCAAGGCGAGTGGATTGCTTGAGGCCAGGAGTTCAAAACCAGCCTGTCCAACATAGTGAAACCCCGTCTCTACTTAAAAAAATACAAAAAATTAGCCAGGCGTGGTGGCACACGTCTGTAATCCCAGTTACTCGGGAGGCTGAGGCAGGAGAATGGCTTGAATCCGTGAGGCGGAGGTTGCAGTGAGCCGAGATCGAACCACTGCACTTTAGCCTGGGCGACAAGCGTTAAATTCCATCTCAAAAAAAAAAAAAAAAAAAAAAAAAAAAGAGAGAGAGAGAATGAACAAAGGCTGTTTTTTATTTCCTACCTTAACCAAGTATGTGTGATGTTTAAACGTTTGCGGGACAAATGGAACAGGAACGTCTATGTCAGGAAACTTTGCCTTTGCCACTCTCTGTGTTCAGGTGGAGCTGCCCTCACCCCGGGCACCATGGGCGGCCACAGACCAGTTCTGTCTAGTGAGGGCCCATCTGCTCCTGGCCATAGTGACTAATTCAGTGATGGGCACTTGACACAAGCCAGGTCAACAATATTTGATTTGGGAGTTTTGATGGCCCAAGGCAGTTAGAGAGCTAGATACTAGTTGGCCTGGGTCATGTGGTCAGTTCTGAACCAATCACTGTAGAGAAAGAAAGGAAATGGGATATTATTTGTTGATTGGCCAGGCCCAGGTCATGTGCTCAGCTCTGAACCAATCATTGTAAAGAAAGAAAGGAGAACGAATAATGGCCTCCGTGGGGAGGTCCTGAGCTCATCGTAGACTCCATTCAACTGCATGGACTGAGAGTAGGAGAGGAGCCCATCCCCAAAGAAAAGTTGGGTGCTTACCTACCAGAGGATGAGGGAATGAATGCTGGGAGCGTGGAGACGAGCTGTTACTCCATCACTCCTACTCCCGCTCCTGTGATCCTAGCCTGGGCCTGCCTGGTGTTTGTGGGTGCTGGGGTCTGACCCTGCCCAGGGCTGGACTGCCCCCTTTGTCAGCGTTCCCTTTGGAGCTGAGGTTGTTCCCTCAAACGCCACGCTGGCTTTCTCTGAGCTGAGGAGAGCAGGTCACAGATGCCTTGAGGAGCACACTACCACACTGTGTCTCCTGGCTGGCCCTGGGCAAAACCACCAGAGCTCCGGGACTCAGGTGCCTGCAGGAAAGAGGCGATGATATAATACATGGGAACGTCTTAGACTCAAAAGTGCTCAATGCGTGGCCGATGACTTCGCTAGCAGCCCATTTTTTTTAGTATATTGAGTTTGGGTTCTGGGGCAGTTTCAGAGATATCAAAGACTCATTTGGCTAGCAGTAATTTGGGGGAGTTTACTATTTTCAGGTACCTAGCTATTTGTCCCAAGCTTTTCTCCAAGGGGATGATTTTGCATGAGATTCATGGGCCACAGGAAACACCTTTCAGGGCGACATTTAGCAATCTTTCCAATTTTCAGTATCCTTTCATACAGCGCTATAACTTGTCACATGTGTGATTGGGCGGGATGACCAGCGGGGGAAGGAATGCTGTCAGGAGACAAAGGATAAATCAGTGTGCTGCTTTGTTCTGGGTGAGTCCCCATCTTCTCATCCTGAACTCTTCATCATTTTGGAATTTATAATATCTACTCATAATTTTTGAAGGATATGGGCTTTTTAATAACCACTGTGCTTGGGTCTCTTCTCTATGGCCGCAGGTCCAGATGGATACCACCATTAATAGACTCTTTGTAGCGGTTTATTGAACTGGAAGCAGTCTTATTCTGGGGGTGCTATTGCTAAGCTGGTGTCCCACGATGATGCCTTGTCATCATCCCCAGATTTGCTGGGCCCAGGAATCTGCATTTCTCCAAACCATATCCTGGCCTCGTAAAACGCATTCACAGGAGAGGTTGAGTTACTGATTTAGATGCTAAATTTTAGAGGAAAGGTTACAAAATACATAGGCAATGGAAGTTGGAATTTTCACTAGGTGGCTCTATCTCATAGCTAAGGTTTAGCAGCACAGACAGCTGCGGTATTTAAGGCTGGATTTAAAGGCTTTAAGCGTTGAAAAGATTATGGTGTTCCCCAGACCTGCCAATATTAATGCAGAATAAAAACAAAACTAAAGCATAAAACACAAGTGTATATGTCGAAATAACTTCTTTCTAGATGTGGATGTGCTAATTGGCAAATGTTGAATACATTTATTGAACCAGAAACAGTCTTATTTTGGGGGTGCCACAGCTTAGCTGGTGTCCCATGATGATGCTTGTTCTGCCCTATAAGTATTCTGGCTCTGGTATCATTCATTCATTCATTTGTTCATGTGACAACGTTTAATGAGGTTGGCACAGCAATTAACAAAAAGGCAAACATCTTTGCTTCTATCAAGCTTACATCCTAGTGGTGGGGAGACAGACAATAAACAAAGCAAATATAGAAAATATATGGCAAGGGGTGATAAGTGCTCTGGAGAAAAACTAAGGTGGAAAGGGGGATAGAAGTTCCAGAGATGGGAGAGGAGAGATCAAGGAAGGCTTCCTGGAATGTAAGAGTTAAGTCCTGAAAGAGGTGAGCAAGTGAGTCAACGTGGCCCTGGAAGAAGAAGGTCCAGGCAGAGGGGACAGAAATGTGCCTAACCCTGGAGCAGCCAAGACGCGGGACCCCTGATCCTTAGGTGGAAAGCCCTGAGGCTTTCCCCAAATCCAGAAGGAAGCCGTACTAGGCCATCCCTCTCATCTCCTTGTCAGCAGCAAAATTTGACTTGCTGTCTGTTGCTGGGTGGCTACAGAAGCTCAAACTGCCAAGTTACTACATTCTCCTTGTGGGGTCAGGCCAGATTTGTTCAGTGAACACCAGTTAAGCATCAGTTCTGTCCCTGAACTTGTTCTGGACACCAGAAGCTCAGAGGCTGATCAGCAGACTCGACACAGAAAATTAGAATTTGCCAAGTATGAGAGACAGAGAAGGGGCATCTAACCCAGCCTGGGGAGGGGGTGGGAGCAGGTCACCACCTGTCTCTTTGATATTCTCTCATCCTACTCCCTCCCAACTCAACGACCTTTTTTTTCTGGGTCTCAAAGATACCAAGTCTGTTCTTGCTTCAGGGCTTTTGCTGTTCCCATGCCTTGGAGTTGCTTTCCCCAGATCTTTCCAAAAGTATGTTCTCACCATTCACGGCTGAGCCAAATGTCTCCTCCTCAGGACGGCCTTTCCAGTCCACTCTCCTGTGTCACTATCACTCTGTGTTGCCTCTTTTATTTCCTTCCCAGTGCCCTCACTGTGTGAGGTCACTGTTGCTGGTGCTAACGCTCTCCCCCATCCTCTCCATGAGAGCCAAGATTCAGTTTTTCTTCTTCGCTCCACCATCCCCAGGGCCAGACAAATAGGAGGCATTCAATAAATATCAATGAGCTGGGCGCAGTGGCTCATGCCTGTAATCCCAGCACTTTGGGAGGCTGAGGTAGGAGGAATGCTTGAGCTCAGGAGTTCGACACTGCAATGAGCCATGATTACACCACTGCATTCCAATCTGAGTGACAGAGTGAGACCCTGTCTCAAAAAAAAAATAAGTATCAATGAATGGATTTATTTACTGAACAAGGGACTGTTGATGCATACTTGAATAACCCACACACTCTGACCGGCTTACCTGTTTAATGCATTCTTGGGTACTCTTGCTAGCCATGGAGGGCTGTTGTCATCCATCCTGCAAGACTCAGGGCAATGTAATGGTTAAGAATATGGACTGGGGGCCAGCATGTTGCTCACACCTGTAATGCCAGCACTTTGGGGGTGAGGGGTGGGGGCACAATGAGAGGATTGCTTGAATCCAGAAGTTCAAGACCAAACTGGGCAACATAGTGAGACCTTGTCTCTACAAACAATAAAAAAAATTAGCTGGGCTCAGTGGCACACACCGGTAGTCCCAGATGCTTGGGAGGCTGAGGAAGGAGGATCACATGAGCCCAGGAGTTCAAAGCTGCAGTGAACTTTGATTGCGCCACTGCACTCCAGCCTGGGTGACAGAGACCTTGTCTTTAAAAAATTAAAAAAAGGAGAGAATATGAATATGGGTTCGGGATGCAGATGGACTTGCTTGGATCTCTGGCCCTGTCACTTTCAACTGACTACCCTGGGCAAGTTAATTAACCTCTCTGAGCTGTTTCCCTACCTGAGTAAAGGATACATTCAGTAAGTGGCAGCCATTGTTATTCTGGCCAAACAATGGTTACCAGGCTCCTCTGTGGGAGGGTTGCTTGTGCCACCTTCTTCCTGAGTTGAGAGCCCAATCCCAGACTGGAGTCCCCAGAGACCCTGGAAAAGAAACTGACAAAATGCAAAGTGCAAACTAAGTGACTGTGCCCCTGGGGACCCTGAGTTAATGATTCATGGGTGGTTAATGAGCTTCCTCCTTTGCTCTCTCACATTGCAGGTGGCATGGCAGCTTTCCAGACTCATCCACTGCCTCCACACCTGCCCCCTCTGCATGCAATTTCTTTGCAGTGTCCTAAAAAGCTAACCAAGCTGAAATCGCCTCTGCCATGGCTGTAACACTCCTGCACCATTATTCAGTGTTCTCTGAGGCCTCAGCTTCATTCGTGCCTCCTACCCCTTTCCATCTGTTGGGAGCAATCGAAGGACTCGGTGATGATAACTGCTGAGATGGTCTCTTCAGTGTTTAGTGTCTGGCCTTGCTCAGGGTTGGGGACAGAATGAGGCAGCCCTGGAGAGCTTGCTTTGGTTGTGAATTCCTGCAGCCTCCCTTATGACCCCTGAGCATTCTTCCTGGGTACTTCCTGAGGTGGCTCATGTATTATAGTCACAATTACATTATGATTTAATAAATGCCATCAGTGATTTCCCCTGGAGAGGTCATGGGCCATAGTGGCTTAGGCCACACACTGGGGATCGTGTTGCCTGTGTTGAAATCCTGGCTTCATCATTTGACAACAGTGAAATCTCAACCCAAACTATGTTAGCTTTTAGATTACACACAGCCTGCTTCTTGGGAGCCAGGCATTGTTTATAAACCCTCCAGCTAATAATAATAATAATAATAATAATAGCAGCTATCATTCATTGAGAGCCAAGCAGTTCTACCTGATTGATTCACAGAATCTCCAGAAGACAGACACGTTAATTAATGGATAACTTTTGTGGGTGGGCAGGGCTCTGCTTCAGCTCAGATTGGACATCCCCAGGCACTGTTTGCATGGGTGAGTTGCATGAGGGCAAAGGAACTGTAATGAAGATATTTTAAGGGTTCATTTCCAGGCTCAGAGAAAAGAGCATGGCATGTCCCCTGCCCCATGGATCAGCGGGTTGTGAGTGTGAGGGACAGAAGCACATTCTTCTCACTTCCAGTGACTTTGGCTACATTTCCGTGTGATGCTTTTGGTGCTTCCCACCACGTCCCCTAGACCCTTGTCAGATTTCAGCAGCAGCCCTGGTGGACAGCCCTCCTGTACACTGACAGCATCCCATCTCCAGTGCCTACCTTCTCTTTCTACTTTTCTGCCCTCAGGCAGGTAGGGGAGCTAATGCCCCCAGGCAGAGTCCTCAAGCAATGGAACATGGGAGTCAGTGGATGAATGTCCCAGCCTCCTGTCCATCAGAGGGACAGTTCCTCAGTGTCCATAGTAGAATTGGGTCCATAGTAGAATCACCTAGTTGTCCACAGTGATAATCAGGTCAATAACACACAATTTAATGGCTTTTTCTTTTTTCCTTCTGCTCTCCCTGCTTCCTCACTTTTATTTCTTGGGATCACTTCTTAAATCAACTATCAGCACCCAAATCCTTGCTTCTGGCTCTGCTTTCTAGCTAAGAAGGTCACGCTCAAGCTAAGAAGGTCACTCTCAAGCTAAGAAGCCCAAGGGGACGGACCACTGGCCAGGGCAGTGCTGTCTCTACTGATTGCCACAGTGCTGACAGCAGACAGGGCTGGTGACAGGGGATGTGGTACTCGTTGGTCTTGAAACACCTGTGAAATGGCCCCAAGAGACTTTCAGCAAAACTTGGGTGGTGCTGTGGGAGAGACTCTTTTCTGCCCCCTAAAATTTACTCTTCCCATTTAGGATCCCATAGGCTGCCCAATGGAAAGTACATTTCCCAGCCTCCCGTGCAGCTAGGGCAGCCATGTTCTTGTCAATGAAATGTGAGTGGAAGTGATGAGTCACTTACTTAAAAGGAAGTTGCTGGTGGTGGTGCTGAGCTCTGACAAGAACACCTCAGGGGCAGATGAAGCAGCATGGTAGAAGGAACCTGGGACCCTGAGTGACACGGTGGATCAGAGCTGCCTCCCTTCTCAGGACCACCATCCATCTATGGGATGTTACATGAGGGAGAAATAAACTTTTATTCAGCTTGAACTGTTATGTATTTGAATCTCTCTGTTCCAGCAACTTATCCAGTGCCCTGGACTAATACAGTCAATAAGAAGGGATCTGAACAAGTAAATCATGGGTATAAATACTTATGTGACCTCATTTTGTGCCCTGAGGCCCCGGGACATTCAGGTTACATAACTGTGTTGAGGTGTGTCAAGCACTATAGAGCATCTGAGAGTCAGGGAAGCTCCTGGGGCACTACAGAAACCCAGGGTCCTCTCTGACTTGTCACAGACCTCAGTGGCTCCCTTAGCCTGTATCACCTATCATGTAACATGTTTGCATCTCTGTCTGTATTAGGCCGTTCTTGCATTACTATAAAGAAATACCTGAGGCCAGGCATGGTGGCTCACACCTGTAATCCCAGCACTTTGGGAGGCCGAAGCTAGTGGATCACCTGAGGTCAGCAGTTTGAGACCAGCCTGGCTAACATGGTGAAACCCCATCTCTACTAAAAATACAAAAAAATTAGCTGGGTGTGGTGGTGGGCACCTGTAATCCCAGCCACTTGGGAGGCTGAGGCAGGGGAATCGCTTGAACCTGGGAGGCGGAGGTTACAGTGAGCCAAGATCGTGCCATTGCACTCCAGCCTGGGTGACAAGAGCAAAAAAACAAAACAAAAAAACCACCTGAGACTGATTAATTTATTTTAAAAGGAAGTTTAATTGGCTCATGTTTCTGCAGGCTGTATGGGAAGCATAGCAGCATCTGCTTCTGGGGAACCTCAGGAAGCTTCCAATTATGGCAGAAGGCAAAGGGGGAGCAGGCATGTCACCTGTCAAAGGCAGGAGCAAGAGAAAAAGAATTGGGGGAGAAGTGCCACACACTTTTGCTCAGCCAGATCTTGCGAGAACACACTCACTATCACAAGGACATCACCAGCAGATGGTGCTAAACCATTCATGAGAAATCCACCCCATGATCCACTCACCTCCCACCAGGCCCCAACTCCAATACTGGGAGTTACATTTCAACATGAGATTTGGGTGAGGACAGACATACAAACTATATCAGTGTCCTCTCCTCCCAGGCTTGGCTACACATTGGTGCCCAGGTTGTCTTGTGTGGAAGGGGCTTATAAAGGAATACTCAGTCACCTTTGGGGATCTGAGATCCACAACAGATGGGCAGCAATTCTGGAAAAAACGTGCCCTGGCTTGTGTCATCTCATCTTTGTCCTCCAGAGGTGGGCAGCTTTTCACTTCTTGATCATCCCAAATCTCTTTCTCTATTAAACAAAACCTGGTGATGATAAGTTGTACTATTAGTTTTCTATTGCAGTGTAACAAGTTACCACAAACTTACTGGCACTCCCTCAGTGTCTCCAAGTTCTGTAGCTCAGAAGTTGGCATGGGTACAGCTGGATTCTCTACTTAGGGTCTCACAAGGCTGAAATCAACGTGTCAGCCAGGATAGGCTCCCATCTGGAGGCTCTGAGGAAGAATTTACTTCCAAGTTCATCCCTTAAAAAACTTTTTTTCTAGGAGACCCAGTCTTGATCTCTTGCCCGGGCTGGAGTGCAGTGGCATGATCAGAGCTCACTGCAGCCTTGAACTTCAGGGTTCAAGCAATCCTCCCACCTCAGCCTTCCAAGTATCTGGGACTAGAGGCATGCACCACCATGCCTCGCTAATTTTAAAAATTTTTTGTAAAGATGGGGTCTCACTATGATGCCCAAGCTGGTCAGGGACTCCTGGACTCAAGCAATCCTTCTGTCTCGGCCTCCTGAGTAGATGGGATTATAGTATGAGCCATCATGCCCAACCAAGCTCATTCTTATTACTGGCAGAACTCAGTAACTTGTGACTGTAGGGCTGAGGTCCCGGTTACCTTGCTGGCTGTGAGCTGGAGTCACCCTTATCTCACAGATGGCATTCCCTGGTCCTTACACATGCCCCCTCTATATACCAAGCCAGCAATGGTACCTCCAATCTTTCTCATCCTTCAAATCTCTCTGATTTACCCTTCTGCTGCCAGCTTGAGAAAACTCTCAGCTCTTAACGGGCTGATGTGATCACATCAGGCCCATGGATGACCTTCCTTTTGATTTACTCAAAGTCAACTGGTAAGTGACCTTAATTACAATTGCAAAATTCTTTTTGCTGAGTAAAGTAACATGATCCCGGTGTGATACTGCATCATATCCACAGTCCTGGGGATTAGGGTAGGAAATCTTGCAGGTCCTGTTGGAATTCTGCCTACCACATCTACAGCCCCTTTTATCTTAGAATGTTTAACCTTCACCTTTCCTCAATGGGAAGGGAAGGTGATCTCTTGATGCTGGATTTAGGAGAAGAACCTCACTGTGACCAGGTGTTCAAGGGTTCTTGTTGTGGGGGGGCGGGGGCGGGGTGGTAGGAGTAAGAGCCAGGAAGATGAATTAGTCTTGGTTAAAGGACTGACACTTTATTTACTCATCCAGCCATGTTTATTAAGAACTTCTATTGCCAGTTGCTCAGGATCTGGCAGGCAACAGAACAGAGATAGTCCATGCCCTCATGGAGCTTATGGTCTGGTGGGGAGCTGATATTAAGGGCAATGACTGTTCCTCAAGCAGAAGTAGAGGGTTCCATTGGAGGAAAACTGAGGCAAGAATGTTAGAAAGGAGAAAGTGAGCAGGGATCAACATAGCTTGAAGTACAGCTTCTGTGGTGAATGGAAAACACACCAACTCCCAGGTGAAGTTAGAACTTAAACCATTATAATCTGGTCTACAGAGCTCCAAGTCCTCTAAGAATCCTGAGTTCTCCTCAGGTCCCATGGATCACCAGGAAACCATGTCTTAGCTCATTAGCTCAGTCTAGGGGTTACTAACTTGAGTAGACATGCATACTAGGGCTGGAATTTAACATAAATATGAGAAACAGGCTGTGTGTAAACTAAAGAACCTGGCAAGTGTTTTGGCAAATGGCAACCGGCCCACGGCCTCAGTATTAGAGATTAATCAGGGACTAAACAGGAGCGTGGACTCCTCTCTAAGGGGGTTGCCAGTACTTAGTCTGGCTGATTATGCCATGGGGGACAATTTGTCAGGTTCTCTGGCTTTTAACAAAATTCAGATTACCTTCTGAAACTTTTAGATTTCTAAAAAACTGAGTAATTTAAAATTTAAGTCATTTTTTAAAATGTAAGGACCTCTAATGGGGTGATGGATGTGAAGATGTTGATGGCCCACGGCCGTTTGTGGCCTTCAGGATTGTCGCTGTTGAATTGTCTTTTGGATGCTCCACCCCCAGCTTGAACCAAGACAAATTCTGAGCGTGAAGGTGGCCTCTGCATCTCAGGGCTCCCAATTCAGAAGTTCTTCAGAAACACCTTTTAGATTTCAGCAGAGGGAATCTTGTGTCTGCTCCTTGAGAGTTCCCCTTCCACTGTGATGATGACAACAATCCCATTGCCCTTTCTGCTGTGCATGTTAGAGGCTCACAGTTTAATTTAATTGATTGTTTCTCCTGAATCCAGTATTTTTTCTTCCTTATCCTTCATGTGGTCTCATCGACTCAGGCAATGGTACAGTCTCCTGTTCCACTTCCCAGCACTTAGTATCTGGCTCTGGACAGAAAAAAAATATTTTATTTACCTTTGTGTCTACAGTACCTGGTGCATGGTAGGCACTCTATAAATATTTGAGGGTTGGACACATGATGCATTGGCCATTATTTTTTGATAGTATAAGAAAAGGACATATGTAAAAGAACTTTGTACACTTTGTAATCACTATTATTAAAGGACTCATCCCTTGCATTGCTCAAGGTCCCTTAATTAGTTAGGGTGGCCAACCATACCAATTTTCTCAGGACTGAGGGAGTTCTTGGGATGTAGGATTTACAGTTTTAAAGCTGAGATGGAGCCAGGCATGGTGGCTCACACTTGTAATCCCAACACTTTGAGAGGTCGAGCCAGGAGGATAGCTTGATCCCAGGAGTTTGAAACCAGCCTGGGCAATATAGTGAGATCTTGTCTCTACAGAAAATTAAAAAATTAGCTGAGCATGGTGGCATGTGCCTGTAGTCCAGCTACATGGGAGGCTGAGATGGGAGAATCACTTGAGACCGGAAGGCAGTGAGTTGCAGTGGGCCGAGATAGCGCCACCACACTCCAGCCTGGCTGACAGAGAGAGACCCTGTCTCAAACAACAGCAACAACAACAAACAAAAAAACAAAACCCAAACCTGAGATGGAGGGATTTCCTAGGATAAGAGACTATTCCAGGAAAAGGGAGATGAGTTCATCACCCTACCCTAAATAAAGACCCAAAGAAAAACAATATTCTCTTGAAGCTCAAAAAATAACAAAATACATTTTTCCTGCAAAATTGGGGTGTTTCCTTTCATCTTCTCATGGCAGTTTTGAAAGCTTTCATGTTTCCCTCTTTGCCTTGGCCTCAAAGTAGCTCCAAGGTAAGTTTATGGGTAATGTCAGTAGCATCTGTCAGTCTAGGTTGTACCAAATAATTGTTTCATTGCCTCTACTTTGCTTTTTACATTTTTCTCTTTAGAAATTTTAACTTATGGTACAAATTGCACCTGGAATTATATTAAACTACTCTTACTCAGCATACATGAAAAATGCTTAAGCCTTTTGTCTTTTTATTTCCCTTCATTTTGTTACTAGTTCGTTCTATGTGTTTATTATATTATTTCAGGGGTTGGCAAACTATGGCTTATGGACCAAATCTGGGCTCGCTGCCTGTTTTTGTTAAAAAAAAAACTTTTATCGGAACACAGCCATGCTCATTAATTTACTTATCATATAGGTAATTGTATACATATACACATATATTAATAATTTATATGCATCTGTAATAATACATATTTAATCATTTATTTATGGCTGTTTTCATGCCACAGTGGCAGGGTTGAATAGTTGCAACAGAGACTGTGTGGCCTTTAAAACCTAAAATATTTACTATCTGGGCCTTTACAGAAAACGTTTGCCAACCCCTGTATTTATCAAAAATTCCAATTTCTTTTGAAAGGATTTACATTTACACATAGTTTCAACTTTTATACAGTATATGTATATTTCCATTTTCAAAAATATACAGTTTCAAAATTTACAGATGTATATTTTCTGTTTACAAAAGTAATATAAATTTGTTATAAAAATGTTAACATCACGGAAATACGTAGTGACAATAGTAACCATCCCCTTTTAATTTAATTCCTGTTGGTGTCCTACCCTAGTTAACTAGGGCAGATTCCTACAGATTCTTTTCTGTGCATAAACTAACCTATACATATCTCTAAAATAGTACCAAAAAAAGAAATAAATCTCTATGTAAGCAAATTTTCCTGGGTAAGCATTCTTAGATTCTCCATCAGCAGCATTTTTCTGACATGCATTCACAGACATTCTCACTCATTGTTTCCAATATCCTTCCTCATTGATCTAGTTTAATGAGAAGTCTTTTCTAACTCTTCTCCACAACAGCAACGTCATTGCAAGTTCTAATTATTCCTGATATTTCTCATTACAATAATTATTCTTTCTTTGTCATTACTAATTCCTGTTGCTTTAAAACATCCCTCAGAATCAATGAGGATGGCAGATGCCTGAAGACTGTCACTTTACTTCCAAAACATCAAGCTAAATATTCAGGACTATGGCTTCAGCTGATTACCCACTTGTTTCTAGGAGAATTCCAGGACCAATAGCATCATGCCACACATATCTGATGACATTGCTCACCTCCAGAAGCAGTGGATGGAAGTCTCCTAGGGCCTCTGTCATCACTCAGAACCTTAGACCCATGGTGCTCGCTACATCTCTGATTGCCCCACTCCTCTTGCCTCCCCTCACTTCCCTCCCCAATTATTTCCTCCATCACCAATGGAATTCCCAATTTATAACCAGGAAACATCCTACATTCCTAATGTCTTCTCCAAACATTTTCTTTCATTTCTTGTCTTAGCTTAAACCTAGTAGTCCCCTATCCTTCTTACTGGCTTAAGGTCAGCCTTCCCAAGTGTAGGTTGCTTTTCTCCTCACCCCATGTACCTCAGGCATTGCTTTTGCCACTTTCAAGACATTTCTTCCCATTTTACCTAAAAAATAAAATCCCAGACCCTTTCAAGTGAAGTCCTCAGATTCATCTAAATTCAGACCAGCTGCATCTCAAGTGCTTAATGGCCAGTGGCTGCCATATTGGATAGAACAGCTATAGCATCAGCTGCTTCTCCTCAGAGTTGTTCATGGCATCAATTGCTCCTCCTCAAAGTGGTCCAGTGGCTGCCATATTGGACAGAACAGCTATAGCATCAGCTGCTTCTCCTCGGAATGGTTCATGTCATCAGCTGCTCCTCCTAAAAGTGGTCATCTATCATCGTCTCAATTATTAAAGCCTCTGATGCCTACGTCACCACCATCTTTCTTCCCACCCCACGTTGCTCATCATTCTGATGATTTCAACATTTACACAGATAACTCGTGTAACCCTTTGATTTCTCCATCCTTGGGCCTTCCCACCCAGCCATAATCTTTCCCCGACCAGCCCACTCTTTCCATAGCCACATCCTGGACCTCGCCATTGGTGGTAACTGTACAACCCCTGAAATCTGGATTTCAAGTCTCCCACTCTCTGACCACTCTCCTTCTGTGATAGTCTTCACCCTAAACATTTCCCCAACCCAGTAAGACCTTTAGTTCAGCCTTATCCAATAATATAATGCAAGCCACACATGTCGTTTAAAATTTTCTAGTAGGCCGAGGCAGGTGGATCACGAGGTCAGGAGATTGAAACCATCCTGGCTAACACCGTGAAACCCCATCTCTACTAAAAATACAAAAAATTAGCTGGGTGTGGTGGTGGGCGCCTGTGGTCCCAGCTACTCAGGTGGCTGAGGCAGGAGAATGGCGTGAACCCAGGAGGCGGAGCTTGCAGTGAGTCGAGATCGCGCGACTGCACTCCAGCCTGGGTGACAGAGTGAGACTCCGTCTCAAAAAAAAAAAAAAAAAAAAAAAGAAATGTAAAATAAGCAGTTAAAATTAATAATATAATTTATTTAACTTAATAGATCCAAAATATTATCAATGTATAATCAATATTAAATTATTCATGAGATATTTTACATTTTATTCTTTTTATACTAAGTCTTTGAAATCCATGTACTTTATACTTCCAGCACATCTCAATCCAGACCAGCCACATGTCAAGTGTTCAACGTAGCTAGTGGCTACCATATTGGACAGAGAAGCTGTAGTCTGTTGATTTAATTAGGTTTCATCTATCCTGTCCAATGTCCTTCTATTCATTCTTATCCAGTGTAGATTCCATATCCCATTACTATCATCATAGTATTCCAAGAGTGTCCTCCACTCTTTACTTTTTCATCTAGAAAAAAACTCATTACTGTTTGGACCAAACCATTGGTCTGTACCCATGCAATTGAATATTACAGCAGAAAATCACACATCTGGATTTTCTGGTGTGTGAAGCCTTGCTTCACTTTCACTTCATGGTCACACATTTCAAATGGACATATAATGCTCCCCAGAAACCTTAACACATTTATCTGGTTAAATTTGCTTTTCTCCTCTCTGAGATTATTATTTCATATATTTTTGTCTCTTCTCAAATCTCCTTTATCCCTCCCTCTCCTGACCTCTACTTGCAGCAGATGCCCTGGCTTCATTATTCACTTACCGATGTCACAAATATATCCAAAATGAAGCTCTGCACCCCCCAGTCCATTCAATGCAGGTAATGGTGCCATCACCAAAGCCAAAACCTGACTCAGTCTTAATTATTTCTTCACTTCTAATTTACCAACAAGTCTCATGTGGTTTGGCTGTGCATCCCCACCCAAATCTCATGTTGAATTGTGATCCCAGTTGTTGGAGGTGGGGCCTCTTGGGAGATGATTCGATCATGGGGGTGGTTTCTAATGGTTAGCACTATCCCTCTAGTGCTGTCTTGTGATACAGTTCTTATGAGATCTGGTTGTTTGAAATTGTGTAATACTTCTCCCTTCATTCTCTCTCCCTCCTGCCACCAACATGAAGACATGCTTGCTTCCCCTTTGCCCTTCTGCCACGAGTGTAAGTTTCCTAAGACTTCCCCAGCCATGTGGAACTGTGAGTCAATTAAATCTCTTTTCTTTATAAATTACCCAATCTCAGGTAGTTCTTTATAGCAGTGTGAGAATGTACTAATACAAAGTCCTTTTATCCAAAATGAAACTAAAATATGCCTACTTCTCTTCTTGTCTATAAGCACCACCCTGGATCTAGTCCCCATCATCTCTTGCCTGGGCTGCAGAGACAGCTAGCTGGTCTTCCTTGTTTTCAATCTGACATCTCACAATTCATTTTCTACCGAGCAGCCAGAGAGGTCTTTAAAAAACATAAATTGGATCATGTCACTCCCTTCCTTGCAACTACTCGTTTCCATGGCTACAAGGGTCCTACATGATCTGACCCTTGCTTACTTCTTCACCATAATCTTTCACTACCCTTCTCCCTACTCACTGTGCTATAGCCTCACTGGCTTCTTGCTTATTTCCTGAGCATACCAAGCTCTTTCTTGCCTTCTGGCTTTTGCATTGCGGTTCCATCTGCTCGGAAAGATCTTCCCCTGGTGTTTTTCGTAACTGGTTCCTTTCCTCATTTTGCTTTTTAGAGACATCTTCCATTGAAATCCCAAGTAAAACTGTCTTTTCACCTCCCTCATCACTTACTCTCTTATCAGTTCTCTGTGTTATTTTCCTTGTGGTGTTTATTATCTGAAACTATCTAGTTTATTTTCTTGTTTACTGCTTTATCATCTGTTTACCCACTAGCAATAAGACCCACGAGGGTAGTGACTTTGTTTTCTTCGCTATTGCTTTCCCTGAGCCTGGCATAGTCCCTGACACATAACAGAAAATCAGTGAATATTCACTGAATGGATGGATGGATGGATGGATGGATGGATGGATGGATGGACAAATCAAGGAACTGGATGTTCCAATATTTCAGGACTCCTCTCATTACTGTGAAATGCACAGACTTGCAAGATTGAACTTAACAGCCCAGCAAGATCACTAACCTCAAATTTGGGTCACTGAGATTGACAAAGTGTCCCCCTTTCTCCCTTGATAGAGATCGTGTCTATAAATACTTCTGGGCATTTAAGCTCTTCAAGTGTGGTAAAACAGCAAGTCTAAATAGACTACTTCCCTGACAGGGTTGGGTCAACAGAATATATTATCCCAGAGAGACAGATGGGGTTGAAGCCTCAGGGCTACATCAGTTAGAGACCTCAAAGGATGTTCATCATGCAGACTGTACAAATAGGCTATGACCTAGTGGTAGTTCTGAGAACTTGTCATATATTCACTTAAAAAAATCATGGTGGCTTCTGCATGGAAGACGGACTGGAAGGAAAAAAGAGTTAGGCGTCTTTCATTTTAAACTCATTAAAATAAAAGAACATACTGACTCAGGTAACGGAGAAGGCTGGAAGTGCTTGGCTTCAGGTATAGGTCGATCCAGGGGCTCAAAACTATCATTAACCAAAATGTGGAGTTTAATTACCCCCCTCCCTTGAGCATAGGCTGGATCTGGGGACTTGCTTCCAAAGAATGAAGTATGGGAAGGGGAAAAAACAAA
The DNA here is from genome assembly GCF_000001405.40 of Homo sapiens. NCBI lineage: Eukaryota > Metazoa > Chordata > Mammalia > Primates > Hominidae > Homo > Homo sapiens. Next base: position 23,004,978 of record NC_000016.10, on the reverse strand, counting down.
GTGGCTTTATAGTTGAGAAACCTGGCCAACACTGGCCAGGTGATGAAGGTTAACATCACCAGTGATAAATCATTTTGACAACATGCAGCCCCTGCTATAATGTGATCAGGAGGGCACTTCACTTCTGTAGTGTTCTTCCCCATGCCAATAACTCCAGGTCTAATCATGAGAAAAACATCAGACAAATCCAAATTGAGGGAAAGTTCATTTACTACATGATCAAGACTCTATAAAACTCTCAATGCCTTGAAAAACAAGGAAAGACTGAGAAACTGTTGCAGACCAAGATGTGACAACTAAATGCAGTGTGGTCTTCAGGGTTGGCTCCCATAACGGAAAATGTCATTAGTGGAAAAGGGAGTGAAATTTGAGGAAAGTGTGGGTTTAGTTAATCGCAATCCACCAGTGTTGGTGTCTTAGTTGCAATGAATGTGCCGTGGTAATGTAAGATATTAACAATAGTGAAAACAGGGTGAGGGCTGTCAGGGAACTCTGTGCGCTTTCTTTGCAACTTTTCTGTGACTCTAACATTGTTTCAAAATAGCTAATTTAAAAAACTATCATCAAGACCCAGTTTCTGTTTTTTAAAACCTGTATATTTATTAGGAAAAATATATGTTAATGTTTTTACTATCTTTAACATTTTTAATTGTGGTAAAACACACATAACAAAACTTGTGATTTTAACTTTTAAGTGCAGAGTTCAGTGGCATTAAGTACATTCACATTGTTGTGCAACCATCACCACCATCCATCTCGAGAACTTTTTCATCTTCCCAAACTGAAACTCTATACCCATTAAACAATAACTATCTATTCCCCCTTCCTCCAGCCCCTGGCAACCACCGTTCTATTTTCTGTCCTTATGAGTGTGACTGCCCTAGGTACCTCATCTAAGTGGAATAATCCAGTATTTGCTCTTTTATGACTGGCTTCTTTCATGTAGCATAAGGTACTGAATTTTCATCCATGTTGTAGCATGTGTCAGATTTCCCTTCCTTTTTAAGGCTGAGTAATGTTCCATTGTGTGGGTAGACCACATTTTGTTTACTCATCCATCCACTGATGGACACTTGAATTGATCCCACCTTTTGGCTATTGCAAATAAAGTTTCTATTTTTGAGCTCTGACTTACTAGCTGTGAGCAAATCTCATGGGTAGGACTACCAGTCACTCCAGTTTGCCTGACACAGTTCCATTTTTTGTCTGCTGTCCAGCATAATTATTAATAGTTTCCCTTTTGCTCTCAAAAGTGTCCTGATTTGGATGATACATTACATGGCCACCCAATCTCTCTGTGTGTATCTCAGTAGTTCCGGGCCCACTTCCTCCCAGCTGTAAGAGCAAGAGACAGAGTCTCTGACAAGAGTCTCCGACAAGAGTCTCCAAACTGAGCCTGACAGGCTCTGATGGAGTCAGATTCCCAACCTGGAAGCAATAGTCTGGCTGGGGGCATATCATGGTTTGATTAGCCAAGCATGGGTTAAATGCTCATCTCCAAGACCAGGACTGGAGTCAGCTCTTCCCAAAACACATTAGAAGGAGGGAGAACTTATTTCTCAGGCAAAATTGGAGGTGGAATGAATGCCAGGTATGCAAAAACACAGATGTCAACCAGGTGGAGAGAGATGAGGTCTTCAACTGATTTACTTTCCAACTCCCCAAATTAGAATGGGTTTAAGATTACATTTGGCTGGGCACAGTGGCTTATGCTTGTCTGTAATCCTAGCACTTTGGGATTAAACAGTAACTCACTGAGGTGGGTGGATCACTTGAGCCCAGGAGTTTGAGACCAGCCTGGGAAACATAGTGAGACTGCTGTCTCTACAAAAAATACAAAAATTAGCCTGGCATGGTGGCACATGCCTTTAGTCCCAGCTACTTGGGAGGCTGAGGTGGGAGGATCACCTGAGCCTAGGGAGGTCGAGGCTGCAGTGAGCCATGATTGTGCTCCTACACTCCAGCCTGGGCCACAGAGTGAGACTCTGTCTCAAAAAAAGAAAAAGAAAAGAAAGAAAGACAGTGTTCATAATTCTTTGCTCTCACTCCGTTGCATCACAGTTAGTGTATTAAGAATTACATGCACCTGCAGACGATCTTGTCTTGGTGATAGCTCATAATGATCGATTGTTACTGTTCCATTGTTTTCTTACCTGTGATAGCTGGGAATTATTATACTGCTTGTGAGTTGCGATTTACAGTTGCTTCAAGTTTCTTTTACATTTCACCCATGGGCAAAGTAGAAACTTTGTTGTCTCAGTGGAAGAATACCGTGAATTCCATCTGGGGTGTGTCAATGGAAGGAAATGACTGAGAACCATTGTTGCAAGGGACAGGTAGCCATTTTCCATCATGAGAGGTCTCAGGGACACTTGGTGGGGCTGGCATAATTCTCAAGGTGCTGCATTCTGGGCAAGTCCCACCTGTGTGGGCAGCTGAGAGCAACATTGGCTGAGATCACAGGCTTGAAAGAGGACAGCCTGTGTTGCAACCCCAGGGCTGCCAAAGCTGTGTAACATTTGGCAAATTACTTATTCTCTCTGAGAACAAATGGGACTAATAATTGTGCCTCCCTCATAGTATTATGTTAGGATTAAATAAGATAATGCCTAGGAAGCACTTGGCAGTGACTACACATAGTAAAAGCCCAATAAATATTCACCATTATTTTTATTATCTTAGTACAACTCCAGAGCCTGGCTTACAAAAGTCAGCTTTTCAATCCAGGATGGCTTAAGACAGTGCAACTCAAAGTGGGGTCTGTAGACCCTGAAGTGTCAGCATCAGCTGGAAGCTTGTTAGAAATGCAGATTCATTGACCATAATTTGAAAAGTCAAAAAACAGTAGATGTTGGTGTGGATGTGATAAAAAGGGAACACTTTTACACTGCTGGTGGGGATGTAAATTAGTACAACTATTGTGGAAAACAGTATGGAGATTCCTTAAAGAACTAAAAGTAGAACTACCATTTGATCCAGCAATCCCACTACTGGGTATCTACCCAAAGGGAAATAAGTCATTATCTAAAAAAGACACGCATAACATGTGCTTACAGCAGCACAATTCACATTTGCAAAGATATGGAACCAACTTAAGTTCCCATCGATCAACAAGTGGATAAAGAAAAGGTGGTATATATACAGTGTGGGATACTACTCAATCATTAAAAGGAACAAAATAATGCTTTCTGCAGCAACTTGGATGGAGTTGGAGGTCATTATTCTGAGTGGTAACTCAGGACTGGAAAACCAAATATGGTCTGTTCTCACTTATAAGTGGGAGCTAAGCTATGAGAATGCAAAGGCATAAGAATAATATAATGGGCTTTGGGGACTTGTGGGGAGGAAGGTTTGGATGCGGGGTTAGGGATAAAAGACCACATATTCGTTTCAGTGTACGCTGCTCAGGTGACAGATGCACTAAAATCTCAGAAATCACCACTAAGAACTCATCCAGGTAACCAAAACCAAAACTCAAAAAGTATTGAAATAAAAAAATTTAAAAAAGAAATGCAGATTCATGGGCTCCACCTTCTGAATCAGAATCTCAAGAGTGGGGGTTGCAGCTTAACAAGCTCTCTGGTGATTTACCTGCATGAAAAGTTTGGGAACCACCATCTTAAAGTGCTTTTACATTAACTGTAGCTCCAGGCAGCGATGTTACCAAGCCACAGCTTGCCGTTGTGAGAAATGATGGAAAGGAGGAAGACAAAAGAGAAGCAACGGGATCCGAGGAGAGAGGCATTGAGGCTGCTCTCTGGCCACTGGGACCTAGAGGTAGGAGCAGACTCCAGAGGCCACACCCCTCTCTGGAAGATTCACCATGCAAAGGAGGAGGGTGGGTGGCTATTTTTTTTTTTCCTTGTTTCTTTTTTTTGAAATGGAGTCTCGCTCTCTTGCCCAGGCTGGAGTGCAATGGCGCGATCTGGGCTCACTGCAACCTCTGCCTCCCAGGTTCAAGTGATTCTCCTGCCTCAGCCTCCCGAGTAGCTGGGACTACAGACACATGCCACCATGCCTGGCTAATTTTTGTATTTTTAATAGAGACCAGGTTTTGCCATGTTGGCCAGGATGGTCTTGATCTGTTGACCTCGTGATCCGCCTGCCTCGGCCTCTCAAAGTGCTGGGATTATAGGCATGAGCCACTGCACCTGGCCTTTTTTTCCTTTTTTTCTTTCTTTTTTTTTTTTTATTTTAGAGGTAAGGCCTCACTCTGTTGCCCAGGCTGGAGTGCAGTGGTACAATCATAGCTCACTCACTGCAACCTCGAACTCCTGGGCTCAAGCAATCCTCCCACCTCAGCCTCCTGAGTGGCTGGGACTACAGGCATGCCACTGTGCTGGGTTAATTTTAAAATTTTTTTGTAGAGACAGAGTTTTGCTATGTTGTCCGGGCAGGTCTCAAACTTCTGGCCTCAAGCGATCCTCCTGCCTTGGCCTCCCAATGTGCCAAGCACAGGTGTGCACAGGGATGAGCACAGGTGTGAGCCACTGTGCCCCAATCACTATTCTTAATAATAGAAGGTTGTAGCTTGCAAAAGTCTTTCTCTCCTCTTCTGGCTTTCATGATCCTGAGCTGTCGTGATTTTCCCTGACCCAGAAGAATCCTTTCACATTTCCTTCTTTCCCTACCCTGAAACACTATTTTTCAGGACCCCACTCTCAGTCATTCTTATCACTCAAGTCTGCCTGCCATGCTCATAACTTTAACCACCAGCCAGCTGTGTGGAGCCTTTAGTCCTCTCTGGAACTCCAGATAAGCACTTTTAATTGCAAAAAGTGCTTTCCACCAAGTGCCACTTCATCATCTCCAACTTAATATGCCCAACACAGACTCAATTATATTCCCCTCTCAAACCCGATTTTCTCTGTGTGTCTCGTCCTGTTGAACAACTTCTTCACACCCCGACATACCTTGCACTCCAACCCCATTAGACTAATAGCAGATGCTCAAATGCATGCTGGATTTTCCTATCTCAATGGCTTTATTATTAACCTGCACCTGGAATTTTTTTTGTGTAATGTCTTCCCATAAATTGCCTACACTTCCCCCTTCCCCTTTCCAATAAATGGCACCAATGGCCTTTCTGTTGTGGAAGCCCCAAATCAGGAAGTCATCTTTGCTTCGTTGCTTTCTCTCACTCATATCTAATACATCAGCAAGTCCTGCTGCCTCTGTCTCCAACATTATTCATGATCCATCCAATTCTGTCTCCTCTGAAACCTCCTTAGTCCAAGGCACTGTCACCTCTCAACTGCACTATGATGAAACTTCCTAACAAGACCTCCCTGCTTCCATCCTTTCTTCACTGGACAACTAGAACCAGCTTTCTAAACTGCAGAACGTATCACTCCTGAGCTTTAAATCCCCCCATGTCTGTCCATTGTACTTGGAATAAAATTCAAACTTTTTAATCTTCAAGGCCTTACATGATCTGAGCCCTACCTATCTTTCTTCCATGTTGACTCTCATTTTGTCATGGAGGTGTTCATCCTGTTTCTTTCTTTTTTAAGAGATGGAGTTTCACTCTGTTCCCCAGGCTGGAGTGCAGTGATGTGATCACAGCTCACTGCAGCCTCCAACTCCTGGGTTCAAGTGATCCTCCTGCCTTAGCCTCCTGAGTGGCTGGGACTACAGGCATGCACCACGATGCTGGGCTAATTTTTAAAGTTTTTGTAGAGGCAGAATCTCACTGTGTTGCCCAGGCTGCTCTTGCACTCCTGGCCTCAACTGATCCTCCCACCTCACCCTACCAAAGTGCTGGGATTACAGGGGTGAGCAAACACACCTGTCCCTTATTCTGTTTCTTCAACACACCCAGCTCATTCCTGTCTCAGGACCTTGCACTTGCCATTTTCTCCATTTGGACTTTTTATACCCAGATCTGCACATGGCCGACCACTTTGGCATTTTGGGTGAAGATCACCCTACCCCCAAAGAGGGAGCCCTTTCCTGTCACTTTCTGTCTTACTATGAGCTAATAACCTCTCTTCTCTCCTCTCCTCTCCCCTCCCCTCCTCCCTTCCTTCCTTCCTTCTTTCCTTCCTTCTTGCTTGCATGCTTATTTTCTCCTTTCTCTTTCCACTTATCACTAGCTAAAAATACTTTTTTTAAAACTTGCTTGAGAGCAGTGGCCAGATCTGTCGTGTTAGCTGCCGCACCCCCCAGTAGCTAGTCAATACCAGGTCAGAATAGACATTAAATAAATAGTTGAATAAATATTTAAGAGCCTTTCCATATCTTCTAGTTCAAACAAATTCCTTTTCCCTTTGTACTCTGTCATAGGTTAGGATCTAGAGAAGACTGAGGCAGAGATTGGCAAGTAGGAAATGTGCCGGGCACAGCTCTTAGGTACAAAACACCCATGAGGGAGCCAGAGAAGCAAGAATGGGCAGAGACAGAGGTTGCAGCAAGAAGGAGTTGCAAGAGAGACATCGGCTGATCTGGGGGAACTTCATAGCTGAGATGGCCCTGCAGAGATTTCCTTAATTAGGCAAGGTTCTTGTAGCCCCACATCAGATGTCTATTGGATTAGGCTACCCTAGGAGAAGGCATAACTTTAATCAGGGAAGATTCCTTCAGCTGAAGGCTGCTCTGAGAAGGATACAGCTGTGAGCTAATGACAACCAGCACCCCTGGCAGCTGGGGGAATGGGGTCACAAAATGAAGGTCTGGGCAGCCCAGATGGGGTCCACTACACACCCCATGCATAGTATTTAGCAAAATGTGCCTTATAGTATTTACTTATTTATGTATGTCTACCTCTTCCTGTCAATTTATCAGCCCCTAGAGAGAACAGGAACAAAGATTTCCCCATTATCGTGACCTCCGTAATGCTCAACCCATGAAAAGTGTTTTGTAAGTGGTGTTTGAGTTTAATTTAGCAGAAAGAAAGTATAGCTAACAATTCCCTTTATGTGTGGGAAATTCTCAGGGTAGACTCCACAAAATGGGTAATGGAAACACTCTTTGGGTTAGAGATGGCCGACCTCAGAGAAGCTCCCAGAAATGTAGGCATGGGAGTGAGCAACCTTATACTAAATCAATAAGTTGCTAAGACTCCTAGCTATGAAGCCAGGTGACTTTGTCTACCTGAAAAGCAGACTGCAAGTGAATGTTGAGCACTGCTGATCTGGTCTCCTGGCCCACAACATTATCGTATGTCGGTGATTTTATAAGATGGAAATTTGTTGGAAAATTCAATATATTTTGCTGCATTCCTTCCAGACACAAGACCTAGAATACATAGGCTGGAGAAAGGAATCAGAAGAAAGGGGAATAATTAAGGAAAATAATGGGTTTCAAACTAGAGTTTCAACCCTATTTAGTAAAAAAAAAAAATTCATGTATTATTCTAATGGGTGAATAATTGAACAAGATAAAACAAGGGATGCCAAACATAGGCTCTTGACAAGGACTATCAATTTAGGGTTGAACTATTTCAGATCCGTCCTGGTTCTAGACTCTCTACCCAGCTAGAATGGCTTATGTCTATTGCATGCCTGTCTCCTAGACTTGCAGCTGTTGGGGTTTTACCAGTCCTACTCCAGTTGGATGAAGACAGTGTAAGGTGCAAGGGCAGTGGCAGGAAGGGTCCCATTGACTTAGGAATTGGAGGAGCATCTAGAATGCAGAGAGAGAACGATCTACTTGGAATGTGACAAAATGCTGTGACTGCATCCCTTTGGACTCCTGGGCTAAACACAGAAAAGCAGAGACCAGAGTGAGACCCACAAAACCTTTGAAATTGTATTAATGTCATGGTATTTCCCACAGTATGGGAACAAGACTCTGGATGTCCCCAGAAAACTCAAAGGAGTTACATGCATTTTAACAGTGTTTAATAAGTCACTAACCAATCCCGCCATTCTTCTCGTCATCTTAATGACCTACTATTGTGTCAAGTGTCTGGGAGGGACCCTACTCATCAAAAGAGGCCGTTTAAGCAAATTTCATGTACATGATAGTTTCGCATGATTTCTTTGTATTTCCTGTTTTTGAGATCTTCGTGACTTAAGACATTCAGCATATCCTGAGTATATTGGACAGTTTATTAGAAGGTTCCAGGGCTAATTCAGCAGCTTAGACCCAACAGTCTCACTATGTCTACATAGCAATAACATATTAGACAAATACGCAACTGGAATCTAGACAGATTATGAAGATTGACAATGGGATGGCTAAGTGTCCCAGGCACTAAGTGTCCCAAGGCAGGGCAGGTTCCATGGGCCTGAGCGTGTGCTCTGGGGCATCTCACATAAAGTTTTGGGGCTCTGCAGGTGGTCATAGAGACAGGTCTGATGATACTAGAGAGGCCATTTGGAAGCAGATGGGTCTTGTCAGGGAGACTCTGTTATAGGTTGAGTTTTGTCCCCCAAAAAAGATATGTTGAAATCTTAGCCCCCAGTACTTCAGAGTGTAAACTTATTTGGAAATAGGATCTTTTCAGGGATAATCAAGCTAAAATGAGGGCATCAGGGTGGGCCCTCATCCAATATGATTGGTGTCCTTATAAGAAGAGAAGATTTGGACACAGAGGCAGACACACTCAGAGGGAAGACGATGATTGGACACACAGGGAGAAGATGGCCTGTGTCTGGAGTCACGCAGCTATGACCCAAAGAACCAAGGATTGCCAGCAAACACCAGGAGCCAGCAGAGGCCAGGAAGGATTCTCCCCTAGAGCCGTAGAAAGAGCATATAGCTGCTGACACCTTGATTTTGAATGTCCAGACTTCAGAACTGCGAGACAATACATTTCAGTTGTTTTAAGCCACGCAGTTGTGGGTATAGGCAGATCCCTACTTATGGTGGTTCGATTTCTGATTTTTCGACTTTACAATGGTGCCAAAGCCATACGTGTTCAGCAGAAACCATACTTCAAGTATCCACACAACCATTCTGTTTTTCACTGTTAGTGCAGTTTTCAATAAATTACATGGGATACTCAACACTTTATTATAAAATAGGCTTTGGTTTTGACCAACTGTAGCTGACATAAGTGTTGTGAGCACATTTAAAGTAGGCTGGAGGCCATCATCCTTAGCAAACTAACACAGGAACAGAAAACCAAATAATGCATGTTCTCACTTATAAGTGGGAGCTAAATGCTGAGAACACATGGACACACAGAGGGAAACAACACACAGTGGGGCCTTTTGGAGGGTGGAGGGTGGGAAGAGGGAGAGGATCAGGAAAAAATAACCAGTGAGTATTAGGCTTAATACCTGGATGATGAAATAATCTTTACAACAAGCCCTGATGACCGACGTTTACGTATATAACAAACCTGAACATGTTCCCCTGAACTTAAAAGTTAAAAAAATTTAAAAAAATAAAGTAGGCTAGGCTAAACTATAATGTTTGGTAGGTGTACTAAACACATTTTTTACTTAGAAGAGTTTCAACTTATGATGGGCTTATCAAGACATGACCTCAACATAAGTTGAGGCGCCTCTGTACTTGGTTACGGCAGCCCCAGGAAACCAGTACACCCTCACCGAGAAAAATTGTGGCCAAGTGGGTGAGGGCAAATCTGCCCACATCATGTGGTGAGGAGCAGACTTTGTTAGTAAAACTCATAAGCCAAGAGCCACCAAGATGAACACGTTGCACCCCACCCCATTCTCTCAGGACCCCACAGGTGCTGGACACAATGTGGGCCTGTGCTCCAGGGAAGAGCCCTGCCCCTCTCCTTTACCCTGGTATAGTGCAAGCATGAATGTGGCCTTGGATGTGGGAAAAATAGGCCTCTGGCCCAGGAATCTAGGTTTAGATGGCAGCTGTGTAGAAATTGCACAAGACTTTGCCGGCTTCTTGCACCTGGAAGCCTTGTGGAAGTTGGATGTGAGCTGCAGCCGCACCTCTGGGAGAGATGGAAACTGATTCCTCTAGCTCACCGCCAGGAAATCTGAACCTCTAGGATTACTCATGGGACAATCCTGTTTGTCTCTGTAGAGGAAGTCCTTTCTTGACATGGGCTCTAGGCAGGACTCAGGGAAATGCTTCTGTTCCTTGGATGATGCAAGGCCAAGAGAGGCAGGATGAGGTGCTGCGGATAAACACCGGGGAGGGTGCAACTCAGGGCATGGCACAGCATCCAGCAGTTATCCTTGGCTCCTGATTTCAGATCAAAGTAGCAGAAAAAGAGATGGGATATAGGGAGACAGCCTGGGAGTGAGCACTGGGGTACCCAGGTCCCAAGTCTGAATCTGTGACTAAGGCTGTATTCTAAGAGGAAAAGGAGTGGGTGCAGGAGAGAAAGGTAGAGGCTGCTGAAGACCTTCAGTTCAGAAAAAGTCAACCACGCTCAGAGCCAGAGGAAGGAAGGCTTTGTCAAGATTGGTTCAGATCCTGGGGGAAATGGAACAAATCCAAACTGCAAATGGAAGAAAGAGTGGACGGGTGGAGGAGTCAGGGCTGGGGGCAGAGAAGAGTCAGACAATGACAGAGCACTCCGGGGGAACACAGAGGGGTGAAAAGAGGCAGGTGGCCAAACTGGACAGTAAACGTCTTATGGAATCCTGTTCACAGCTGATGATTTCATTGAGTGACATCCTTTTACTATTTGCCTACGTTTTCCACAAACTCCTCGAGGGCGAGGACCAAGTTTGGTTTATATTTGTATTCTCCATGCCTAAGTGGGTGCTGCCACAAGCAGATGCTCAAAAAAGTTTGTAGTTGCATGGATTATTATTATCATATTATATTATTATAAAGCTTGTTGTTGCTACTGTGTGAATAAATTATTTTTGCATTTGTGGCTGTGTAGATGATAGGTTTATGTATAATGGCTTCCTTAACCGTAGGAAGGTGAGCTACCAAGGATTGTCCATCTCTGGGGGAAAAACTGATACACAGTTTTGGAATGGTGAGACTGGAGCTCAGTCCATAGCAGTCAATCATCCAAGAGCACCTTACTTCCGTAACCAAGGCTGAGTGAGATGGCAAGAGGGATAGGAGAGATTTGGACCAGCTAAGTGATGTTCACCATGGTGAACATCACTTAGCTGTGTGCTATTTCTGTGGTGACCCTCTCCTTCATAGTCAAGGGGGCTCTCTGGCTCTCAGGGTCAAATGGAAAAGGGAGAGACAGCTCTGGCTTAAAGAATTTTAGCAAATGTTACAGGCCTCATAGTGACTTCTGGCATCAAGGAAATGGGAAGTGCATGTGGCCAAACTGCAAGCTTCGCTCAAAGGGATATATTTCACGTAAAACTTATGTAAAGCAAGTCTACTAGTCGCTTCTCACACTGCTGTAAAGATACTACCTGAGACTGGGTAATTTATAAAGAAAGGAGGCCTAATTGACTTATGGTTCCACATGGCTGGGGAGGCCTCAGGAAACTTAACAATCATGGAAGAAGGTGGAGGGGAAGCAAGCATGTCTTCACATGGCAGCAGGAAAGAGAGCGTGTGCAGGGGAAACTGCCACTTTGAAACCATCAGATCTCGTGAGAACTCCCTCACTATCATGAAAACAGCGTGAGGGAAAACACACCCACGATTTAATCACCTTTCACCAGGTCCCTCCGTCAACACATGGGGGCTACAATTTGAGATGAGATTCGGGTGGGGACACAGAGCCAAACCATATCAGCAAGCAATCATCTTCACATTGGAAAATGTTCACAATTTTTTCCCAGTCCATTCTCCAGCCCTCTCCACCACCTCCATAACAGCTCACATCCTGTGAACAGTGGCAGGGATGCTATCAGGTATGAGAAGCAAGGTTACTGAGGAAATCTCCTCCCCAGTTTGGAGATGTTTCTCCTTAACAGCGTCATCTGGGGAGCTGTCTTCTTGTGGGCTCAGGAACCCTCTGATGTACAGTGTTGCTGAGTGGTGTCAGGCTGATTGAGGGGAATCACAGTTCAAAAGGAATGCTTGGCCATGTGTATTTCCTTCTCTCTGCCTGACATTTGCATAAAGTTTTTCTGCCTTTCCTCCATATCTCTATTGGGATTTTGTTGCATTACTTATCAAACTCAATGAACTACTTAGATAATACAGACCTTCATTTGACCCAAGTCAAGGAATGTTTTTCCCTGGTTCATTTTTCATTTTATTAGAGAATGCCAAAGGGGAAGGAAAAAATGTAGTATACTGAATTTTCAGTGCCAATAAAAAAAAAAAAAGGAAAAATAAAGGTGGGCATGGTGGCTCACATCTGTGATCACAGCACTTTGGGAGGCTGAGGCGGGAGGATTGCTTGAGCACAGGAGTTTGAAACCACCCTGGGCAATATAATGAGACCCCCTTTCTACAAAAAATAAATTTAAAAAAATTATCTAGGCATGAGGCACACACCTGTAGTCCCAGCTATTCAGGAGGCTGAGGTGGGAGAATCCCTTGAGGCCAGGAGTTTGAGGATGCAATGAGCCGAGTGTGCCACTGCACTCCAGCCTGAGTGACAGAGACCCTGTCTCATTAAAAAAGAGAAAAGCCTGTAATCTCAGCACTTTGGGAGGCCAAGGCGGATGGGTCACTTGAGGTCAGGAGTTTGAGACCAGCCTGGCCATCATGGTGAAACCCTGTCTCTACTAAAAATACAGAAATTAGCTGGGCGTGGTGGTGTGTGCCTGTAATCCCAGCTACTCGGGAGGCTGAGGCAGGAGAATCACTTGAACTCCAGAGACGGATGTCGCAGTGAACCGAGATTGCGCCACTGCACTCCAGCCTTGATGACAGAGTGAGACACCGTCTAAAAAAAAAAAGAAAGAAAGAAAAGATGCTTAAAACATCCCTTACTAACTTCCTGGTGGCTGGCAGATATTTGCATCTGGCTGCGCTCTTGATTTAGTTGATATAAAAAGAAAATGTATTAATTTATAAGCTGAAAAGATCAGAGTACAGTTAACTCTAGACGTGGCTGAGTTCAGGGGCTCAGACAATGTCACTGGGACTCATCTCTGTCTCTTGGCTCTGTTGAATTGTCTGGGATATTTTCATTTTCAGGCAGGCCCTCCTTAAGTATTGGCAAGGATGGCTCTCCCATGGCTGCAAGTTCGCATCTGACTACCTGGTTCATCTGTCAGAAGGAACCTCTTGCCCCATAGTTCTAGCTAAAGCCCCAGGAATAATGCTTGCTGACTCTGATTGGTTCAGTTTGGGCCACCTGCTCACCTTTGAACCACTCACCACAACCAAGGACATGCAGTGCCCTGGTTGGCCAGGGCTGCCTGCTGATTCCTGGAGCAAGAGGGTGGGATCTGTCCCATCTAAACCTCATGGACTTATTGTTTGTTCAGGGGATAAAGGAGTGCAGAGAGGGAAGGTAGTTTCACAAAAGAAAACTGTGGTGGATTTGTCAAAAGAGAGGAGATAGTATTCTGCACAGAAAAACAACATCTCCATCACAGCATTTCCACACCTCCAAAGACAGAAAACCCATTCTTTATCATATGGTAGGTTGCACAAGCTGGACCTGGGCATATCAAGTCTTTCTTGGCCATTCTTTTATGATTGCTGATTCTTGTGTTGTTGCACTTTCTTTCCTTTGGATCCTATCCTAGATAAAATAATGAGACTTAGGAAAGGATGGGATCCCCCTTCTTCCCATGAGATGTTTCTGATTATCGTCCCTCCATTGGCTTCCTCTCATTACTTTATAATCAAAAGTGGCACAGTTGCCTCTGAGAGTGGCAACTTTGGAGCACGGCTATTATTCTGGAAGGCCCTGGAGACCCCCATCTAATCACTCCAGCTCCCCACCTCCTCCTGGCACATACAGTTTTTTCTGTCTCCTGTTTAAGGAGACACAAGGAGCACTTTCTGCTCACACCTAAGGGTGTAATGCAGTTTGAGTCTGGAAAGGGTGCTGTGTCCTATGGTGATTATTTCTAGCCCCAGAAGCCTCTGTGACCATGAAAGACCAGAAACGTGATGTGAATATGGACACAAGCCCCTGAGGTGGAGGTTAGGAAAGAGAGCAAAGGAATGGTGTATGCTTGATGACCACAGACACTCTGAGAGTCTGATGGTGCAGGCGCCAGAAGTAAGGAGCTGCTTTTAGCTTGTGCCAACATGGGCATGGGCATTTCAAAAATTGACAAACATAGTGAAAAATCTCTGCTGGGAAATGGGCTTGATTTTTGGAAGATACCGGAGTCTCTCCAGCTGCTGAAGAAGAGGTTCTTGGATTGGGTTGGTGGGTATGCTGGGGTGTCTCATGGTGTCCTCAGCATTCCTGCTGGACCTCTTTTGGGGTGTCGTCAGCCCCACTCAGACCACATAGACTGATAGTGGGTGTGGTTTCCCAAAAGGAAAATCATGGTGGTTTTATCCAAAGAAGGGAGAAGGGAGAAGGGAGCAGGAAAGCTTGAGATGTCTATTAGTGCCTAAGAGGTCAGGGCTTCCCCAGTGACAGCTGGACCGTGTGATAAGCTGAATGTATGATATAATGATGGAGATGGGTCAATAGAACCTTGTGATTGCAAAAGCCTGTCAGGGACAAAGTGTTCACAATTGCCTCCTGGTGGAATTGTACTTTGGCCAAGCATATAGGCTAACAGGCTGGCATATGTGATGCCAGTCAACATGCATTGAACACAGTGTGTGCTGGGCACTGTAATAAGCCTCTTTACGTGCACAATTGCATTTAATTCCCCCAGCAGTCTTTGAAGAAGCTGTTTTTCATTTGAGGGACTCAAGGCTCAGTGATGTGTTCAAGTAAGTGGCAGAGCTGGGCTTTGGGCCCAGGACTGTTTTATGAGTCTGAATCCATGAGGATACAGCACACTGCATGTGGGGCTCACCCTGGGTGTGGGAGGAGGCTGTTAAGGGAGGCAGGGCCCATTTGCCTGAGTTCCAAGCATAAAAAAGGGGGAGCCACAGAGGAACCCTGTGTGAGTATCACCTACTCTCTGGAAATCCATCTGGACCTAATGGACAAAGCCACTCAGAGTGGTGGAGACATATTGGTGAAGTCACAGTGGAACCAGGCTGTGACTCTCCAAGGACCCAGGGCCACCTTGCTGGGGAAATCCTCAGCTTTGGAAGGCTTAGTTTCTGCTAGGGCAGGGCTTGGTAAACTTTTCCTATTGAGGATCAGATAGTAAATATGTTTGGCTTTGAGGCTACGTGGTCTCTTCTACAACTACCCAACTCTACTGGTGTAGCACAAAAGCAGCCCTGGACAATATATAAATGAACGGGCATGGGTGCCTGCCAATAAAACTTTATTTACAAAAATAAGCAGCAAACAGAGTTTGTCCACAGCTTGTAGTTTGCTGACCCCTGCTTTAGAAGGACTTTGAGAGACAGACTTAGTGCTAACTGTTAACACCCAGGCTAAAGTTCAGAAAGTCAGGGTTTCCCCATAGAACTGAGGTTTCTGGGGAAATTTCCTCCTAGTGAATTTTACCCACGCAACACCTCTTTGTCCCCAGCTTCAGTGAAGGGGCTTAGGGCACCCTGAGCTGGTCCCCTAAGGTTTGATAAGTGAAAGATGATCTGTCATCAGCATGTGGTGTCACATGCAGGACCTGAGACGGTGATGGGGAAAGAGTTCATCAGGGCTCCGACTTTTTCCCTTGCATATTAAGTTCTGTATCAAACACAAATGGGATCAAGCCACATCGGAAATTTAGCAACTTTCTTTATTCATGTTGCATTATCACATCATGTCACTTCTCAGCTCAGAACTTTCCTGTGGCTCCATCGTACCCAGAGCAATGTCTGGGACAGGAAAGCCAATGTCCATGTGATGGGCTGCCAAGCCCTGTACAGTCTGGTCCTGGGTACCTCTTGGATGCATTTCTGCTCCTGTCTCCCTCACTCTCTCCAATCATGTGGACCCCCTTGCTGTTCCTTGAACACACTAGGCACACTCCCATTCCAGGACCTGCATATTGACTGTGACCTCTGCATTGGATTACCTCTGCTATCTCCACAACTTGCTAGCTTATCACCTCTGTCACATCTGCACAAATGTCATCTTCTCATTAGAGCCTTCTCTGACCTTGGTGTTTGAAATTGCAGCTCTCTGTTCCCCACTTCCTCAGACTCCTTATTCCTTTTTCCTGTTGTACCATTCTTCACTGTAGGCACCACCATCTGACACTCTATGCATTTTGATTATGTGCTTATTGTCTGTCACCCTCCATTAAACTACAGACTCCAAGAGGGCAGGGATTTTGTTTAGTCCACAGCTATGTCTTTAACACCTAGAATTGAACCTGGCACATGGTATATATTTAATAAGTATTTGTTGCATCTTTCTGATTGATGCAAATTAATCACATCACTTTTATGAATTCTGTTGCCTGGTTATAGCCTCATTTATTTACCTGACTTTCTTTTGATGGATGGTGTCTACAGGTTCTAATGTTTTGTTATTAAATATAATGCTGCAAAATCTAGACTGTGAAAAACTTTACAGATAATTGATCTGGTTTCTTCAGCAAAGACATTGCAAGAAAAAAGAGAAAGGAGTGGTGATGGGGAAGCGGGTCTGTGGATTAAAAGAAACTTGAGAGACATATCAACAAATAGCAACATGTGATGGACTCTGATTCAAATAAACAAACTCTTTAAAAAACTTCTTTTTTTGACATTTATGATACAATTGGAAATTTGTTGGGATGTCATAATGGTATGTGGCCATGTTAAAAGAATAAAGTCCTCACCTTTTGACATACTTAATGAAATATTTGCAATTGAAATGATATGACGTATGAGGTATACTTGCCAATAATACAAAGATGGGAGAAGTGAGAAAAGTGTAGATGAAATAAGAATGGCCATGTGTTGGATAGAGAAAACGTGGTACATATACACAATGGAGTACTATTCAGCCATAAAAAAGAATGAAGTCTTGTCATTTTCAACAACATGGACAGAACTAGAGGTCATTACATTAAGTGAAATAAGCCAGGGACAGAAAGACAAACTTTACATGTTCCCATTTACTTGTGGGAGCTAAAAATTAAAACAATTGAGCTCATCAAGACAGACAATAGAAGGCTGATTACCAGAGGCTGGGAAGGGTAGTAGCGAGTGTCGGGGGCGGGGAGTGGGAATGGTTAACAGTACAAAAAAATAGAAAGAATAAATAAATATTTGTTGCATCTTTCTGGTTGATGTAAATTAATCACATCACTTTTATGAATTCTGTTGCATAGTGATAGCCTCATTTATTTACCTGACTTTCTTTTGATGGATGGTGTCTACCATTCTTCATTGTAGGCACCACCATCTGACATTCTATGCATTTTGATTGTTTATGTGCTTATTGTCTGTCACCCTTGTATTTGATACGAGTATTAAGACCTAGTATTTGATAGCACAACAGGGTGACTATAGTTAATTGTATATTTAAAAATAACTAAAAGAATATAATTGGATTGTTTGGAACACAAAGGCTAGATGCTTGAGGTGATGCATACCTCATTCTCCACGATGTGACTATTATGCATTGCATGCCTGTTCCAAAACATTTCATATGCCCCATAAATATACACACCTACTATGTACCCTCAGAAAAAAGATTTTTTTAAAAAAGAGCTGCCATGTAGTGATAATTGTTGAAACTGGGAGGGAGGCTTATGGGGATATATTGTACTGTATTGTATTTGCTAGTATATTTTTGACATTTTCCACAATGAGAACATTGTTAAAAACTGCTTAATAATCTTGCGTGTGAGGCAGGGTGGAATGGGTGGGGTTTTAGATGAAGTAAAACTAACCATCAATTGAATAACTGTTGAAGCTGGGTGCTGGATTTGTTAAGCCATCCTCTCTACTTCTGTATGTGCTTGACATTTTCTAAAGAAAAGTTAAACAACTGTGCTGCAGTGAATATCCTATCATAAACCCCTTCTTAGGTCTTCCCTGATCTCCATCTCCTTAATTCTTGATGTGGCTGTGTCCAAATAAGCTGTGAATTCTATCTGACCAAACACTGTTGCAGCCTTGATGTTCTAAAACTGCCTTTTTAAAAAACTTCAACTTTGTTGAGGCATAATTAACATATCATACCTAACATTCACCCATTTTAAGTGTGTAATTCAATGATTTTTAGCAATTTGGCCGAGTTGTGCACCCATCACATCTAGTTCTAGAATATTCTCATCACCCAAGAAGATCCCCTGAGCCCATTTACACTTAATCTCTACCTCCACCCCCAGCCCCAGGCACCACGAATCTACCTTCTCTCTCTAAAGATTTGCCTTTTCTGGACATTTACATTTTTAACGAGATCCTCACCTGGAATTTTTTACATTCTCTTTGCTACTCTACAAAATGACATTTCTGACTCAAGGATGCTTTCTGTTCTGTTATCACTGAATAAGTTTTTGAGACATAATCTTCCCAGTTCTGCTCAGAAATTCAAATAATTCAGTTCTGTACATTTGGGGAATTACTGTGTCACAGTGATGGTCTATGAACCTTACATTACACAGAAATTAATGATATGCTAAGAAGACAGTAGTGATCAAGGCTCAGAAAACATCCTATATGAGTGGCTTAGAGAGTAGGCAGACAGGCCAGGCTTGGTGGCTCATGCCTGTAATCCCAGCACTTTGGGAGGCTTAGGAGGGTGGATCACTTGAGGTCAGGAGTTAGAGACCAGTCTGGCCAATATGGTGAAACCCCATCTCTACTAAAAATACAAAAATTAGCCAGGCGTGGTGGTGGGTACCTGTAATCCCAGCTACTCGGAAGCCTGAGGCAGGAGAATTGCTTGAACCCCAGAGGTGGAGGATGCAGTGAGCAAGATCACACCACTGCACTCCAGCCTGGGCAAAAAAAAAAAAAAAAAAAAGAGTGGGCAGACAAATTCAAATCTATATGTCACCAACCCTGATAAATACATTTCTCAATAAATTTCCCTAGGGCCATGGTTGTTTATAAGGTCTGAAATCCTCTGATATTTCTTGCAGGCCCAGTTCTCAATTTTGTGTTACTTCCATGCCAGAGATCTTTGACCCCAGATCCTACTGGGACATCAATATAGTGATATTACTAAGGCTTGGTTCCTTACTTTGTAGTGGATCACATTTTTCCAGTTCATTAGAAAAGCATTTACTAGGGGTCTTACACTTTGTGAGTTAGACTTATCCCAGGATCCAGAACATTGATGCAGGACCTGATTACCTAATGATTGGATAGTCTTTATCTGTTGGATAACTTCATTTATAAATCTAGAGCCATGGGGCTATTCATTCATTCAATGAATATGAAATAGGTATGATGAATGCCTACTATGTGCCAGAATCTGTTCAGGAGCTGGGAATAAAAAAGATAAAAATTAAGAAAAGACAGTTCTTACCCTTAAGAGGGTCACAGTCTAGAGGTGGAGACAGACACGTAGAAATTATGGAAAAACTGAAATATTATGTATAATATTTCAAGTTATAATGTTACTATAGAGGTAATCAGGGCATATTTTACAAAACTTATGTTTGATTTGAGTCATGAGGGATGAGTAGGAGTTTGCATATGGCAAAAAGGGGTAAGAATATTTTGAGAGCTAGGACACAGATAAAACATGAGGTATAAAATGTGATTTGAGAGCCCAGTTATTTCTTTGGTTTTATTTTTGTTTGAGCATAATTATTTTTCTCTTTCGAAATTCTAGGATGAAATGTTTTTTCTTCTCTTTAAACATTAGTATTATTTAAGGCTATAAATTTACCTTGTATACTGCATTGGATACATTCCATACTTTCTGGCATGCAGTGTTTTTATGCTGCTTCCCAGAGCAAAACCCTTTGGGTGGAAAATCTAGTTATTAGATAAAGTTCCAATTTGTCAGCATGGCTTAATACAGTCTTTGTGAATGGATTCCTACTTATTTCTCCAATTTAATATACTGCTTTCCACCCTAAAATTCATTTAGTAGCAATATTCACAGTTCTTGAACAAGCCATGTTTTCTCACCTTTATGAATTTGTTCATACTGTTATTTTTGCATGGACTAGAAAAACCTCAGTCATGTTTCCAAAAAACATTTGACTTTAACAAACACTATCTCCCTATGAGTATGCCAGGTTGAGTTAGCAGCAAAATATTCACAGGTACTAAAACATGTTAACTTGCTGTAGAGAGTCATTTAATATTGATCTAATGAATTTGGGGAATGTCTACCAAGACAATAATTTTCAGGTTTACAAGACTGACATCAAGCTATCTCTTTTTATTGCAGTTAAGCACCAGAGTTACTTGTCTCATGAGATTCATGGCAGTAAATCTTGGTATAGGGTATTACAACCATGTCCTCAGCATATGAGCATATGCTTCTCTTCCTATTTTTTATAGCAGAATGACATGGACTCAATTCATGGAGAAGAGTATCAAGTTACCAATGTCTAAGTTAGAGGACTTGGCTGTAATACAACCTTGTTTTTTAAAAAAATGGAGAGAGATTTGATCTGTCCCCAAACTTGTCTTAATTTTTCTTGTTCCTCTAGTGAAATAAAGATACAGACCGTTTAGATGACTTATTACTGGAAAATTTATCTCAAGTTCTTTGATCTTTAGCAATTCTATTCATGAAATCAAAGACCAATGGGGAAAAATTAATAAAAGCTGCCAACAGTCTTACTTTTCTCTTGGCAAATGTCTTCATAAGGCAAAAGAAATTGTGATTAATACAAAACAGATTACTTGAACCCACTTTCTACTCATTTTAGATATCAGGCTGATTTATTCAGAATTGCAATCAGTTGAGTAGGAAACTGGCGTGTAGATTTGAAGGGTTGTCTGGAAAATTAACAGTTCTGTAGCTTTGAGGGAGGATAAAGTTTAAGATTGAGTTCATACAGAGGGAAGAGTACCCTAGGAGCAATGGAAGGAACTGTATAACATAGTCAGAAAAAAACTTTCTAAAGTTCTGATGGCAAAAGATTTTCTGGACCAGCATGTATCAGAGGGGAACTTTTGCATGCATTAGCATCTGCAAAAGGAGCAAGTGTTCATCTCCACTTTATGACACCATTGAGATGTCTTATGCTGTTATGATTTTGACCAAACTTACATAAGACCACTAAATCCACAAACCTGATACTTGTTTGTGGATTTCCTTGTTTAATTTGGTCCTTTCTTTTGGGATTCACATTCTTTCTTCCTAAAATACTTCCTTTAATTTCCTAATGAAGATATTTTATTTTTCTTCAATGGCATTATTTAGTTCCTGTTAGAGAATGATAGTTTAGCTAGGTATACAATTCTAAGTTGACAGCTATTTTCTTTCAGCACATTTAAGATCTCATTCTATTATCTTCAATTTTCCATTGCTGCTATTGAAAGTCTTCTGCTACTCAAACTCCATTGCTTTGTCTTTAATTTCGGCTGGCTTTAATATCTTTTTCTTTGGCAATGGGGAGTAGTTTGAGTATTTTTCAATTTCATTGCAATGTGCGCAGGTGTGAATTTAAAAAAAAAACAGTTTGTATTTGTATGCTTTCTGAGTCCGAGGGTTAATTTCTTTGTCAGTTTGGAAAATCCTCATTTATTCTCTCTGCAAGGGTTGTTTTTCTTCATTATATTCCCTTATTTAGGCAATATGATTAAATACGTATTCTAGAATCAGTGTCTCTTAACCACTCCATAATTTTATATTCTTTATCTCTTTGTGCAATATTCTAGGTAGTTTATTCAGGTCTATTTTCTAGGCCATTATTTTCTCTTCATTTGTTTACAGTCTTTTGGTTTATTTGTTCACTGGGTTTTTAATTTAAATTATTTTTAATTTCCAAGAGTTATATTTGATTATTTTTCACTCTTACCTCTGTTTTTGAATATTTCATTTTTTCTCCTTTTTAAAAATATATATTTCATACTCTGAACTTGATAATTCTACATTGCAGAGTTCTTTGGGGTCTAAAGTTCTTGTGTTCTTCATTGTTTCTACTTATTTTCATTCATGGTTATTCTTTTGTGTATTTTTTAGTTTTTGCTATTGAGCTAATGTTTAGTAAGGTATTATCTGTGGATTCCTGGGTGACCTGGGTTAAGGGTGGGTACCTCCAGGGAGAATTTGCACTTTTTTCTTCTAGGTACTCTGAAGGGCTACCAGTGTGGACTTACTCTTCTAATTTTTCTGCTGGGGTTTTCCAGGCCATGTGGAAAGCATAATTTGAATCTCAGATCCACATGAGAATGACTCTATGGTAAAGAACTGTCAGGGAAATATTTTTCCTTTTGAATTGAACTGATTTCAACAGGTGTCCTCAGTCTTATTCCTTTGCCAGTGGGTGAATTATTTTCTAGGCAAACCTCTCATCAAAAGAATAGCCCTTTGAGGGTCCTGACCTTGTGTGGGTATATTCCTACCATGGGCAGGTCAAGGACTTTGGTCATTTGTCTTCATCTGACTGCTAAAATCTGTAAAACTGTAAAAAACCTCTTGATTACTGAGATTGGCAAATGCCTCTAGGCCTGCTATAGCCTCAGTGTCAACTTGTCACTCTGCTTTTCAGCTCCCACTTCATATTTTGACATCTGGGAATTTATGCTATTTGGATGCTGTTCATATATTCATTTAGAAGAATTTCTACATGTTTTGTGCCAGGGGTTTTCCCAAGATGTCCAACCTATTAGATTATTAGAAACGAAAGTCTCATGTTGTTTTATTTCATTTCTTCCCTTAACAATATATAACATATTTGGTACCAATAAATACTCATTTAAAACATATTTTTATAAATGAAAGTATTTACTTATTTGTATATTTCTTTGTAGATTTCTATGAGAGGTTTTTGTTTTGTTAAATTTTTTTTACAGGCAAATTAAAATATATGGGCTGATTTCTCCATTTTGAAAGTAAGCATTTTTGTCTTTTTTTGGTATGGCAAGCAGGCAATTACTTCTTGTTGCTGCATCTTAACCATAACTTAAGATACCCCCTTGAACTTTTGATCCAGCTATGAATCTTTTGTTTTTTCCTCATGCAGACTTTTTTTCTCTCTTTGGCTAACAGTCTCAGGCACCATTATCATTGTATATGCTTGCCAATGCAACATATAAAAGCAAAAGAGATATACAGACTAAGTGTGTGTGTGTGTGTGTGTGTGTGTGTGTGTGTGTGTGAGAGAGAGAGAGAGGCAGAGAGAGACAGAGAGGGACAGAAACAGAAAGAGAGATTAAAGACCCTCACAGCCACTTAAACTGCAATTCAAATATCTTTATGATAAAGGGGAAAATATCCAATCATTTGATTGCCGCTCTCCCCACCGCCTCCCTCTGTGAGCTCCTAAAACACCACGGTAGCTTAACTAGAGCTGTGGCTATGACTGTTTTTGCATTTCTTAGGGCTGGCATGGGCAGTCTATTGATTTCAGGGTTGCTAATGACTGTGCGGAATAGAAGAAGCTTTTGTGGCCAGACTAAATCCAGACTTGGAATTGCATGACTAACCATTCCTGGGACATCGTCTGCTGAAGTAGTCAAAGTGGGTTTTATTTTTGATAAACTTTCTTTCTCCAGTCTCCTTGTGGCTATAGGAAAGGTACAGCCAGGAAAACAGTCTGGGCAGGGCTTGGTGTCCCCTGGGAGCCTGGGCATTTAACAATAAAAAGGTTGTTTCCTGGGGCAGTGGAGGAGGAAGGTGTCCTTGGATAAGTTTTTGAATATAACACCCACATGAGGCACAAACTTTTCTCAATGTCACCCAGACAGCAAGCCCTTCAGGTATTTCCCCCTGGTTGGCAGCCCTTCTCCCTGGTCTCCTGGGAATACTTACTATATATGGGACAGGTATGGTCCCGAGAGTCCTATTTATGCAAGGTTATGTAAAACGTGCTTACAAAAAGATCCATGCACCAAGCTCTAAGTGAGCAGATGCTTCACACAAACTAAAAATTCCCCTGAGTGCCCAAATCTCAGTTTTTAGAATGTCTCTCACCTCAGTTGGGATGACTAAAGAGGAAGAGAGGCTCCAGTTCTAGCTTCTCCCAGGCATCTGATGAGGCTCCTTGCCTCCTTAGGGCTTCAGCTATGCCCACAACATTTATTTATTTATTTCTTCTTTTTTTTTTTTAAGTTGGGGCATTGCTGGAATATCCTTATGTCGGTGGTGAGCTCCATGAATTGTTCTAAAATGGACTACTCAAAACTCTATAGTTTGAACAAGGGGAAGTGGGGAAACCATCCTTGTCATTCGTCCGTCCATCCATCCATCCATCCATCCATCCATCCACCCATCCGTCCATCCATCCACTCATCTATCCATCCATCTATCCATGCATCCATCCATCTATCCATGCATCTATCCATCCATCCATCCATCCATGCATCCATCCATCCATCCATGCATCCATCCATGCATCCATCCATCCATGCATCCATCCATCCATCCATCCATCCATCCATCCATCCATCCATGCATCCACTCATTCATCCTTCCATGCATGCATCCACACATCTAGCTATCCATTCATCCATCTGTCCATCTACTCATCTGCCTATCTACCCATCCATCCATTCATTGAGTACCCACTCAGTGTCAGGCACTGTGCTGGGCTCTGAGACACAGAATCAAAAAGACAGGCATGGTTCCTGACAACAAAGAGATCACAGTCTGTCAGATGAAATGGATAGAAAACAAATGATTGTGCAATTAATTGCACCAGTAGTAAGCACTGCGCATGAGAAGTGTTGACTCCTCTGTAAGACTCATTGCCAAAGTCATTTTCAGATCCCTACCACTTCTAACCTTCTCCACTGCATCCTCTCTTGTCTAAGCCACCATCACCTTTTGCCTCCTAAGTGGACTTTTTGCTTCATTCTTGCTCCCTTCAATTCATTCTCCACAGAGCAAGCAGAGTGACCCCTGTCACTCTGGCTCCAGTTAAATTAAGCATAATTAATCTAAATTAAACATTTAGATTAATTTAAATTAATTTTGCTTAATTTAATCATGTCACTCCTCTGTTCATCATCTCCCCAGTGCTTCCCATTTCAGAGGGTGACAAGACCTTCACCTTCCAGCCCATGCAGTCCCCCTTTGACCACAGTTCTACCCTGACTCACCCCAGACACAATGGCCTCCTTATTGCTCCTGGAACAACCCACAGTCTCATCTCAGGGCTTTGCACTTGCTCTTTCCTCTACCTGGAATGTTCTTCTCCCAAATATCCATATGTTTGGCTCCTTTGCCACTTCCAGGTCTGTATCCAAATGTCACCTTCTCATTTCCCTGGTTTTTTTCTTCCTTAGCACCTATCACTAACACACTATGTGTTTTCATTATTTATCTGATTTGTTGTCCATCTCTGCTTTGAAATTCAGGTCCAGGGATGATGGATGTTTGTCTGTTTTGTTCTCAGCTGGATCTCTAGCAGCTAGAACAGTTCCTGGCTCATAGTAGGTGATTATTATATATTTATTGAAAGAAAGAAATGAATGAATTTCTGTTTTCTTCTTCGTGGGTATAGTCCCCTCTATCTGTCTTAATAAAGAAACTGGGAGGAAGAGAAAGGGTGGAGAGAGGCACCATTCACATGGCATGGCTCTCCCTGTCTGTTTTTTGGATGGTGGGAAAAAATAAGATATCCTCAAACTCAACTCATCCTAACAGCACTCTTTCTCTTTGCAGAAAGAATATCTTGCTCTTGATGATGGCTTCTGCTTGGGGAGAAGTAAGAAACAGGGTGAGGATAGTGGAAGAGAAGGGGAGCCTCAAGTGACCTTGTTAGAAACCAGCACAGGGGACTTTTGTAGACTGATGAGTGGCTTACAGTGAGTAGATGATGCCACCTTACTGTGGTTTGGGTTTTTCTGGGCAGGACAGGGGCAGTTTCCAGGGCTCTTATGGAAGGGCAAGAGCATCTCTAGCTGGCCACATTGTGAAGTGGAGAAGAGCAGCTCTTATCCATGCTAGGGAAGACCAGCTGGCTTCAGCCATGAGAATGGCACACAGTCAAATTCGGGTCTACCCATGAGCTAAATAGTTGGGTCCAGAAACCGGCCACCTTAACCAAGCTAGTGGTCAAACAGTAAGCCAAGTAACCATTGTTATGGATGGAATGTTTTCATACCCCCCAAAATTAATATGTTGAAACTCTAACCTCCAGTGTGATGGTATTTGAACATGGTTAAATACCATGTCTCCCAAGCTTCAGGAGGTGATTAGGGTTAGATTAGGTCATGAGAGTGGAGCCCTCATGGTGAGATTAGGGTTCTTATTAAAAGAGGAAGGCACACAATAATAATTTAACTTTGCATTTTAAAATAACTAAAAGAGTATAATTGGATTGTTTGTAATCACAAAGGATACATGTTTGAGGGGATGAATACCCCATTTTCCATGCTGTGATTATTAATACCTAGTATGTGATAGCGCAACAGGGTGACTATAGTCAAAATAATTTAACTGCACGTTTAAAAATAACCATGAGTATAATTGGATTGTTTGTAACAAAAAGGATAAATGCTCAAGGGGATGGATTCCCCATTTTCTGTTATGTGATTATTGCACATTGCATGCCTATCCCAAAACATCTCATGTACCCCATAAATATATACAGCTGCTATGTACCCACAAAAATGAAAAAAATTTAAAAGACACAGAAGATATCTCCCCCTCACCTTCCTTCTGCCCCTTCTTATTCCACTTCCTTGCCTCCATCTCTCCATCTCTCCATTCTCTCCTTCCCCCTCCCTCCCCTCCCACTTCCTCCCTTGTCCCTCTGTCTCCTTGCACTCACCAAGGAAAGACCCTGTAAGGTCATAACCAGGAAGAGAGCCTTCACCAAGAACCCAACATGCTGGCACCCTAATCTCAGACTTCCAGCTTCAAGAACTTTGTTGTTTAAGCCACCCAGTCTATGGTGCTCTGTGATAGCAGCCTCAATGACTGAGACAACCAAGAAGCAAACCCAGGTGCCAGGAAGTTCATTCCAGACTCCAAGGTCAAGAGGAGAATTCCCAAACAAGCTGAAAAGCCAGGGTGTTCATGGAGAATGGAGTGCAATGGCAGAGAGTGGTCCGGGGATGAACTTGGGGACAACTCCTAAGCTCATGGAGGGGCCAGTCACTTCCTGAATTTGACTTCCACAGTCAAATCAGACCTCTGTACCCACCACTCATGGGGGGCTGTATTTTTGCCATTCTTTTTTTTTATTATTATACTTTAAGTTTTAGGGTACATGTGCACAACGTGCAGGTTTGTTACATATGTATACATGTGCCATGTTGGTGTGCTGCACCCATTAACTCATCATTTAGCATTAAGTATATCTCCTAATGCTATCCCTCCCCCTCCCCCCACCCCACAACAGTCCCCGGTGTGTGATGTTTCCCTTCCTGTGTCCATGTGTTCTCATTGTTCAATTCCCACCTATGAGTGAGAACATGCGGTGTTTGGTTTTTTATCCTTGCGATAGTTTGCTGAGAATGATGGTTTTCTCTTATGCCCTGCAAAGCCTGGAGTTACTTACTCTCTTAATGCCACTAGGTGGTGACTCTGCTTCAAGGAGTCAAAACCCCAAGGTTATTGATTGGGAGCTAGGCACTTGATAAGCAACGCTGTTACATGCATTATCTCATTTAAACTTCACGGCAACTCTAAGGAGTAAGTGCTATTATTATCCCTACTTTACAGATGACAAAAAGCTGAGGCTTAGCACATTTTAAGAGCTTTGCCTAATGCTATTCTCCAATAGGTGGCTCTCTCAACACACTGCTTTCTGAGTCAGTTTGAGACAGGCAGAAACTGAAGACCATTTTAAAGCTGGACAGTGGTGGTGCTCTCAGATGAGCACATATGTTGAAAAAAAATCATTAATGTTATTTAACGTTCACTTATGGAGCCCTTCCTATGTCTCAAGTGCCAGAATAATGGTTTACAAACACAGTGTAATTTAACCCTCAAAACAACCCTATAGATCAGGCACTGTTGTTACTCTCATTGTGTAGATGAGTTTGTTGACACGTAGAGAGGCTAAGTAAATTGCTGCATAGGTGTGTCTTAGTAGGTGACAGCCCAAAAGCCAAGAGCAAAGTGCTTCAGAGAGCTTTGCCCTGGATTCTAAGTGGGAACTGAGGATCTCTAGGTCTTTGGCCTCTGGCTGGGATCTCAGGAAGGGAGACACTAACCCAACAGAATCCCCAACCCCCTACAAGCAAAAAGCAGTCAGAATTTTGACCCGTCTCAGCTCTGGCCATAAGTGAGGGACGTTGGACAAACAGCTTCCACTGGAGTATAGGGCTCGGTTTTTTCTTCCACAAAAGGCGAGGTTGGACTCTCTCTATATAAAGAAAGACTCCAAATTAGATGCTCGCAGGGCCAAGCGGGTAACAAAAATGAGTGATGTGGATCAGGCAGGGACGGTGGCAAACTGGTGAGCACATGCTGCATTTTAAGGGGCTGTTCTGGCCAATTGCAGTCATGTAGGAATGTAGTCTACTATTGCTAGGTCTTTGATCTTCCAGAAGAATCTGAAAATTCAATCTCCTTTTAAAAAATGTTGGTGGCCGGGCGTGGTGGCTCATGCCTGTAATCCCAGCACTTTGGGAGGCTGAGGCAGGAGGATCATGAGGTCAGGAGATTGAAACCATCCTGGCTGACATGGTGAAACCCCATCTCTACTAATATAAAAAATAAGCCGGGTGTGGTGGCATGCACCTATAGTCTCAACTACTCGGGATACTGAGGCAGGAGAATCGCTTGAACCCGGGAGGCATAAATTGCAGTGAGCCGAGATCGTGCCACTGCACTACAGCCTGGGCGACAGAGTGAGACTCTGTCTCCAAAAAAAAAAAAAGTGTTGGCAATGGATTTAAACCTTAAAAACCATAAAACTATCTAATTAAAAAAAATGCACAGTCATGAGCTGAATTTGGCTGACAAATCCCTGTTTTCTGTACTTGAAGATGCCTTCAGTTCCCTCCAGTTCTGAGTTCTTTCATTCCATAAACTTTATGAGCCATGGTGCTGGCCAAGTCGAATTGAGGAAGGAGAAGATATTGGGAAGAAACAAGAACCGTCTCACCCTCCTTGGAGTTCCAAGGAGGTCACCATGGGATTCTTTCCCTTAGAGCACTTCTCCTAGATCAGTTTTCATACTTTGGTCAGTTTCAGAATCACCTGGGAACTTGGTAAGATAAACAAGGCCCAGGCGCATCCTCTTTTATCAAGTCAGGACCTCTGTGTACTTGGTGAGTTCTCCAGATGATTCTGACATAGCCCAAAGTGTGGGAACCCTTGTCCTACATCTATGATTCTCAGCACCGGCTGCACATAAGAATCAACCGGAGAGCTTTTACGACCACTGATGTGTAAGTCCTACCCAGGACCAATTAATCAGGCCCAGAGGATTCTAATGTGCACCCAGGGTTGAGACCCACTGACTTGATCAATGCTCCTGGTTAATGCTTTTTACACTTTGGTGTGCTGGAGGATCACCTGGGGGTTCTTGTTAAAAATCAGTAAGTCTGGGGAGGGGACTGAGATTCTACATTTCAATGCTGCTGCTGTTGTTCTGGG
The DNA here is from genome assembly GCF_000001405.40 of Homo sapiens. Taxonomy (NCBI): domain Eukaryota; kingdom Metazoa; phylum Chordata; class Mammalia; order Primates; family Hominidae; genus Homo; species Homo sapiens. The sequence goes on along the minus strand of NC_000016.10, from coordinate 22,975,547 downwards.
AATCACATTTTGAGCAGCAAGGGTCTGGGAGAGTGTTTTCCAAATTTTCCATATGATAAGAGAATCACTTGTTTTTATCAAATATATAAATTCAGTTGTAATTTTTAAAAGACCACCTAAATGAGAACAAGCAAAGGATATTTATTTGGGGCTTGCTCCAGCAAGGGAGTCAGCCATCCTCACTTTTGTTTGGTAGAGGCTCAAAGGTAGGCAGAGGAGTGGGGAGGCTGTAGAGGCGGGAAGCAGGGGAGACTTCAGGTGTGCCCTGAGTGGAGGCTGCTGGCCAGAGGAAGCTAGAGGCAAGTTAACTAGGGGCAGGAAATCCTATGTGATTTGTTAGGGGGCATGTTTGACTTTCTCTGGTTGGTCTTAAATTGGAAGCAAGGCCAAGAATTAAGGAAATTGGGCCAGGTGCAGTGGCTCGAGCTTGAGTTCTCAACACTTTGGGAGGCTGAGGTGGGAGGATCGCTTGAGCCCAGGAGTTTGAGGCCAGAATGGGCAACATAGTAAGACTCCCATCTTTACAAAAAATAATAATAAATAAAAAGAACTAGGAAAACTGTCAGTTATTGATTAAGTCCTGGTTCGTCTGAGCCGATGGCTACAGGAGTTGTTGTTTGGCTTCCTGGAGAGTTTGCTACAGAGAATGGGTCAGAATTCAATTTTTATTATGGTCTAGCCTTTGTCCACCTGTATATTCAGTCTCTCAATTCCCAGAGCTCCCCACTGGACTTTCTGGTTCAGAAGGCCTGGGTGAGGGTCTAGGAATCTCCAGGTGATTCTTATCATCAGGAAGGGTTGGGGGGAACCCTGATGGAAACCAAGTAAATTAGAATCACCTGGGGAGATAAGTTAACAGTAGCTACCCAGGCCCTACCCCAGACTTCATGAGTCAGAATCTCTGGAGGCGTCGCGAGGAATCTGTCTGTTCCCTCTATCAGTTGTGTCTTCCTGACTAACCACTTTGAAACAGTGGGTTAAAACAACAATAGTTTATTGCTTTTCATGTTCTGTGGATCTTCCCCAGTTTAAAGACTCTGGGTTGCACCAGCAATTGTGGATGAGCCCCATAATCTACAAGCCCCAGGTCTCCCTCAGGAAGAAAACTTTGTAAGTACTTGGGAGCCATCAACAAATTGTGTTGAAGTAGGGCCATTCAATGGTATTTTGGCAGGTTTTGAATAGCAAAGCTTAGTGATTCCCACGGACTCTAAGAGGGAGTTTCTTTGAAAATGATGCAGTAGCTACAGGTGTTTAATTTGCTGCATGATACCTACTCTATTGGGAATGATGTAAATATTTGAAGTTTTTGAACGATAGAGGTTGTGAGGAGATATATTTCAAATAAACACTAATAATGATAGTCAATATTTCTTGAATGCATATAAGGTGCCACACAGTGTTCTGAACACTTAATGTGTAATCTTCATGGCAGCCTGTTGAACTAGGTCCCATTTCTCAGGTAGGGACACTGAGGCACAGCGCGATTAATTCATTTACCTGAAGTCATAAAGCCAGGATTTAAACCCAAGTGGTCTGACTCTACACTCAAATATACTGTATATCCCACATACACTCAAATAAGAGAAATTAGTTCTTTCTGAAGCCCCAAGTGTAATATCTCTCACTATGTATTGCATAAGTTGCAGGGAAGAGGTTATTTTGCCTGGCCTGACTGGCTTAAACAAGTAGTCACTAGTCAGGCCACAGAGGACTGGTTAGTGGTCTCAGTCTTGTAAAAGAAATTACCTCTTTTTGCTGTTCACTCTTCAGCCAGAGGGAGGCTGGCTTTCTAGCTCTCTTCCCCACATCCAGTGCTCTGTGATTGTCCAGACACTTAGGGCCAGCTTGACAATATAGAGATAATAAAAATAAAGCTGTGGTGAAAACAACCACATCATCAGTTGCTATGCCAACCTAAGTTGCAACCAAGGCTATTTCATGGGCAGTATTGAGGTAGAAAATGTTCTGGAGGCTAAGGTGGTAGAGGGCATTCAAAATTTCCCTCAATGTCTTTTGAGTCCAGTCTGCCCCAAATAGCCTTCAGTGGTTTACACTTGCCTTCAGGATAAAGTCTCCCTGCTTAACATACCTAAACACCATCTTCCCACTCCTTCCCACCCCTCTGGCTTCATCTCTTTCCATTTCATCACCAGGTTCTGTAGTCCTGCTAGACTGAGCAAATTTTGTTTGGTGTGTCCTTGCTTTTCATCACCTCCAAGTCTTTGCATATATTCTCTGCCTAAAATTCCTTTCCTTCCCTCTGTCCTCCTGCTTTATTCATCCTTTAAGCTCCAGTTTGTATGTCACTTTTTTCAGGGAACCTGAAAATATTAAGAACTGTGAAGGATCTGAGTTTTAGCTTCCTTGCAAGCTAACCTGTTAGTTGGCCATAACTTCAAGGATGCTGCAAAAGACATGAGACACCTGGGTCAGAGACAAAGGATAGTTTATGACTCATAGCAATAGCAGAATCCAGAATATCATCATTTTTGTGTTGGTTCTCTAAGCCCCAGTTCCAAAAGTGTGATGTGAAAAGGGAACCTGAATCTTTTTCTTTTTTTTTCTTTTTTCTTTTTTTTTTTTTTTAGAGACAGGGTCTTGCCCTGTTGCCCAGGCTAGAGTGCAGTAGATGTAATCATAGCTCATTGTAACCTCAAACTCCTGGACTCAAGCAATTCTCCTGCCTCTGCTTCATGAGTAGCTAGGACTACAGGTACATGCCCAGTTGATTGGAAAAAAATTTGTTTTGTTAGAGACGGGGTCTCATTATGTTTCCCTGGCTGGTCTTGAACTCCTGGCCTCAGGCAATCCTCCCACCTTGGCCTCCCAAAGCTCTGGGATTACAGGCATGAGCCACCATACCCAGCTGGAAACTGAATCTTCTACACTGGGCAGTGAGCATGCCTACCCATCACTGTAGAGGAAGATATCATCTCTATCTTTCAAGGTTGTTTTCCAAATATCCTTGAAAATATAGCCCAAGACAAAGGCAGACAGGCCCTCTGCTTTCGAAACATGCAGAAATACAAGAGATCTATGGAGAATTTTCTCCCAATAACTCTGGGTTCAATGTCATCTGCCTTGGTCCTCCCAGTTAATTTCATCTCAACTGTCCTTCACTTGACGGGGACTTTCCTTCATGCTCCTCTCTCATGGTCTACACCAGACTCCTTTGTAGTAACTTCTCATAGAATTGGGCTCTTGTCCTTCAGACCACTTATCTCAGTCTGTAATTATATGCCATTATGGAGATTATTTGATAAACATCTGTTTATCCCATTATGCTATATGCTTCATAAAGTCAAGGACTGTGTCTGTTTTCACAATGGTATCTGTGTTGTTCAGTGCAATGCCTAGTACACAGTGGGAACTGAATTCATGTTTATAGAAAAATTGGGGCTATTACATTGAAAAAGTAAAAATCATTGAGGGTCAGAGTAATCGAGGTGACCTGCCCGAGGTCCCACAGCTAGTTTCGAGTAACTAAATTCAAATTCCCTGAATCACAATCCATTTTCTTTTCCATCCATGAGCACTTAATCAGATTTTGTTTCCGCACAATGGTGGTGGTGGTGGCGGGGATGACAATTAGGTGGGGGCAATGGAAGAAAGGCACGAATGACTTGGGCATGGGTGAGGAGTATGTGACCCCTTTCGGAAAATAGTTGAAATTTTTCTCTCAATTATTCCTGCTCTGGGCTCCGCTGAGAACCAAAATTGGGTTAAGACTATTAGAAGCCTATGAGGCAGACAAATGAATGGTTCAGATTTCAGACTATTGTGGAGATCGTAAAAATAGACACTATTTATTCCTTGGGTATTCCCCTCCCACACTGACTCAGGGCTGGCCTGGTAACTTGCTTTGCCCCATGGACCATTGGCAAATATGACACAAGCAGAGGCTCTAAAAGCACTTGCTTATTGAGAATCTTCCCTCTCTTGTTCATCTTAGGACCCTGTGACACCCGTATGTGAATAAATCCAGGACAGCCTGTTGGGTGATGAGGGACACACAGCCAAGTCATTCCCAGCACCCTAGCCAACCTGAAGCCAACCCACCAAACACATGGATGAGGCCGTCCTAGACCATCCAGCCCTGGTAGAGCTGCCAGCTGACCAAAGAGATCAGCTGAGATGACCCAGACCAAAAGAACCATGTCACTTACATAATCATTAAGAATAATAAACATGCCATTTTAAACCCTTAAGTTTTGGGATGTTTGTTACATAGCAGAAGCTAACTGATAAAACCGCAATGCACCCTTGTTTAGGTTTAAATCCAAGCCTCATCATTTAATTGTTTAGCCTGAAAGAAAAGTTCTTTAACCTGCCTGTGTCTTAGTTTCCTCACCTGTGAAATAATGACAAAAATGGATTATGTAATTTACAGCATTCATGTACACAGTAAATGAGTTAATATTTTAAGAATTTTCAGAATGGTGCCTGGGATATAGTAACTGCTATACATGAGCACAGCTATCATGAAAGATGATGATTTCCACCACCTATGCCATGTGTAATTAAAACAAAAACTGCTTGAACAAAATTGGTAAATGTAAAGACCTCTACAAAGTTTTTCTGGAAATTATTGAATGCTAAGTGTCATAAGCATGCGCTCCTCCCTCGTTTTGGGTGCCATCCCCTGTTACTGATATCTTAAGTGTGTTCTAGTTTCAGGGAGCCCCAGCTGAGAGCCCCTGGGTGGAGGAATTCTCCATCTTCTGGCAGACATTAGGCTCCAGTCAGCCCCCTCCCTGCAGCAGCTGCTGTCTTTCAGCAGGGTTAATCTGTATTCAAGCCAGGGAGTGACAGCACAGAGCAAGACATTCAAATGCACATTGGAGACCCTGTGAAACCTGGTCTCCAGACCATGATCCACAGGGAGGGCAGGACCCTCTCTGCATTGACCCAGGCCTCTGCCCTCCTTCCTCAGGGGCTATGCTAATTAGAGGGGCTGCTCAGCTAATGGGGGTGCTCATTGGCCTGACATGCTCTGAATGCACAGCCTTGGAGGGCGCTCAGGGTTACAGAGACTAAGTCCTTTGGCCAGTTTTCCACCCACGCAGCTGATGAAGTCCTGTTTCTTTAAAATTTCCACTGAATGGTATTAATAGAAAGGGATGGAGGCATCTCCCCACCCTTGTGTTATGTGATATCGTGAAACTGTCCCATGGGGGGAGATGTCATTGTGAGCAGTCATCTCTCCTTGAGGCCTTTGGTTTACATCCAGCTCATTATTACTTACCAGGCCGCTGGTGTCCTGAAATGCTTAACAGAACAAAATATTACAGCATAAGAGAGGAAGATGGAGTGCTGAAAGAAATATTACAGACTGTTCTAGTATTTCTCAACCCTTTTCATTTTATATCATTTTTTTCCTCCTGGGCACACAGACTGTGGCATAGATAAAGGGTGTACAGGGAATGAATAAGAACACAGGCTTTGATGGCAAGCAGATTTGTGTCTGGGTCCCAGCTGAGTCACTTACTGGCTGTGTGAGTTGAATGTGCCACTTAATCTTGCCACACCTCAGTTTCCCCAACTGTAAAATGAAGATAATACCAGTTGCTACTGGGTAGGGTTGCTTGAGGATTGAAAAATAAAGCAGGTATTCTTTCCCAAACTTTACAGGCTTCAACTACTTTTAGATTCTGGAACATCTACCAGGTGCAATCCCTCCTTCCACCCACTTGATGGAACAATTTCATTCTACACAGGAGGAAACAAAAAAAACCTGAGATGGGAAGTTGGTTGTGCCAAGAATCACTGAGTCATTATGCTTTCCAAGCACCTGCCTTGTCACTCTGTCCGCCCTTCCTATTAGGAAACACCCCACAACCACGTGTGTTTTTCTGAATGCTGATCGGACCAGAGATAGACACTTGGCCCAAGGGGTGGCCCATCAGTTCTTGCTTTCAGGAATTTGGCCTGGGACATTAAGCTGAAGCTGAAGTGGCCAAATTGCATTTTGAGAGGTCATCACATTGAATAGGGCCCCTGCAAGGGAGAAAGTGTGTGTCATGAACAAGGGGCAGTTGTGGAGCAACAGGATTTATAATGTAAACTAAAGATAAAGTGTAGATGATGTGGACACTGGTGGGAAGCATCAGAAGATGTGAAGAGCCAAGAGAGGCACATATTGGAGGGTTGAGTTGAGAGCAAACCTGAATGGGCACTTGGCAAGTATTTTTGGAATGTATGGTGGATGACAGCAGGGGAAGAGAAATACTTCGAACTTCCTTGAATTCTGTTCACCTGCCATTTCCCAGCCTCATCCACTTGGCTGGAGTGATTCCTGCTGTTGGATTTCTGAGAGATTTGCAACCCTTAATGCCCCATGGGCATTCTAAGCAATCCTCCTCTCCCTGCCTTTTCTGCAGGCTAAACTCTAATCTGTACCGTGAGATGCACTGCTGCAAAGGGAGGGGCAGGTGGCGAGGGGTGAAGGTTCAGATGAGGAGGAAGGAATGGTGCAAAGACAGGTGGGAGGACATCCAGGGGTACTGAAAACCTCTTTCAGGTTGGACACTGTTCTGGTTATTTATTTCTGCTGTAATGAACCATCCAAAAACATAATGGCTGATACATCTATTTAGTATGATCTGTCAAGTTTCTGTGGGTTGATTTGGCTCAGCCAGGTGGTTTTTACTTAGGGTCTCTTGTGCAGTTGTAGGTAGGTGGCAGCTGGGTTGCTGTCATGTGAAGGCTCGACTGGGCCAGATATAAAAAATGGCTCACTTGTATGTCTGGCAGTTGATGCTGAGTGACACTTGGGAATTTGGCTCTGGTTCTGTGGCTGCCTGTGCATGGCTTCTTCATGTGGCTTGGGCTTCTCGCAGCCTAGAGGCTGGTTTCTGAGAAAGTCCATCCCAAGAGCAAGCCTTCTGCAAGATCCAAGCGGAAGCTGAAAGGCTGCTTTTGACCTAGTCCTGAAAGTCTCATAACATCACTTTTGCCACATTCTATTGGCTAAGCAAGTCATTAAGATCATTCCAGATTTATAGGCCAGGGCATTAAGCTCTACCTTCCAAAGGGAGATGTTTCAAAGAATTTGTATTCATTTCTAATCCATCACAGAGGCCAAGCTAAAGAGGTATGAAAATGTTTCCCCAGTGCCCCAGCAGAGACAGCAGAGGGTACGTTGATGCTGGGTTGGGGTATTGCAAGGTGGGCGGGGATAAAATAATAGGGAAAAAAAAATGGAAGACAATGAGACAGTCTCCAAAAGGCCCTTCATTTCTATCAGTTAGTTAATAAAAGTAGCTATCACTTATCAAGTGCTTTCTATGTGCTAAGTGCTGTCCACAACAAGCTAATGGGTTGGTAACTATTATTATTCCCATTTCAAGGAAGAGAAACTGAGCCACAAGACACTAAGTAACTAGACCAAAGTCATACAGTTTACAAGCCATAGAGCTGGATTTTAAGCAAAAGAATCTAGCTCCAGAGTCCATGCTTTGAGCCACCACACTACACTGTCTAATTTTATTGCCCAACTAGCAATTGCTGAGAATTTGCTATGTCCCAGGCCCTGTTTTAAATCCTTTATATTTTGTTATCTCATTTAGTTCCAAATGGAAAATAGGAGTATGGCTGGAACTCTGGTCTGGGTTATCAATTAGTATAATTCCCATTAACTGCACCAGATTGAGCTCTCCCATGCTATTCATTTCCCATTTCCTGTGCCTGGGATTTGCTGACAGGGAGATGGGTGAGTGACCACATCACAGTGTGAGTTCTAGAAGCAGACAAGCCAAGTGAGCCCCATCACTCAGGCCACACAGGCCACCAAGGTGAGGCCATAGTTCAGGCATTTATCAAGGCAGCCATGTGGGCCAAGGGCTGGATTAATTCATGCCCTGACAGCTAGAGCTAAATTAGATCTAGATAGCACAGCTGTCTCATTGTTTAAGGAATTATAATGCAATGAGCTGTATGCATTTCATAAAAAGGGTTATACGTGCTCATCCTACTAGGAAAAGGCTGACTCTTTATGAGTGCCTCATGCACCACTTCCATGGATCAGGCTAGTAAATTTTGTTCATGAGCAAAGATGTTGATTTGCTCTTAGCTTCTAAAGATAGGGAGATCTGTTGTCAAAGAGACTAGCCCCTCCTCACTGTAGAGATTAGAACACCTCTGGACATGTGGGCTGCTCCTGCCCTGAATGCTGATTTCTCCATGCATGAACAACCCTTTGCTTCCATAGGTCACAGTGCAAGGACACAGTGATCAATGAGGGGGTCTGTGAGAAATGCTATCACCAATCTCCAATGCAATCTCCACTGCAGCATAGTCAGGAATTGATTTCAGAAGCCTCTGAAACTGTCCCTGGGGCAAGGATTGTGGTCTCTTAAATGGAACAATGGCTGCAGTGCTGTAACCTGCAGAATCTGTTAAAGAAAGGACCTTACTACTACTTCGGTCAGAGTCAAAGGTTGATCTTACCTTTGCCTCAGGTTCTCCTAAGTACAAGCATCAAAATTTCAGGGAAGCTAAAAGGTTTAATTGAGCTTGACAAGTAAACCAAAACATACTTATGCTTGATTTCCTTCTTTAAATGATCCCTAGATAGATAGGCTCAAGAGTGAGGCTGATGCTGGAGATCATGTATTTGTAGTGACAGTGAACTGATTGGCCATAGGAGTTTCTGCAGAGGTGTTTAGCAGCCTGAACAAATTCTGGGTATAGGCAGTTGGTGACAGAGGGACAAGGGGATTGAGAGTGTGGGTAGCGAGCAAGTAGTTGAAATGGGGAGTTGTGGGGTCTAGGCTGGTTAGGGAAGAATGTGAAGCTTAGCAGTTCACAGTCTGAGAAAAAGAGAAGGACAAGACCCTAAAGGCTTCAATGTCATTGACGCACGAGGCAGCAGTGGGGAGGGTAAGATATTGCAGCTGGGGAATTGAGCATTTATGGCATGGAACACTTATAAGAGATGCCAAGAAGTTCTAGGCATGGCTTTGGTTGAAATGGGGAAAGTTGCAGCATCAAAGAACAGGGAGCCTCTTGTTGGACAGGTCCTCTCCATAGACACTGAAATTACCCAAGCTGCTGGGGAGTGTCGAGGAGGTTTTGGATGTCAGTGATGAGGCTGGAGGGAGATACGACCAGATGCCATGGACTTCTTTTTTTGCTTGAATTTGGAAGAGTTGATGAGGAAGAAGCTCAGGATACTGTGGGGATGAGAAAGTTCCAGAGAATAAATGCTCCAAGCTGCTTGCATTTTGTAAGATGGCCAAGAATGACAGAGCTGCCTGGTGGCATGAACTGCCTTCAAGTTTCCAGGTCAGGCTATAGATTTACAGGAGCCCAAGAAGCCCTAGCTGCCTCTGAGGTTTGCACAAGGTCTGCCATAATTTGTAGGTATTGACAAACAAATAATTAATTCCAAAAGCAAATTGCAATCCAGGAGTGGGGATGGGCAGGTACATGGTGGACTCAACTGCATGGTGGACTCAACTGTTACCTGGGTGACACATAATCACACATGCAACTACAGCCTTAGGTGAGAAAAAAAAGTCTTGCTGCTTAATTCCCTCTGTGGAATTATTTACTCCTCCTCATAGGTATGCTTTATGTTTCTGTAGAATTTTGGGATGAAGAAAGCCACTGCTGGCCCTGAGTCCAGATGAAGCTCCCTCCCTGGTGCTAATGTCCACAGGTAATATCTTCTCTACTGATTCACCCTATCATGTTCCTTTCAGGAGCAGCAGCTGTGTCCAAAATTGTCATACCTGTGTTACAGACACTTCCCAAGTGATAGGGGTCTTCCTTATCAGATGGCTTGACTGACTCTCAACCATTTTCCATTTTCCCTTTGTAACACTTGGAGGGGAGCAATCATTTTAGATATTAGCCAAGGATCCCCATATGTCATTGCTTTTCCTGTCCATCAAGTTAGTGGGTTTTAGTGCTCCAGAGGAGGGATGGTACAGCAGAGAAGCATGTGACTGTTTGCTATTTGGAGAGAAGGGTTTGGAAATACCTGGTTGACTGGACCCAGTGTGACTTTGCTGTGGGGATGAGCAGATCTCAGCAAGGACTATGCATGGATGATGGACGATGGCCAAGGCAAGAGAGCAGGGTAGCTTGGGGCATGCCAGCGTGGGCAGCAGGCAGTGATAAGGGACCAGTTCACCCTCTGGCACTTGGTTCCTTTGCCCCTCCCACCCGGGGAACAAGTAGGGGTCCTCCCTGAGCAGCTGAGATCGTGTTTTCACCACTCAAAGCAAATGGGGCTTGGGATACCAATAAGGATCAGCTATAGAACCATCCAGAAGGCTCGATTTACTGCACCTCTAATTTGTGGACTGAAATTCTTACTTCTGGAGGAGGCAATCTGTCAGGAATTCTAATCAACTGTGTTTTTAGATTTAATTGTGTGCCTGCATGCCGTACTGATAGCAAACATTAGAAATGAAGCCACATTAGCTCAAGGCAATGCTGCAGCCCGAGAGAATTGGTGAGTGGAGGTGAGATGGCTTTCAGAAGTCACTGCTGATTTTAAAAATTACACTACCTGTGATAATAATGGAGGAAGAGAAGTGGAGCTGAGCAGGAGAGGGAAAGAAAGATGAAAAGGAGGGAGGCTTGCTTCAGAGTTCCCTTAAATGTGGCATTTCTGAAAGAAGCAGATTTATTACTAGAGAGGGCAGGTCAGAAGTCAGAGAAGATTCTGACATCAAATTAAACCAGTTTGCCTTGTAGTTCACCCTTGGTATCAGCCCTTGGGAAGTATTATGGTTTGGATATTTGTTCCCTCCAAACCTCAAATGTTGCAATTTTATGCCTAGTGTTAGAGGTGGGGTGTAATGGGAGGCATTTGGGTCATGGAGGGAAGCAGAGCATATTTATAAGCAGATCTCTCATGAATAGATTAATACCCTCTCTTAGGTTGAATGAGTTCTCACTCTATTAGTTCCCACAAATACTGGTTATTAAATGGAACTTGGTGATCCTTCCCTCTCTTGCTTCCTCTCTTGCCATGTGATCTCTGCATAGCCAGCTCCCCTTCACCTTCCACCATGAATGGATGCAGCCTCAGCATACACAGATGTCCAGTTTTGAACTTTACAGCCATTAGAATTGTGAGCCAAAGAAACCTCTTTTCCTTATAAACTACTAAGCCTCAGGTATTCCTTTATAGCAACACTAGACGGAATAAGACAGAAAACTGAGTCTTCGGCCGGGCGCAGTGGCTCGTGCCTGTAGTCCCAGCACTTTGGGAGGCCGAGGCAGGCAGATCAAGAGGTCAGGAGATCGAGACCATCCTGGCTAACATGGTGAAACCCCGTCTCTACTAAAAATACAAAAAATTAGCCGGGTGAGGTGGCAGGCGCCTGTAGTCCCAGCTACTTGGGAGGCTGAGGCAGGAGAATAGCATGAACCCGGGGGGGGGCAGAGCCCACAGTGAGCTGAGATCGTGCCACTGCACTCCAGCCTGGGTGACAGCGAGACTCCATCTCAAAAAAATAAATGAGTCTTCTCAGTGGGGAAGAAGAGTGGGGAACACACATGAAATTGTGGAAGTACCTTTCAAACTGGGTAATGGGGAGAGCCTGGAAGAGTTTAGAGGGCTCAGAAGAAGACAAGGGAAAGTTTGGAACGTCCTAGAGACTGGTTAAGTGGTTGTGACCAAAATGCTAATAGAAATATAGACAGTATACAGCTGGGCATGGTGGCTCATACCTGTAATCCTAGCACTTTGGGAGGCCGAGGTAGGTGGATCATTTGAGGTCAGAAGTTTGTGACAAGCCTGGCCAACATGGTGAAATCCTGCCTCTACTAAAAATACAAAAATTAGCCAGGCTTGGTGGTGGGTGCCTGTAATCCCAACTACTAGGGAGGCTGAGGCAAGAGAATCACTTGAACCCAGGAGGCGGAGCTTGCAGTGAGCCGAGATTGCACCACTGCACTCCAGCCTGGGTGACAGAGCGAGACTCTGTCAAAAAAGAAAGAAAAAAAAGCAAAGCAAAGCAAAGCAAAGCAAATTATGGGCAATGCCAGAGAGGTCGCACATGGAAATGAAGAACTTATTGAGAACTAGAGCAAAGGTTACCCATGTTACACTGTAGCAAAGAACTTGGCTGCACTGTGTCCATGACCTTAGACTTTGTGGAAGGCTGAGCTTAAGAGTGATGACCAAGCATACCTGGTGGAAGAAATTTCCAAGCAGCCAAGCACTCAAGGAGTGACATGATTACTTTAACAGCTTACAGTGAATTACAGCAGCAAATGAATGAGCTAAAGGCAGACTTTATAATTAAAATGGAAGCAGAGCATACAAATTTGGAAAGTTCACAGCCTGGCCATGTGGTAGAAAAGGAAAGCATTTTCAGGAGAGAAATTCAAGGGTTTGGTGGGAAGTACAAGTTGCTAAAAAAATTTGCATGACTAAAAAAGAGCCAGGTGCTAATAGCCAAGACAATGAGGAAAAGGTCCTGAAGGCATTTCAGAAAACTTTGAGGCTTCCCCCTCTTATCACAGGCCCAGAGGACTAAGAGGACAGGATGCTTTCAGGGGACAGGCCTGGGGTACTACTGCCCTGTGCCACCTTGGAATGTTGCTCCCTGCATCCAGGCCATTTCTTCTTCAGCCTTGGCTCCAAGCAGCCCAGGTACTGCTCGAGCCACTGCTCTGGAGGGCACAAGCCATAAGCTTTGGTGGCTTCCACCTAGATTTCAGAGGTGGAAGCCACCAAGGCTTATGTGGAATCTGTTATGCAGCTCTACGAGGCATTGCAAGGCTTATGCAGCTCTACTAGGCATTGCCTAGGTGGGAACTCTTAGTGATGACTCCACTACTGAGGCAGGTTCCTGCCTGGGCACCCGGACTGTACACCAGAGCTGCAGGGATGGGGCCACCATCAGGACCCCAAAATAGTAGAGCCACCGGCCACTTCTCATCTCACCTGGGAAAAGCCTCTGGCTTAGACTTTGATCCATGAAAGTAGTCATGTAGGCTATGCCTAGCAAAGCCATCAGGGTGGGGCTGCCTGAAGCCTTGGGAGCCCACCCCTTGTATTGGTATGCTGAGGATGCAGGGCATGGAGTCAAGGCGATTACTTTGGAGCTCTAAGATTTAATGTCTGCCCTGCTGGGTTTTAGATTTGCGTTGGGCCTGTTACCCCTTTCTTTTGGCTGATTTCTCCCTTTTGGGATGAGAATATTTGCCCAATGCCTGTACAACCATTGTAACTTGGAAGTGAATAACTTGTTTTTGGCCTTACAAGATCACAGCTGGAAGGAGCTTACCTTAAGTCTCAGATGAGACTTTGGACTCTTGAGTTGATGCTGAAATGATTTATGACTTTTGGGATTGTTGGGATGGAATGATTGTATCTTGCATGTGAGGAGGATGTGAGTTTTGGGGGTCCAGGGGCACAATGCTATAATTTGAATATTTATCCCTTCCATACCTCATGCTGCAATTTTATTCCCAGTGTTGGAGGTGGGGCCTAATGGGAAGTGTTTGTGTCATGGGGGCAGATGCCTCCTGAATAGATTGATGTCCTACCTTGGGGATGAGTGAGTTCTCACTAAATTAGTTCCTGCAAAAGCTGGTTGTTAAAGGAAGCCTGGTACCTCCCCTTGCTCTCTTTCTAGCATCTTGTTTTCATCATATGATCTTTGCACAGCCAGCTCTCCTTCACCTTCTGCCATGAGTGGAAACAGCTTGAGGCCCTCACCAGATGCAGATGTCCAGTCTTGAACTTTCCAGCCACCAGAATCATGAGCCAAATAAACCTCTTTTCTTTATAAACCGCCCAGCCTCAGGCATTCCTTTATAGCAACACTAAATAGACTAACACAGGAGGTTTAGAGAGGATCCACTTGTTAGGATTCTTTTAGGCACAGAGCTCTCAGGGTGGAGCTAATGGTCATGGCCCTCAGCCTCAGAAGTGTGGCCCTCATTAGCAGTCTCTCATGCCCCTGAGCATGGATGGGAATAGTTTAGACATAAATGCCGTGTTCCTGATTGACTTGTTTCCACTGAGTCCATACGTATTAGGGATCTGTTGGTAATTATCCGGCTCCACTTCAGCCCCTGGGGGCCTGTATTCTGCAGCAGTAATGAGCCTGAGCAGCCTTTCTGGCATAATAAACAGCACCAGAATGCAGGGAAGGGCACTGACTTCCTCTTTCAATAGGGCATCTCAGCTTCAAGGACGATCAAGAGACACACAATCACAGGCAAGCTTTAATTGCTTTTGTAAAACTGCAGATGAGTAGCAGGCATTGAGGTCCCCCTGAGTCTCACTTGAGAAGTGAGCTCTTTATTCATCTTGTGTGCTTGAAAAGGGGTGGGAGTAATGACAACAACAGCAACAGCTCTCATTTAGTGAGTACTTATTATGTGCCAGGCTCTGTGTGAAGTGCTTTATGAGCATTATTTTATTTAAAACTCACTGCCACTATATGAAACAGGGACTACTATTTTCCCTATTGTACAGATGAAGAAAGTGAGGCTCAGAAGAAGTGATGTGACTTGTCCAGTTGACAGAAGATGGATGTAAATGATGGGAAGCTAGGGAAGAGCCGGGGGTCCTGGACAGGAGGGCATGGGAAACCTTTTCATGCTCTCTTTGTCTTCAAGCTTGATGAGAAGGAGATGAAGTTCTTCAGGGGAGATGAAGGCAGAGTGATATGTTCTCATATGAAATCTTTGTCACAGTTTCGCTTTCTGACTCTCATAAGGAAGGAAAAAAGATATCAATGAAATTTCCTAAAATCTGCCTGACAATCTGTGTTCAGGTAAGTTACTATGGGACCCCAAAATGTCACAACCTTCAAAACTAGCAAGAGGCCCTAATAATGGCATTTATAATGTCTCAGGAACAAAGTGGCCTTTAAGATAAAATAGATAATACAATTTTTTAAAAAGGAAAGAAGCAACCATAGGCACAAATGACTGGAAAGACATATGCAGCCACCTGAGTGGTAGAATTCTGGACAATTTTCCCCTTCTTTTCATTTTCTATAATGAACCTACTTTTAATTTAAAATAATCTTTAAAACAGTTCTTTAAAAAACAACCATAAAACTGTCTCTTACAAACTCAGTTGTGGATATAAACCATTTCAAAGAAAGTAGAAATGAAATCAACATCTTTGATTTTATGGGATAAGCTAAAGCTGAATTCAGGAAAAATACTTGTCTTGAATATTTTAGTCATTAGATGAGTAAAAAGTGAAAATAAGTGAAATGAGATTGACCTCAAGCATTAGAAAGAGAAGGTGAACAAAATAAACCTAAGCAAAGCAGGAAGGAGGACTTTAAAGAATCATACATTGAATCTGAAAACCTAACACCAATAAAAATTGATAGCTACATCCCAGATCTGGTTCTTTAAATGGCCAGTGAGATAGACAAATCTCTGGAAAATAAGAAAATAGTCAAAATTCAGAATGGAAAAGGAGTTAGAACTATGGACTTAGAGGCTATTTTAAAAGAATTACCAAAGGATATACTATAAGATAATGCAAATGAATTTTAAAACTAGATGAACTAGATTTTTTGAAGGAAAATACAAATGAATAAAATTGACTAAAGAAAGAAGTGGGAAATGTAAATAGACAAGTAGCCCTGAAAGAAATAGTAAAAGTTGTAAACAAACAAAACCCCACTTCCCCAAAATATTGTATGCTCAGACAATTTATGGATGAGTTTTGTTAAACATGCAAAGAGCAGGTTATTTACAGACTCCTAGAAGAGTTAGAGCAAAAAAGAAGAAGAAGAACAAGAAGAGGAAGAAGAAGAAGAAGAAGAAGAAGAAGAAGAAGAAGAAGAAGAAGAAGAAGAATAAGAAGAAGAAGAAGAAGAAGAAGAGGAGGAGGAGGAGGAGGAGGAAGAAATGTTTCTCAAATAGTTTTATAAAGCTAGCATAACTGACAACAAAATCTGATGAAAACATTGCAGAAAGGGCCCAGCACAGTGGCTCAAACCTGTAACCCCAACACTTTGGGAGGCCAAGGTGGACAGATCACCTAAGGTCATGAGTTCAAGACCAGCCTGGCCAACACAGTAAAACCCTGTCTTTACTAAAAATACAAAAATCAGCTGAATATGCTGATGCATGCCTGTAGTCCCAGCTACTCGGGAGGCTGAGGCAGGAGAATAGCTTGAACCCATGAGGCAGAGGTTGCAGTGAGCTGAGATCATGCCACTGCACTCCAGCCTGGGCAACAGAGCGAGACTCCATCTCAAAAAACAAAAACAAAAAACAATAAAAAAAAATCTTAAAAGATAACAATATCTAGTCAAAGATGAATGAGATGTGGGCTCTTGTCAGCATACTACAATTTGGTGCCGCTTCAAACCTAATTTAAATATTAAACATTTGAATTATAGAAGTTGTATGTGCTCGTTGAAACAAGTTAAAAAATGGATGC
Source organism: Homo sapiens (assembly GCF_000001405.40). Lineage (NCBI taxonomy): Eukaryota > Metazoa > Chordata > Mammalia > Primates > Hominidae > Homo > Homo sapiens. Next base: position 22,959,154 of record NC_000016.10, on the reverse strand, counting down.
AATTGAAGCATCTAAAGTAAAATTAATAATCTTTTCTACCCGTCTCCAAACTAATATCCCTAATAAACACTGTTAAAACTATTGTATGGTAACTGTCTATATTTTCCTTTGCTTATATAAACATATGGAAATGTATGGCTACTTACATAGGTTTCCCCTTCTCTTTAAAAAGTAGAAAGTACAAAAGATATTCTTCAGCTTTCTTTAATCAGTTATCAGTTTATCATGGATAATCTTCCAATTAATACACAATACTCTATATGATAAAATTGATGTTCATTAAACATTTATGTAGTACTTATAAAGCAGAGTGGCTGGGTGTTGGTAGGGAAGAGTGGGAAAGGAGTAGACTTCAGCCTCTCCACAGATGCCCCAACAATTCAGTTCTGACCCAGAACTTGCATGAATGTCCCACTGAGCAAAATCATATCCCTATAGTTAATTGGACCATCCTTCTTAGACAGTGGTTCAATGACCATCTATTTGTTCCTTAGGAATTTTGGTGAATACAATGTTCAGTAATATTTGAGTACTTTAGTGATGCTTCAAAGTACTTAGATGCTAAACAGTCATTTGAAGGACTGTTTAGGTGTCTCATCCTATGATCTAGCACTAAGTCTATAGTGGATCATGGGATTAGGAAATAAGCACTTATATACTGTATGTGGAAATTTTTTACAATCTTATATAAAGATAGGAACAATAGACACGAGGGTACATCAGACAGAGGAGTGGGGAGGAGGGCAACGGTTGAAAATCTACCTATTGGATGTTATGCTCACTACCTGGGTAACAGATTCATTCATACTTTGAAACTCAGCATCACGCAATATGCCTTTATAATAAACCTGCACATGTACTCACTGATTCTAAAATAAAAGATGAAAGAAAAATAATTGAAACAGTCAACAAGAATGAGTATTTACATAAAGTCAAATAAGTCTTCCAAAGCAAAAAAAAAAAAAAAAAAAAAAAGAAAGAAATTAGTTACAATCTTTATATAGGGCAACTTGTGCATCCAGATTGGCATACCATTTGAGTAGGTAGTTTAACATAAAATAAGTAAATAAATTTATAATATAAATGATATAAATAAAATAATCAGAGATACAGACAAACCTTTCTGGAGAAAGATGATTATCACTAATTTATTTACAATACAAAAAATTGGAAACAATCTAAATGCTCATCAACAGGAAATAATTATGGTACATTCATGCAATTGAATTCTGTGCAGTTGTTAAAACTAATGTTATAGAAGAATATTGTCATAGGAAAATATTTATAACGTGTGTTGTATGAAAGGTGTGATTATGAAATATTAAGTATTCTACACACATGGAGAGATAGTTAAAAAGATTGAAAGAATATTTACAAAGTTCCCCTTTTATACATAACGTTTTGCTGAAAGTGTCTTTGAAAGTGGGCTCTCTGAAAGTTCAGCACTAGGCTTACATGTGACAAAGTATTCCTATTCTTACAGTGCTAAAAACAATGAAAATCCTGACTTATGGTTGCTGCAGATCTTCTGTGGAGGGGAGACTCTTTGGCAGTGCTCCGCCTGCACCTCAGTGTAGGAGGATGTTGACAGCACAGGGCGTGCCCCTCTTCTATCCATTCAGTGGTATTCACTGTGTATTTGCTCTGTGCCAGTGCCTCTGCTGAGCACAGGGACATGCTGGGGAACAGAGCCAGACTCGTTTATTTTATTTTATTTTATTTTATTTTATTTTATTTTATTTTATTTATTTATTTATTTATTTTGAGACGGAGTCTCATTCCATCACCCAGGCTGTAGTGCAGTGGCATGATCTCGGCTCACTGCCACCTCTGGGTTCAAGCGATTCTCCTGCCTCAGCCCCCGGAGTAGCTGGGATTACAGGCATGTGCCACCATGCCCAACTAATTTTTTGTATTTTTAGTAGAGATGGGGTTTCACCGTGTTAGCCAGGATGGTTTCGATCTCCTGACCTCGTGATCCTCCTGCCTTGGCCTCCCAAAGTGCTGGGATTACAGGCATGAGCCACTGCGCCCTGCCTCAGACTCATTTCTTATTCCCACATAGCTCACAGTTGAGGACGGTGGGACACATCTTAAGGAAATAGTCACATGAATGAATGTGCCCTCAAAGAAAAGAACATGACAGCCATTCCCCTTAGAAGTGATGATGGGAAAATGGACGTGAGCCTCTCTCCTTACCCAGGTATTGCTGACTCTCTTCCCTCTCTCCCCAGGAGCCACAGCAGATGGTTAGGTAGCCCCCAGCCTTAGATCCTCCACGTTGTGGAGTGCCAGGGAAGGGGCAGATGAAACGACTTTCCCTCCTGGGCTTAGTGGCAGGGGATGAGAAGGGCTTTGCTGATGGCCTCTGCCACTGCCCAACCAGAGGACAATCAGAGCAACGCTTTCTACATAAGAGGGCTCCTGGGGTCACTCTGTGGGAAAAACAAAGATGATGGGAAGAGGAAAAGCTGGGCTACGAGACAGAAGAGCCCTGGGATGCACTGGAGTCATTGGGTCTGTTTGTTTTCCAGCTCTTCTTGAAAAATCACATATTCTGGCACCAGTGGTCCCACAACCCTACTTTGTATCAGTTCCCAGGAGCTTCCCTGGCCCTTTAGTTTACCTACAACTCACTTTGTGTTATCTTCCTGGGCCCTGCACATGGCCACCAAGTACAGCAACACGGAACGTGCACTGCATAAACTTCAGAGGAAGCCATTCCTGTAGACTACAATATGAATGGTACCCCCTGGAATTGTGAAATGTAGTGACCCTGCCTTGTTTTTAACTTGCATTTTGGATCTCTGAATTAGGGCTTCTAATATATAATATGTAATTTGCACTAAAGCCGCTTTTAAGAAAGACAAGCATCACCTGCACCTGCATGTATTAGCAGTGTTTATTTCCGGCTGGTGGCATTATGATTGAGTTTTGGTCTCATCTTTGTGATTTTTCACATTTTCCAATTTTTCTGCAATGAACATTTATTCCTTCTTTAATCAGAGAACAGGGAGGAAATGACAATAAATGTTACATTAAGGAAAAAGTAAACGAGGTGCTCTGAGATTCTGGCAGGCAGGAGAGCAGAGGCCAACAGTTACTTGTAAGTGAGAGACTGGAGGCAGGCAATGAGAGGATTTCTAATGAGGCCAAGAGTCCAGGGAATGAGCCAGAAGGGGGCTGAGATTACCATCTGAATCTAACAGCCTTCTTTAGAAATTACTAAGCGTACAGTGTCCTGGGAACGCACAGAGACACAGAAACCAGCATAAGCACAGGGTACATTGCCCCAGGAATGAGGACTGAGATTTGCTTTCCTCTCTCACTCTGAAAGGAAGTAAAGATAGGCTCCGAGCTTGGGAGAAGCTTGATTAATTGCCAAGCTAAGGCTAGTGAATGAAAGTTCAATTAGAATTATGCTTGCTAATGAAATCCAAGTGCTGGAGCAGGAAGCTGGCAGAAGCGGCCCTGTTTTCTGTAAGCACAAACCAGGAAGCTGGAAAGGGGGGGCTTGGGGGCATTGGGAGAACGGAGGGATGCTCCCCTGGGATGGAAGCATTGTGGGCAAGAAACATTTCACTGCAGACCTGGCAGAAACAAATTGTGCTCAAGTGCATAAGCTATAAACCCTTTTGTACTTCAATTTCCTCAACTGTAAAATGAGGATAATAATACCTTCCTCGGAGGGTTATTGTAAGAATTAAATAGTGTGACTTATATACAGTTACTTTCCCTTTTCTTTTTCTCAAGCTAATTCAATATGTCAAATACTTACAGAGCATTTGCAGAAGGCAGGCCGCCATGCAGGAAGGAGTAGACAGGCAGACCGGTTGCAGGGCCATGCTCCTCATGTATATGATCTCTTTCACATCATTATGATCCCATGACACAAATTTTTTATAATAACTTTATTATTATTATTATTATTATTATTATTATTTTCCTGAGACAGAGTCTGGCTGTGTTGCCTAGGCTGGAGTACAGTGGCGTGATCTCGGCTCACTGCAACTTCTGCCTCTGGGTTCAAGCAATTCTCCCTGCCTCAGCCTCCTGAGTAGCTGGGATTACAGGTGCCTGCCACCATGCCTGGCTAATTTTTGTATTTTTTTAGTAGAGACGGGGTTTTGCCATATTGGCCAGGCTGGTCTTGAACTCCTGACCTCAGGTGATCTGCCTGCCTTGGCCTCCCAAAGTGCTGGGATTACAGGCATGAGTCACTGCGCCCAGCCAATAACTTTACTTTTAAGTTTTTATTTTGAAATAATTTTAGACTTACAGAAAAGTTGCAAAAATAGTGTAGACAGTTCCCTGTATACCCTTGACCCAACTTCCCCTAATGTTAACATCTTACCTAATCATAGTACAATTTTCCAAACCAAGAAATTAAGATTAAGAAATTATGAAACAGCTAAGTCGCTTATTTAATAGAATTGTCCCAACTGTAATAGCGCTTACTAAAATTTCACCAATGATTCCCCTAATGTTTGTTTCCTGTTCCATGATCCAGTCCAGGATCCCACATTACATTTGTTTTATTTTTTTTATTTTTTTAATTTTTGAGATGGAGCCTCACTCTGTCGCCCAGGCTAGAGTGCAGTGGTGCGATCTCGGCTCACTGCAACCTCTGCCTCCTGGGTTCAAGTGATTCTCCTGTGTCAGCCTCCCGAGTAGCTGGGATTACAGGCGTGCACCACCATGCCAGGCTAATTTTTTGTATTTTTAGTAGAGACAGGGTTTCACTGCATTGGCTAGGCTGGTCTCGAACTCCTGACCTCAAGTGATCCACCTGCCTTGGCCTCCCAAAGTACTGTGATTACAGGCGTCAGCCACCACGCCCAGCCCACACTGCATTTAATTGTTGTGCCTCCTTGGTTTCCTCCAGGCTGTGCCATTTCTTGTCTTTCATGACCTTGACACTTTTGATGAGCACTGGTCAGTTATTTTGTAGACTGTCTCTCAATCTGGGTTTGTCTGATGTTTTCTCATGATTAAATTGTGCTTGTGCATTTTAGACAAGGATTCCACCAACATGAGGTTGTGTTCATCTCAGTGCATCCTACCAGGGGGTCGTAAAGTTCCTATGTCTTATAGTAACTTCGTTTTCTTATTTTTACATATGAGTTAAGGAGTTATAGAGATTAAGTAACTCACCTGAGGCCCATAGTTTTGAACATGGCAGAATCATGAGCCACATCGAAATGGTCTTGGGAGCAGGAAGGATTAATAGATGTTAGAAATCCAGGCTTGAAATGCAGGTAAGAGATCATGACTGCACTGTGATTTAAATTGTCATTTGCATGTAGATACCAACTAAATTAAGGCGATTCCCCCTTCCCAGGGGGGAAATCTGGAGCTCCCGGGTGGCTTATTCAGTAACATAAGTAGCATCAGCGGACCAGGTGGGCCCAGGGAGAGATGCAAGCACCTGCTTCCTCTACAGGGCCAGCTTTACTCAGCTGAGCTACCTGTGTCCACAAAGGAATGTGGTCCAGTGTGGCCAGATCCTCCAATTAATTGAAGAAGAGCATTCAGTTTGGTTTTTAAATATTGGGAACAAATTACAAACAATATGAGCAACCCTGTATGGGCCAAACAAAACACATCTTTTTTGCTGGATGTGGCTTACATGTCACCTCTGGGCAAGGAGAGCAGAAAGCTGAGAAGCACTTTGGGGTAAAGGAGGAGGAAGAGAGGCCAGCCTCCAAGACCCAGAAGTCTTGATGCAAAGATGGACATAGCAAGACAGGGTAGCACCACAAAGGCCAGTAGGGGAGGGTAGGAGAAGGCAGATGTGTCCACATTCAGGATTGTGGCAGCAAGGTGGAGAACAATATTGCAGAGATTGCCAGGAGCCCAATCATTCCTTCTTAGCCACGAAATTTGCTTTGGTCAATTAAATGTAAGCAGAAATGACTTGTGTCACTTCTAAGCAGAACCATTAAAAGCTAGTACACAGTTAAGAACCTCTTCGTCGTATTCTTTTTTTTTTTTATTTTTTTTGAGATGGAGTCTCGCTTTGTCACCCAGGCTGGAGTGCAGTGGCTTGATCTCAGCTCACTGCAGCCTCTGCTTCCCAGGTTCAAGTGATTCTCCTGCCTCAGCCTCCCTAGTAGCTGGGACTACAGGCACGCACCACCATGCCTGGCTAATTTTTTTGTATTTTTAGTAGAGATGCGGTTTCACTATGTTGGCCAAGCTGGTCTTGAACTCCTGACCTTGTGATCCTCCCGCCTCAGCCTCCCAAAGTGCTGGGATTACAGGCGTAAGGCACCACGCTCGGCCTCTCTTAGTAATATTTTAAGTAGAGGATGTGCTATCAACCAGAGTCCCAGAATTAAGATAACATGGAGCAGTTATCAACCTGTGCTGGAAATGTGAAATGAACAAGAAATAACCTTCGCTGTGTCAAGCCACTAAGATTTGAGATTGTTCCTGCAGCAGGACTTAACCCATTCTGATTGACACTAGCTCATTTATCTGCAGCCAGTCACTTGGTTTCCTGGTCTTATAAATGAAAGGATATTTTCTTCACTTTGCCTAAAGGAATTTCAAACAATTTTTTACTTCTGTGAAACATTTTTCCAAATTTGTACCACTTTATCTTTGTGGTGCCTTTTTTCTCTTCTGTCTGCTGAATAACCTCTCTTGAATGTGTATATTTCTTCCAATAAATATTTTCAGACCTGCAGCATTTTGTACAGGATTTACTAAATTCATCCCTTTTGATTATTTTTGTCTCCTTGATTTTTTTTTGTTTTGTACTATGCATGTCTGAGTAAACTTCATGAGCTAAACCAAGTTTGTATGTAGTCAATGTTCTCTCCTGTTTAAGAAGGCACTGGCATTTTGACAGCAAGGATGAAGACATGTGGTAGATGGGTTCAGAATTGTATTGAATTCCACTCTATTTTTCAAGATATTTAATTCATAAAGTAATTTTGGGATCACGAGACATAATGAAACATATAACATTACAACCAAATATATTTATGACTAAATTATAAAACTTTGCAGGAAAGGCCTCTAGACAAGCTGGCAAAAAGTCATTAAAGTATTTGAACATTGATTCAGTCACTAAATATTTACTGAATGCCTCAAGTATACTAGGGATACATCAAGGAATGACAGGCGGCTACTCTCATAGGATGCCCATTAGGGCAGTGGAGCAGAGTGGTTAGAGGCAGGCTTTGGAGCCAGTAGTATGACTAAGCAATTGACTTCATTGTCCCTCCCCTGAGCCTCAGTTTCCCTATCTGTAAAATGAGGATGATCAAAATTCACATGGCTGTATTAGAAATGAATGAGCTCGATGTATACAAAGTGACACAGAACTGGCAGATAGGGAATGCTTAAGGAGTGGTAGCCTTGTTGATGTTACACAAACTTCCCTAGCATGAGGAAGCAGGGCCATGAACAGAGGTTGCTTTTGTGGAGAAAAGTGTGACAGTAGAGAAAAGGAGAGAGAAAAGGAAAGATGGTGGCCAGGATGAAAAAAAGAGTTGTTTGTTTAATTCTGGAAACTTAAGTATGCCCATTGGCAGGGGGAGGATGAAAAAAATATTGAAGACTCAAGAGAGATGGGACAATAGGTGGAAGTCAGTCTTGGAAAACAGGACAGAGAAGTTAGACTCAAAGGAAAAGAGGAGATGCTTCTCCTGGAGTGGAGACGAGGTCTGGAAGGAGAGCAGGAAGATGCTCAAGAATCTGGTTGCAGAGAGGAGGAAGTTGGGGTATCTCTGTTGCAGGGGCCCCTTGGTCTCTATTAGGAGAAGGAGGCTTATGAGGCAGCTGGAGATGGTTGGGGCAAGGTTGGCAAAGTGTGAGCAGCTCTGGACTGAGTCCTTCCCTCGGGTCCTGCTCCAGGGGACAATGGGTGCTGATAGACCAATGGCAATGGGCAGAAACATCCTCTCCTTTCCTGGCCTTTAGAGCGACTGCCTTCAACATCCTCCTCCGCCCTCGAAAAAAGAAGTCATATGATTTTGTAACAGTGACAGAAATCTGACGTAGCTGGCTCCATCTTGCTTCTAACCTCACAAGAGAACTGCCTTTGCTCAATCCTGCACATAGGCCAAGCTAACTATGGGACAAATGTTGTTTCTAATTTAATTTCAAAGCAAGGATGAGAGTGGCCCCTTCCCAAAACTAAAACCCAAGGAGATGAGGATGTACATACAAACAACAATGTTGAATTAAATATTTATAGGGGCATCGTGATCTGACCAAGGACAAAGAAGTTCTGCAACCTCCTCGGACTCCTGCTGATGCCCAGATGTCTGTGGTCACCAGTTCCCACTGAGCTCAACCCCACCTTGTTCCCCCTTCCCCAATATAAAAAGAAGCTTCAGATTCATGCCTTTTTTATTTTTATTTTTTTATTTTTTTGAGACGGAGTCTCGCTCTGTCACCAGGCTCAAGTCCAGTGGCGATCTTGGCTCACTGCAACCTCTGACTCCCTGGTTCAAGCGATTCTCCTGCCTCAGCCTCCTAAGTAGCTGAGAGTACAGGTGCGTGCCACCATGCCCAGCTAATTTTGTATTTTTAGTAGAGACGGGGTTTCACCGTGTTTGCCAGGATCGTCTCGATCTCCTGACCTCATGATCCGCCTGCCTCAGCCTCCCAAAGTGCTGGGATTACAGGCGTGAGCCACCGTGCCCAGCCCAGATTCATGCCTTTTAAGGCAGCTTCTTAGGACATTGGTCTGCCGTCTTCTCAGCTTGCTGGCTTTCCAAAATACAGTCGCTTTCCTTGCTCTGACTACTTGTCTCTCAACTTACTGGCTGTTACGCAGTGAGCGGTCCAAGTCTGGACTCAGTTACAAGTTCCAAACTGAGAAGCATGCATTTGTTGGTCCAGGCTTCCTAGGAACCTAAAGGCAGCCAAGCGGTCTCTCTGTTCCCAGAGTTCTCCAGTGAGAAGGAGAAGCTGGTCTAGTGTCCTATCACCACACATTTAATGATTTGCCATTTGCCATTTGCTCAAAAAAGGCCAAATGAGCTAACCTGACTTGCAAGACCCATTATGAGCTGCTCTCCTCCCCCACCACTTCTTACCACTCTTCCTCTCTCCAGAGGGGGCTCAGGTTTTCCTGTGTAGAAGGCAGGCTGTTTTGAGGTTACCATGAGCTATGACTGCACCCTTGCCTCAAACTATACTTGCATTATGCTTTGCATAAGGCTGAGACAACCTCGATTGGCCATCTCAAATAATGGAGGCAGTGAGATGACAGAAAACATGGAAGCCACTCATTGGCATCTCTTACTTTGTGTGTCAGTCACGTGGAACTTGGCTTGGTTCCTCTTATAACTGAGGACTGAGAGTCTGTGCTGTGTCTGTGCTCACCCTGGGGTCTTCATCCATGCTGTTTCTTCTGCCTGGAACATATTTCTCTTCCTTCCTTCCTTCCTCCCTCCCTTCCTTCCTTCTCTCCCTCCCTCCCTCCCTTCCTTCCTTCTGTCCTTCTTTCCTTCCTTCCTTCCTTCCTTCCCCTCTTTCCCCTCCTTCCCCTCCTTCCTTCCTTCCTTCTTTCCTTTTCTTTCTTTTGACAGGGTCTTGCTCTGTCACCTAGGCTGGAGTGCAGTGGTACAATCATAGCTCACTGTAGCCTCCAACTCCTGGGCTCAAGTGATCCTCCCACTTCAGCCTCCTGAATAACTAGGACCACAGATGTGAGCCACTATGCTTGGCTAATTTTTTAAAAATTTGTTTTGTAGAGGCAGGATCTTACTGTGTCACCCAGTCTGGTCTGGAACTTCTGGCATCAAGTCATCCTCCCGCCTTGGCCTCTGAAAGTGCTGGGATTACAGGCGTGAGCCACTGTGCCTGGCCCTGGTACACACTTCTTGACCATACTTTGCCTGGATAACTTCTACTCATCCTTCAGATCTTAACTGAAAAGACTGCTCCTCCAGGCAGCCCTCCTTCCTTCTCTCCCTTTTCACTATCAGTTGATCCTGTATTATGGTAGTTTGTCTGTCTCCTGTGCTAGACTATAGACATCTTTTGTACCCCAGCATCCTGCCCAGTTCCGTGCTCCTGGCTCAGAACAGAAATTAATAAATGTCTGTGGAATGACACGTCAAATGAATGAATGAATGAATGAATGAACGAACGAACGAAGGAAGGAATGAACGAACTCCATGTGGCTCCAAAGAAACAGTGAGCAACTCAACCTGTAGGTGGCGCAGTTGAACAGGCGACCAGAGTGGGAAGGGCTTATGGCCAAGGATCTGTCACCTTTGTTGCTGTTAAGCCACGTGGCGCATGATCCCTGTGCAGTTGGCTTTTGAGGCTGAAATCGTGACTTTATCTTTATCAAACTGTGGGTGCTGTGGAGTCACCCGGGATTACCTTAAAACCATTGGTTCTGGAGTTGAACTATTCGAGTTTAAATCCAGGTTTTTGCTCCTTCCTGCTGAGAAACCTCCGGAAAGTCATTTAACTTCCCAGAGCCTCAGTTTTGCCCTCTGAGAAATGGGCACGATAGTAACAGTACCTGCTCCCTCACAGAGCTGCTATTAATACAAAGATCGAAAGGGGAGTGAGTCGCTCAGGCATGCCTGGCCCAAAGCAGGGGTGCAGGCAGCTTAGGGATGACGAGTGTCGGCAGGTCTCTGTGGCGTCTTCCTCCCCATCCTGCGCCATGGGGCGCGCGTGCAGGCTGCGCTCTGCCCGCCAGTCCTGGCATAGCCTCTCCTGAATGCGCGGAGCGGGGTGCAGCCGAGGTTTCTGGGATTTCGAGCCTACTGGGGAGTCGCAAGGAGGCTCCAGAGCTTGCGGACCCATGGCTGCTCCTCTGATTGTGAAAGCAGCGCTGCGGCTCACAAAGTGGCCCTTTCAGTGGTTTTTGCAGCAGCAGAAAAGCGCCTGCAGGCGGCCGGGTTCCTCTACGGTGACCTCCGAGCTGGTGGTAAATTGCATCTCTCGACAGAGGTGGCTGAGGGAAGCGCCGGGATCAATCCTCACCCGGGGAGGACAGGACTGGAGTGCTGGACCTGCACGACCCTGAGTGCAGTGCGGTCGGGGTGGAGGGTCCGCTGGGGATCGGCCATGCCAAAAGGCATGCTCTGGAAGCCAGGCCACGACAAGTCCTCCCAGTCCCGCGGAATGCTGGGGAAGGAGGAGACTCCACCTGGAGCCCCCAGATCCTAGGAACTCTTGGGGTGGTTGGAAGTGTTTGGAGGATGGGCTCAGAAAAGTGGAACTTGGATTCTGGAGCTGAAAGGGGCTGCAACTCCAACCAGAAGCAGCCCTCATTATCCCGTTTCTGCTGAAGGTCCAGACAGGGGTTGGTGTCACATTAGGGGGTGCTGTCATAATAACATGAGAGCTGCCAGCATCAGCCCTGCACCCAACACACTTAGGGGTGATTCAAGCTTTGCCTCTTACTAACTGTGACTTTAGGAAAATTATTTCCTTGGGCCTCAGTTTCCTCATCCGCAAAATGGAATTATAAAGTAGCTTCCTCGAGTTGTTGTTGCTGTTACAGGATTGGCACACACAGTTTGCTGCCGATCCTAAGCCATGCAGAGGACTAATCGATCCACACAATCGTTCCCGCTAAGCCTAGATAGACTCAATGTGGTGCTCCACACTCTGATCAATTAGTGCACAGCATGAAACCTTCAGGGCATCACTGGCCTTGGGCCTTGCCAAATCATGGGCATCAAACTTCATTACAATTAGATGTTTTTAGCCTCTTTTAAGAATGAAGAATCTGCAATTGCACATCACTGTGGTTCAAATTTCATTGCACTAGAGAAGTGTGTGTTGGCCAATATATAAATGTACATATCTTCTCAGCATTATTTAGAAGATGACAATGTGTCTGGGGATATTTCATCTGCAGAATCTAATAAACTCAACATCATTAGATATTTACATAAAACAAATGAAAATGTTGATGTATCATTTACCTGTTAGGACGTATTATGTAATAGCTCATCAGGTTGGGAAAATTAGATGAGATAATGTATGTAAATCACTTAGCATGGAGCCTGGCACATGACATTTGCTCAATAAAGGTTAACTAGAGTAATATTAAGACATAGTGAAGTTGAAATATTGATATGGTTTGGCTGTGTCCCCACCCAAATCTCATATTGAATTGTAGCTCCCATAATTCCCACCTGTTGTGGGAGGGACCCAGTGGGAGATAATTGAATCGTGGGGGCAGTTTTCCCCATACAGTTCTCATGGTAGTGAATAAGTCTCATGAAAGCTGATGGTTTTATAAGGGAAAACCCCTTTTTCTTGGCTCTCATTCTCTCTTGCCTGCTGCCACATAAGACATGCCCTTCACCTTCTGCCATGATTGTGAGGCCTCCCCAGCCACGTGGAGCTGTGAGTCCATTAAACCTCTTTTTCTTTATAAATTACCCAGTCTCAGATATGTGTCTATCAGCAGCATGAAACCTAACTAATACAGATACAGTGGAGTTCACAGAGCTGTGACCATGCATCATTGTTTTGTTAGGATTAGGTTCTGCTGCATAAGCAGAATCTACTCTGCTTGATGCCACATCCTGACTTCATTCCTTCCCTTCCCAGTCCTACTTTCTACTCCCCTGCAGGCTTTTCCTAAGAGCATGCCTAGTAAATTACCTTCAGATGAATCATTATTTTGAGGCTCCTAGGGAACCCAATCTAAGAACCACCAACACTCATGGACATTAGGATCGATCAGATTCTAAGCCAGTTCAACCAATCACAACTCAGCACCTCATCCTTGCTGGTCACATTCACATTATCAATAAAAGTTAATATTTGTGCCAGACACCGTACTAACTGCTTGATATATATTAATTCATTTGATCCCTACAGTAACTCTGTGAAGTAGGTAGTCTTATTATCCACATTTCCAGATGAAGAACTGAGAACCAGAGAAGTCAAGTAACTTGTTCAAGGTCCCGCAGGTAATAAGTGGCATGGCCTGAATTCAAACCTAGGCAATTTGGGTTTTTGAGTTTGGGTCTTAACAGCATGCTCTGTAGCTAGTCACTGCAATGCACCCAATAGAACTCAGTAACTAAATAGTAAGAATTGTTAATGTGAGCAACAGAGACCAATTGGGAAGTGAATTACCCATGGCTAATATAATAATTTGGTTGGAAAAGCAACCAAAGTGTCTATAAGAAAGAAATTTTGAATAAAGCTGTGGGCAAAAAAATAAAATAAAATAAAATAAAATAGAGCAATTTTGAAAAAAAAAAAAAAAAACAGCAAGTTTGTGTATCATGGTTTTCCTGGGGGTTTTGCTGGGGTTACCTCTGACCTCTGGACATCCTGCACATATTAACACCACACACACACACACACACACACACACACACACACACACACACACGTGGAGATGTTGTCTTTACAAAGCTAAAGAAGCCCATGCTATTCTCATGAGGCCTCTGTTGTCTGAATTCCTGCTCACAGAAGCTGGGGCCATCTTATCTGGGTGATAGCCAAGAAAGATGGTGTTGGGGGTTACTTGAAGCTTGAGCTAGGATGAGGGAGACAGGCACAGAGATGTGGACTGGAATGTCCCAGATAGCTTCTCTCATCACATGTGTGGGGGTTGTGCTGAGATGGCTGAAACAGCTGGGTGCCAGCCAGCACCTCTCTTTCTCTTACTCACTTTCTTTTCACGTGGCCTTTTTTGTGACTGGCTTCAGCTTCCTCACAATATGGTAATTTCAGAGTAATCTGACTTCTCACATGGGGAAAGCATCCCCTCAAGAGTGCAAGCAGAGGCTGTCTGGCCTCTCTTAAAGGCCTAAAAAGGGCACAGCATCTCTTCTGACAAATTTCTTTGATCCAATCAATCATAGATTTGATCATAGGTTCCAGGGAAGGGAAAAGGATCTCCCCTCTCAACCAAAAGAATGGCCAAAAAGAATGTTTGGCCATCTTTACCCTGCCACAGACTGTGGTTTAAGCAAGATAGACACAAAGTTTTATTGTTATTAAGATGTTGAGATTGTTTGTTACAGCAACTGGCTTATGCTGACTAATGCACCTTGTCATCACTGCATGTATAGAGGGTTATTCTCATCTTCCCTCAGAAAGGGTCATCTAGTAAATGAAGCAAAACTGAGAGAGAATGGAAGACACTGTCCAGGGACTATTCAATCTCTGTTTCTTCTCAAGACCTCAATTCCTGATCTTCTTCCACCTCCTTTTGCATTGAAGAAAAATAAGTTCAAGTAAGAGATGTATGAACTCTCATATTTGGTTCACAGAACAGTTTTCACCAGGGAAGTTGAGCTAGTAGTCAAAGTGATTAAAGCCATTTGGAGGTAATGAGCTCACCATCGCTGGGAAGAATTTGTGCAGAGGCTGGTGTCATTGGGATGCTGGAGTTGAAATCCAACCACTATCCCTTCCACTACCGAGGCTGCTTTTCCTCAAACCCAAAGAGATCCCAGTTTGGTGGAAGTCTTTTCCAGCCCATGAGACCACCTGGGTAGAAATCTAAGCTTTAGATTGTCATGAGCAGGCAACCAGAGCGTGTAAACATACATCTTTCTGGAAAGTTCCAAGCCAGGTAATAAGAAACTGGTCCTTGGCATTTAATAGAAAATAAAGGATTTCAGAAGTTTCTTAGAGCAAAGACTAGAGACTGATAATAATAAAGATGTGTGAGTGTGAAATAGATGAGACCTTGACCTCTACTTTGCCTGGGTGTGGGAAGGGGTCTTTTGTAATCTACTGTGGATTTCTCTAGAATAGGGACAATGTCTTAAATATGCTTGGTTCCTTTCTTTCCCTCCTCCTCAACATCCTGTGCTTCAGCATGACCTGCCGCCTCCAACTCCAAAATACATACTGAATGTGTCCCTTTCTCTCCATCTCTGCTGCCCACACCCTGATCCAAGCCACTATCATTTCCTGCCTGCACCACTGCCCCAGCCTCCCAGATGGCCTTGGTCGCATGCTCATCTCTCCCCCTACAATCCATTTTGCACACTGAACTTGAGAGATCTTTCTGAAACAAATCATGTTACTCTTCTGATTAAAACTCTCTCATGGTTTCTCATGGCACTTAGAAGAGAGTCAGAATTCCTGCAATGACTAGAGGCTCTACAGATTCCAGCCCTTTCATGTCTCATTGACCTCATCTCCTATCCTCTTGTCCTCAGGACTTGCCACTCAGCCATACGGGCTTCCTTTCAGTTATTCATTCACCCAGTGCGATCCCACTTGCTACTCTCTCTGCCCGAAATGTTATTCCCTTCCCATCTTCTTGTCATCCTGATCTCTGCTTAAAGTCACCTCATCAGGGAGACTTTCCCTGATCAGCCTACGTAAAATACAGCCCCTCATCCTTCTGTATCCCCCTACTGTTCTTTCTTTTCTTTATGTCATCAATTTATTTGCCTATTTATTTATCCTATGTCCTCTACTCTAAAAGGTTATGCCCAGGAGACACTTTGGCTATCTTGTTTTCTGTGATATCCCTCTAGCCTAGAACAGTGCTTGTCATAATCAATTGAATAAATGAAAAAGTATCAATTAAATAAATTTTAAAATGAATGACCATTTGGCACTTCCCCAGGTTCCAGCAGAGATCTGGACATGCAGTAGGCAACCACTAACTTTCTTCCATTTGGTGACTAAATGGAAACCAAGGTAGGCAATGGCTTCATGTCGTCACTGTATTGTGGTTGTGTTTCAGTATATGCAACATGGTGATTTTGTTCTTCAGAGGGGTTCCTCACATCCCAGAGAAAATGACTTGAGACACAAACTGCAGGACAAGGTCAGTCTACCAGGATCCTGCCCAGCTCTATCTGCGCTCCCAAAAACTCATCCACCTGCCTTCTCCCTGAACCACCTTACACACTCCAAGCTGACCCAGTGAGGAGTTGGTGGGCGAGTGAATATCTTCAAGGCTTTTTTTAAACAGACCATCAACACTCGGAATGTATAGCCTTAAGTGTGTTCCTAGAAAGACAGACTGTCTGGGTAGATAGAATATATAATCAGAATTTCTCAAATGGTACTGCTTGGATACTGTTGTGAGACATTAATTTGTATTTTCTCTCTTTTCCTTCCTTCCATGCAGGCAGGTGGCTGGCTTGGTGGTTGATTGCTTTAAGGGAGGAATGTGTCAGGACTGAAGGCAGAAGTATCCCCCAAGATTTATGTCTTTGTTGCTGAAAACTTAAACATGAGAGGATAGGTTTGTGGGAGGAGGCGGAATGGCTTAGATGACTCAGAAAGGAGAGAGAGAGAGACTTCCCTGAGATTAAGAAAAAGAGATGTCCTCTGGGCTGGGGTAAGAGAGAGTATCTAGTGGGTTCCCAGAGCAATAGTCAGGCAGAAAGCCCCCAGGGAGAAATGGTACATGATGTGTCCATGGACATAAGACCACAGGGACCTGGATCCCCAGCCTCGCCGAAGATCCTTGGGTCCCATGTCTGGGGTGAAAGCAGCAGACAGAACTTGGAGCTGAAGGCACCACACAGATGAATGGAACTCTCAGGAGTAATTGACACCATAGATCTCACACTCCATGCCTTGGCACTGGATAAGATCCCGGATCTTTGGCAGTACAGATGCATTGAGCTGAGGGCCACTCTAAGAGACAGAGGCAGAAGTTCCTGCTAGTGCCATAAGGTTCAGAATGGGAAATTTGGCAGTTTTTTTTTTTTTATAAGGAGATGTGACCATTCTTGCACCCTACACTTTTGAGACAGAGATTCCCATCCACTCTGTGTTTATTATTGGAGGGATAAGAACTAAATGAGAGAGGAAGCAATAGATGGGGCATAATGACGGAGTTGCCGGTTGACTAAGGGAGTGGCCAGGCCTCTTATACTTGCTTTCCAGGGTATCCTTGAGGAGTTCTCCAGGAGTTGCTTCCCCTGGGCTCTGTATTCATAGTTAAGGAAGTAATCTATGCCTAATGATGCCATAAGCATGATCACACCTTCTTTTGTGTAAATAATGTCTGATAAAATGAGGTGTGAGCCTGCTGTTGCAAAGAACACTTAGCTGTTAAATGCTTTCTTTTCCACTCCATTGACTTTCCCTATTTATAGCTTTTCCAGCAGAGCATTTGTGTCATATTCCTTTCCTACCAGCTGCTGGGTTCCTCAACTTAGTTCTGAAGGAAAACCCACAGGTACCTTCCTGGAACTACCTGTTCCCTATGGTGCTGGCCTCTGCTTGGGTCAAGAGTCAACAGACAAAGTATGGGGTGAGGTCTTGTATTAGTCTGTTTTCTTTTGCTTATAACATAATACCTGAAACTGAGTAATTTATAAAGAAAAGAAATATATTTCTTACAGTTATGGAGGCTGAGAAGTCCAAGGTTGAGGGTGCTGCATCTGATGAGGGCCTTCTTGCTGGTGGGGACTCTGTAGAGTCCCCAGGCAGCACAGGACATCACATGGAGAGGGGGCTGAGTGTGCTAGCTCAGGTCCTTCTTCCTCTCTTTTTCTTTCTTTCTTTCCTTTTCTTCTTCTTTTTTTAAGAGACAGGGTCTTTTTAAAAATTTCAATAGGTTTTTGGGGAACAGGTGGTATTTGGTTACATGAATAAGTTCCTTAGTGGTGATTTCTGAGATTTTGGTGCACTCTTCATCTGAGCTGTGTACACTGTATCCAATGTGTTGTCTTTTATGCCTTACTCCCCTCCCACCTTTTCTCCCAAGTCCCCAAAGTCGATTATATCATTCTTATGCCTTTGTGTAAAGACAGGATCTTGCTCTGTCACCTAGGCTGTAGTGCAGTGGCTCGATCATAGCTCACTGCAGCCTCAAACTCCTGGGCTCAAGCAATCCTCTCGCTTCCAACTCCTGAGTAGGTGGGACTATGGGGACACATCACCACACCCCGCTAATTAAAAAAAAAATTTTGTGGAGACGAGGTCTCCCTATGTTGCCCAGACTGGTCTTGAACTCCTGGTCTCTTCCTCTTAAAGCCACCATTTCTCTTCTCATGATAATCCATTAATCCATTAACCCATTGATCCATGAATGGATTAATCCATTTATGAGGACAGAGCCCTCATGATCCAATCACCTCTTAAAAGTCCCACCCCTCAATACTGCCACATTGGGAATTAAATTTCAGCATGAGTTTTGGAAGGGACAAACATTCAAACCATGCAAGTCTCCTCTCTTCCTCCCTGGACTTGCCCCAGAAGCTTCTTTGCCAAATTAGTTAGTAACAGTCCCTTGACCTGGTTAACCTGGTCAGAGGTGAGGGGCATCTACTGAGAGGGGAGGATTATAGATAGTGGGGTGAGAGGAGGCTTTTTGTCTTGGAAATAGGACAAAGGGTGTCGAAATAAGAACAACAAAAACGCTCTAGTGAGGGTGATAACATACTAATATTAACATTAGTATTAATGTTAATGGGAATACTGTAGTTAATCTTTACTGAGTTGCTTACTGTATGCTGAGGAGCGTACGAAGAGTTTAAATGTGTTATCCGTTTAACCCCACCCCAACCCCACAAAGTAGGTTTTGAGTGGGCAGTATTGATCAGAGGGGAGTCCGCTTAGATGAGGAGATAGGTATTGTGGCTGCTGAATGAAAGTAAAATGAATTATGTGAGCATGTTCAGGAGAGACCATAGAGGTCGATTAAGTCTTATTTGTAGAAAGACAAAATAAGCAACAACGGTAGGCAGAATTGTGGGATGCTTTTTTGTTCTTTGACAGCAAGAGTGGATTTTAAATGTGTTTTTCTTATTTTTAAACTTGTATGAATTTAGGGAGTAGAAGTGCAGTTCTGTTACATGGATATATTGTGAAGTGGTGAAGTCTGGGATTTTAGTGTAACCATCACCCGAATAGTGTACGTTGTATCCATTAAGTAATTTATCATACCTCAGACCCTCCCACATTCTCACTCTTCTGAGTCTCCAGTGTCTATCATCCCTCAGCCCCTCCCACATTCCCACTGTTCTGAGTCTCCAATGTCTATCATCCCTCAGCCGCTCCCACATTCCCACTCTTCTAAGTCTCCAGTGTCTATCATCCCTTAGCCCCTCCCACATTCCCACTCTTCCGAGTCTCCAATGTCTATCATCCCTCAGCCCCTCCCACATTCTCACTCCTCTGAGTCTCCAATGTCTATCATCCCTTAGCCCTTCCCACATTCCTATTCTTCTGAGTCTCCAATGTCTATCATCCCTCAGCCCCTCCCACATTCCCACTGTTCTGAGTCTCCAATGTCTATCATCCCTCAGCCCCTCCCACATTCCCACTCTTCTGAGTCTCCAGTGTCTATCATCCCTTAGCCCCTCCCACATTCCCACTCTTCTGAGTCTCCAATGTCTATCATCCCTCAGCCCCTCCCACATTCTCACTCCTCTGAGTCTCCAATGTCTATCATCCCTTAGCCCTTCCCACATTCCTATTCTTCTGAGTCTCCAATGTCTATCATCCCTCAGCCCCTCCCACATTCCCACTGTTCTGCGTCTCCAAAGTCTATCATCCCTCAGCCCCTCCCACATTCTCACTCTTCTGAGCCTCCAATGTCTATCTTTCCATGCCCTATATTCATGTGCATACACTATTTAGCTGAGAACATGCAATATTTGACTTCCTGTTTCTGAGTCCTAGATTTTAGGAAAATCTTTCTTTACTGAGACCTAGGAAAACTGAGGTCTCAGTAAAGACTGAATCCACACAGGCACCATGTCTGGTTGCCCCAGTAATAGGATCCTCACTTTAGGATAATAACATTATAATGAGAAAATGAAAATGAAATAAACAGGAAGTCAAGAAAGAACTGTGTGTGCCTAGTGAATGCCATCTTGGGAGAAGGGAGATAGGAAAGGAGGGCAGGAGGGAAAACATTTGGGTTATGTATAAAAGTTACCTTGAGATAACTTGGCATGGCATGTATTTTTGGCATCTCCCACAAACTTTAGGGAAAAAAATGGGATGGAAATAAATAATGAACTTGCTTATCCCCATTGACTAGTCCTTTTCAACACTGGCATAGCCTCCTGGAGAAATGTGTTCACAGGAAATGGTGAAAGACCATCTTCCCGGTGATCTGTGGCCTTGTACTTAGCTTTGAACATTGGGGTCATGGTTGACCTGGGATCTGAGACGCACAGCCTAGAGTCAATCCTTGCCTCTCAGGGCACCACCAGGCAGTGATTTTGACAATCTACTGCTTAAAATTTTCTTCCTGCTCTTACTAACACCAGAAGGTTGGACATGTCCCAAAGGAGTAAAGGGGATAAGAGAGGAGGTCAGCAGTTCTTATGTTTGACACCACTTTATAGACAAGAAAATTGAGGTTAAGAAAGGCTGAGTAATACATGTGGTAGGGCTGGGGTTAGAATGCAAATGCTTCTGTCTCTAGTTCAAGCATATCATTCTTTCCAGCGTCTTAGTCACCTTCTCAAAACCAAAGAAACTTAAGGAGGAGAAAGAATAAATAGTAGATTGCTTGCCAACATTTGTCACAATTCTTTCATTCTCTGAATCCTTTTCCTATGCCATGGGACTCTGAACTTCTCCCATCAAGAAGCAGAGTTTGGCTGGGTGCAGTGGGTCACACCTATAATCCCAGCACTTTGGAGGGCTGAGGTGTGAGGATTGCTTGAGGCCAGGAGTTTGAGACCAGTTTGGGCAAGATAGCAAGACCCAATCTCTACAAAAATTAAAAAAAAAAACAAAACAGCTGGACATGATGGTGTGCACCTTTAGTCTCAGCTACTCAGGAGGGGCAGGCAGGAGGATCCCTTGAGCCCAGGAGTTCAAGGCTGCAGTGAGCTATGATGATGTCGCTGCACTCCAGCCTGCAAGACCCTCTCTCTAAAACAAATAAACAATCAAAAAAGAGGCAGAGTTTATGTCCTCACCCCGTGAAACTGGGCTGCCTATGAAACTTGCTGGCTTGAAACTGAGCTGGCCTTGAAACTTGCTATGGAAGTGAGAGTGTGCCAGTTCTGAGCCCAGGCCTCTGGGGCTCTTCTGGGCATCCATTCACTCTGTGCAAGCCCTGCCATGGCCATGTGAACTAGCCCAGGCTAGCCTGCCGGAGGACAAGAAACCCTAGGGAGTAGAGCTGAGGACCCCGGCTGATGCAGATGCAAGAGATCAGCCAATGGTGGCCCCTGTCAGCAACCCAGGGATTCATGAACAAGAATCAATGTTGATTGTTGTACACCACTGGAGTTTTGTGATTGCTTGTTACATGGCACTACTGTGGTAATAGATGACAAGTATAGAAGGCTATGGAGACTCCATCCTGCGAAGATGCACAATGAAATATTAGACAGCAGGATGAAAGAGTAGATTTAGCAGGTCACAAGAACTCTGGGAATCTGAAACCCTCTAAGGAGTCTGCACTCAGTGGCGGATGGAAAAAAAAATTAGATATTATCTAATACCATCCTCGGAGACATTGCCCTTGGAAAAAGAAAAAGGAAACCAACATTCTGTGCCAGGTAGCCTAGAGTCATTCTTCCATTTTCTCTTTACAGCTATCCCCATGAACACCATTTCACAGCTGAGGGAGAGAAGGGACAAATTCAAGGTCACACAGCTTAAAAGCGGCAGAGTAGGGCCGGGTACAGTGGTGCATGCCTGTAATCCCAGCACTTTGGGAGGCCAAGGCAGGTGAATCACCTGAGGAGTTCGCAACCAGCCTGACTAACATGGTGAAACCCTGTCTCTACTAAATACAAAAAAAAAAAAAGCCAGGCATGGTGGCACATGCCTGTAATCTGAGCTACTTGGGAAGCTGAGACAGGATAATCACTTGTACCTGGGAGGCCCAAGTTGCAGTGAGCCAAAATTGCGCCATTGCACTCCAGCCTGGGCAACTATTGCGAAACTCCGTCTCAAAAAAAAAAAAAAGGGGTGGCAGAGTAGGAATTCTTACCAAGGTCCAATGGACTCCAAAAACCACCTTCTTAATCGACTCCGTGTTTTCCATGTAGTCACTGAGCAGGCATTTATTATGCCAGACCCTGTGCTAGGCTTAGAATTTCCTAGTGGACTGGAAGATAGTCTATGTCCCCAGAGAACTGGAAGTCCATGTGAAATAAGGTGTTTTGGGTGCTATGAGACAAGTCACTCATGGACTTCCAGGGTGTGATTCCTTCTCAGTAGAGGAATGTTGGGTCAGAGGGTTCTGGATTCAGGTAATGATCGATGGGCAATGGTTTTCAGTTACTCAATTACTTTGGCTTCTTGTTTTGTTCTTCATCCTGAAATGAGCTTGGGATTTAGGCCCTGGTTATGGGCTTTAGGCAATACTGAATTCAGAGCTACTGTTCCATTGGGTTCTGGGCCTGAGAGTGCTTTAATATGGGTTATGGAGAGGGCTCTAGGATTATACTTGGATTAGACCTTGGCTTGTGTCTGAATTGCACTGGGAAATGTTAGGTCTTTACATAGCTATGGTTTTCGCTAGGCTTGGGATTAAGTTTTGCGCTCCATTAATCTCTGCACTTGGCTTCGAACACCAGTATCTTGGCTGGGCTGGAATCTAAGATGGATGAGGCAGGTGGGCTCAGGGCCACCACCAGATCTCAATGCCCTGGCTGGCCTCTCTTTGATTTCTCTCTCCTTCTCTTGCTCAATCAGCTCCTACCATCTCATCTCCTGGGAAGTTTTCCTCAACTTCATTGAATGAAGTCCATACTTTCTCCTTCACCCAGGTGTGAAAATATGAAAGCAAACTTTCCATGGTTCTTTAATCTATTTGCCACTTCCCAAAAATAACTCTACCACTTCCTTAATCCTTGCTATTGGTGAATCCTGTGTTAATCTTATGTCCTAGAGTCTAGAAGAACTCTTAGGACAGATTCTGACTGCAAAATGCCAAGACTACTGTTTCTAAGGGCTCACGGTCACTGGATTGAAGGTGACCTTAAGGTCACCTTCTGAAGGGGTTGGGGGCCACCAGGCCATGTGCTGTGCAGTTCAGTGTGTGCAAAGCAAGCTAAGCAAATCAACGGAGCTGGGATGCGTTGTTTTGGAGACCTCTTTTTTTTTTTTTTTTTTTTTTTGGAGGTCAGGGAGCTCCTAGCAGAAAAGTTGGTACTGCCAAATTTCTATAGGTTCTAGGCCAGCAGGTGGCTGTATACCCAAGCCCACTAAAAAGCCCATAGGGCCAGAAACAGGTGTACAGAAATACATTTCAAGATTCAGAGCCAGGATTGACAGAGAATGGGGCCACAGCTGGAAGCCACAATGAGAGAAGATACAGGAGCAAGGAGATAAGAAATTTAATAATCACATGAAAAAATTAAACACCAGGCCCCAGTGCTTGTCACTTTCCATCCATTGAGATTCACAACACTTGACATCCAATTATAATTGTGGGTTCCTATAAAACAGCCCATTAACTGCAACTATAAATTATTATTGCTTATGTGCAGTAGGCTGCTGGCTTAGTAGCTGATACTGAGGATTATGGAAATCATTATCAAGCAACAATGTCTCTCTGAGTCCTCTTGCTCTGGGGAAGATGTATGGACCCTGGAGGAATGAAGAGGGCTGCCTAGGAGTTTTGATTACATGTTTTGCCACAAATTGCAACTTCCTTTGTAATTGACAAAAGGAGGGCTTCTTTCTCTACCACTCCTCAAATTTCCCATCTAGTCACCTTCCATTAGACAGGAACTTCCAAGGCTGTGCTTGAGGACCTGGTATACAAGTATACACATACACACACATGCACACAGCTACAGATGTTATTAATGGCTCATATTCGCTGAGTGCTTTCTGCATACCTGGCAAAAGCTAGGTGATTTCTCTATGTTTTCATTTTGCCTTCATATCGTCTTATGGGATGGTGATACAGCTAGTCCCCTTTTACAAACGAGGAACTGAGGCACAGAGTAATTATGAGTTATTTGCCTAAGGTCATAGAACTAGTAAAGGATGGAGTCTTGATTAAACCTAGGCTGAAAACAATATTTCACTCTGGTCTGGGCTCTTCACTACTTTCACACACTGCCTGCCAACAGATACCCTTTCACAAACAGCTGCTGACACTTCTGGATAGGACAGACATCCAAAAATCCACTCCAAACACTTTGCAAATACAGTCCTGCAAAAGCTACCTGCTTAGCCACTCATGGATTTATGCATAGACACTCTAATATGCACACATACATACACACACACGCATCATGCATGCACACACCATATGCATGCACATACATACACATACCACACATGCACATGCATGCACACACCACACACATGGACATGCATGCACATACACATGCTTGCAAATGCCAGCCACACACACAGACACACACAGTATAACTCTTGCCAACCACTCCTACTCCTGAAAAATAAATCAACATACATCGTGGATCCAAAGAAATACTTCCTAAAATTCTTTAAAGAGGTTATTCCATTCTTTATCAATTCCTTAGTCAGCAACTTCGACTCTCTCCTTTCCTCCTCTGCAGACAGCACTGCTTCCTGGGAGGGGAGAACAGCCAAGGAGCCTTGGGCAACTGCTGTCTCGCTATGGATTCTGTTGCAGAGTAGGGAGCGCTCAGCCCAGATGGAGTTTTCTGTCAGCTTAACAGTGTCACTTCACGTCTTCCAAGAATTCCCCAGAGCTTCTTGTCTACTGGTAGTACCTTTCTCTTCTTTTCCAGATTTTCTACAGTTTTAAAATTTGTATCATTGCAGTGGCATTTGGGGAAGGAATAGAGGTAAACATAGAGGCTAGATTTACCCTTTAGCAAACAAAGTTTGTTTATTGCATTTTAAAATGTGGCAATTTTTGTTTTTGTTTTTGTTTTGTTTTCGTTTTTTGAGACGGAGTCTTGCTCTTGTCGCCCAGGCTGGAGGGCAATGGCTCGATTTCAGCTCACTGCAACCTCCGCCTCCCAGGTTCAAGCGATTCTCCTGCCTCAGCCTCCTGAGTAGCTGAGATTACAGGCATGTGCCACCATGCCCGGCTAATTTCTTTTGTATTTTTAGTAGAGACAGGGTTTTGCCATGTTAGCTAGGCTGGCCTCAAACTCCTGACCTCGTGATTCACCTGCCTCGGCCTCCCAAAGTGCTGGGATTACAGGTGTAAGCCACTGCGCCTGGCCAGCAATTTTATTTTTATAGCAAAATAATATGTACCACTATTGACTGCTTTGCCATATATGACTTGGTACATATTGTCACATTTCATATCCCCTAGCAGTCTGTGAGGTAGGGACTATCATCACCAGCCCTTTTAACAGCTAAAGAAACTGAGGCATAGGGAAGTTTTCCTGATCAAACTCACATGGCTGAAAAATGGCAGAGCCAAAATTTGAACTCAGGTTGTCTAACTCCAAAGCTTGTCCTTTTCACCTAACCTACACCTTCTTTTGGCTGAAAACAATATTTCTTAACCGTTCCCTTTTTACAAGCGTAATCTTCTCAAGTCTCAAGAAAATATGGAGTAGGAATAATTATAAAAAATTTTTTCATTTTTCTTGGCTTACATCTGAGAAGAAACTTTTAGCGCAATCTCATTTTAAACTCCTGAATCTTCTCTTTTTTTCCTTTTCCCCTATAATTTTTCTTTCCTTGGACACCTTTACAGAGGGAGATCTTCTTGTTCTTTCCTGGGTTTTTTTTTTTTTTAAATGGGTCTTTGTTTGATCCTTTTGTCTCATACTAAGGGGAAATGGGAGAGCTTGTTTTTTGTATTTTTCTTTTGCTGGATTGGGATTTGGGTTGCTTCTGATAATGAGTAGGAAGTGAGTTTCTGGGGGAGTCAGCATTGCAGAAGAGAAGTTTCCTGCTAGGCAAAGCAGTTTCCTCTCTGAGTTTATTTTGGCAGCAGAAGTTAGTAGGGCACTGCCCTCTCCTCTAAGTGTCCTCATTAAGAGCTCACTGCAGAAATGCCTCCGCTTGGCTTGGTGCACTGTCCAGGGGAATTGCCAGGGTGGACAGCTCCATGGTCTAGCGCTAATGCTGCCCATGTCTCATGTCCTGTGTCCTGTCCTGGTCCCATCACTCTGTGCTGGAGGGATCTTTGTGGAAATCCCTTTCCAGCCCCGGCTTTTGAATGGCTAGCTTCCCCATCTCCTGGTATTGATGAGGGTCTCCCCCAACCCACCCATTTTTTCTATTTCTGTGACCATTTCAATTGGGCTTTATGAAGGAGAGGAATTAAAAGCAGGAGCTTCAAGTATTCTAATGAAAATGCAAATTAAAAATTTTCTTTTTAACAAGAAAAAGGACTGAAAGGATGAATATTCAAAGATATATCTGGGTAGTGGAATTATAGGTGATTTTTATTCTTTTCTTTGCAATTTTTCTTATCTCAGTTGGGTATCTGTTACTTTTAATTGATCGTTTTTAATCTCTCAATTTTAAAACTTCAAACATATAGAAAATAATATAACAGACATCCACATACCCACCATGAAAGTTTAACACATGTTAACATCTTCCCTGTTTGTTGCGAACTTTTTTTTTTTTTAATTTTCTGTGGATACGTATTCCTTTTCTAAATGAAGACTTCAGTACTCAGAGAAAGCTAATTCAGGGACTCTCTAAGTCCTGGAAGTAGTTCATTGCTTAACAATGAAATAGACAGTTAGCACTGCCAGAGAAGCCGGGTACCTGGCTATCAGGGGAACCAATTCAGGTTTGGGGGCAGTGCTGCTGTTAAACAGACTCAGGGAGGGAAGTTGGAGGGTGTGTATACTGGTTTAATGCCTGGGAAGATTTCCCCCAATTCCAGAGTCTAGAGACATCCACTCCATCCCTTAGAGCCTTGCTACTCAAGGTGGGGTCTGAGACCAGGATCCCTTGGCAGCTTTTTAGAAATGCATTGTGTTTCTCACATGAAAATGTGCATATGAGTCACCCGGGGATCTTGTTAAAAATGCAGATTCTGATCCAGCAGGTCGGAGTGGGGACTGGTATTCTGCATTTGAACAAGCTCCCAGGTGATACTGATGATGCTGGTCTGCAGAACACACTTTGGGTAGCAGAGTCTTAGAGGATTCAAGCGGAAGGAAGCCACCCTAGCTGTACGCGGCTGGAATCTAGTCTCATTGGTCAGAGCCAATGTTGCACTGGTTTTTACATTTTTGGAATACCACCTTGCTCTTGGAGAAAATGTTTGGCCATTAGATCACTTTAGGTTTTGCTTTCAGTTTTGTGTGCCCCAATTATTATAAATTATTGTAATTAACTCTTTGAATAGAGTCCATCAGGGCAAATTCAAATCGTAATCTATTCTAGCTAGAAAAAAAGGATACACTCCTCTAATTTCCCAAATCATTATCCATATTCAGTGTATCTCGATGTGGAATGAATGTCTTATTGTTGGTGTGTTTAAGTAGTGCATTGATGGTTCAAAAAATTTCTTTTAGTATTTGTTGGGCTTTGAGAGAACCAAAAAGGCACAACCCTATTATTTTTTTCATCTGAAGTCTGATCCAATTGAGAAAAAGATGAAGCTAAGTCAGATGGGAGATTACAATAACATTCTCATTGTGGTAAAGACTCAGCTGTGATCTGATTTTATTAGAGTCAAGGGCCCTACTAATGCCCACCCCACCTCGTCCCCCAGCTGGAACATTGGGCAGCCCACCTGAGGGTAAGTGTGATTCTTAGAAACAGACTCACTTGCCCAGATCACTGCCTGACTCTAGTCAGGTTGGAGAGGAAGGAGAAAGAGACAAAAATGAGTTATTTATGGCCAGGTGCAGTGGCTCATGCCTGTAATCCCAGCACTTTGGGAGGCTGAGGTGGGCGGATCACCTGACGTCAGGAGTTCGAGACCAGCCTGGCCAACATGGTGAAACCCCCTCTCCATTAAAAATACAAAAATTAGCTGGGCGTGGTGGTGCACACTTGTGGTCCCAGCTACTCAGGAGGCTGAGGCAGGAGAATCGCTTGAACCCAGGAGGTGGAGGTTGCAGTGAGCCAAGATCACACCACTGCACTCCAGCTTGGGCAACAGAGTGAGACCCCATCTCAAAAACAAAGACAAAAACAAGCAAACGAGGATTTATGATAAATTATCTCCACCCAACCAGGAAATGACCAATGACTGCACCCACCAACCAGATAAATTTTGTGAGGAGAAGGACTAAGCAAAGTCTAGGAGTGTTTTGTGAAAACCCCTTCTCTTGAAACCAGATGAATGTGGGAAGGTATTCCCTTATAGTAATAGTTATGCTTTTGTATTTTATTTTATTTTATTTCATTTCATTCATTTGTTTAGAGACAGGATCTCTGTCACCCAGGCTGGAGTGCAGTGGTGTGATTACAGCTCACTGCAGCCTCAACCTCCTGGGCTCAAGTGATCCTCCTGCCTGAGCCTCCTGAGTAGCTGGGACCACAGGTGCATGCCACCACACCCAGCTAATTTTGCTTTTTTGTGTGTTTTCTTTGTTTGTTTGCAGAGACAGGGTCTCACTATGTTGCTCAGGCTGGTCTTAAACTCTTGGGCTCAAGCGATCCACCCTCCTTGGCCTCCCAAAGTTCTGGGATTACAGGCCTGAGCCACAGCACCTGGCTGCTTTTGTATTTTAATGAATTAGAGTTAGTGGAACTGATTTTTCATTTATAATAGTCCTGCCTCAGCCTCCCGAGTAGCTGGGAATGTATGTATATGCCACCAAACTCAGCTAATTTTGTGGGGCTTGTTTTGTTTTGTTTTGTTTTGTAGAGACAGGGTCTCACTATGTTGCCCAGGCTGGTCTCGAACTTCTGGGATCAAGCAATCCACCCACCTTGGTCTCCCAAAGTGCTGGGATTACAGGTATAAGCCACTGCTCCCGGCTGCTTTTGTATTTTAATGAATTAGGATTAGTGGAACTGATTTTCTATTTATTATAGGAACATAAGTTCTCCTTTTTAAATGAAGTAAATAAAATGGAGATAACTTAAATGAAGATTAAGGTTATAATAGTACACGTAGTATGAGGATATGGCAAAATTGTAAAGATGATGCTCAAATGTCCAAAGTTTGGGAAATACTGGCCCACTGACTATTCCCTGAAATCTCAATGCCACATTTCATCTTCATAAACTGAAGACCAGGGTCACTTGTCCTAATGTTTTCCACAAGGGACAGAAAAGGAACAGAAGGCTTTAGTTTAGTTCTTCAACCACTGATCATGGTTTGATTTGGTTTCACTCAATAGAGTGGTTAGAACAAATAAACTACGACCCCTGACATATTATTGGCCTTGATTTCACATACATAAATCATTTATGGGTCAAGTCATATGATCTTAATAGTATTGATCCAAGGCTTTTAATTCTCTCTTTCTGTCTCTCTCTTTTTAAAAATTCACTGAGAGAATCTAAGTGGGTAGGATACCAAATTCTACCTTTAAATGGCATGAAATGAGACTGTATCCTTCAACAATTTGATGCAGTTTTTAGATGAACTAGAAACATGTCCTACCACCATAGCAAACAGGGACACCAGTTTCCTTTTATCCATTACATGTCAACGTTATAGTCACAGTTTCCAGGAGGCAACGTGATACAGCCAAACCTATTGACTAAATGGTGCCAGGCAGAATTAGCTAAATGTGACTGATGCCAAAAAGAAAACATGGATTTGGCAGAAAAATCTTGGCATCCACATGATGACATTAAATTATTCTACCCCAGAGGTTCATTCACTCTGTTACCTGGGGGCCACGTTGCTGCCAATTTTCCCTGAAAGGTTGACTGCTATACATTTGAACTCAAAATCAAAAGCCCTCTGCAAGCATACTTAAATAAGGTATGACAGCTGCCCCCACTAAAAAAGCCCCTCAGAAAAGATGGAGCCATCCTATATTTGAGTCCTTATAAAGTCTGTATATTAAAAGGCATTCTCTACTTTCTTTTGAACCGTGAAGTACTGTTTGTACAGTCTCATATGAGCTGACTTAATGCTAATTTGGAATGTTTATATAGGTCACCGGATGGACTTGGTAACAGAGAAGGCAAAGAAATTTAACACAGATTTAGTGCTTATTCTTGGTGATGTGAACTCACAGTGCAAGTGTTGGATGTAAACAATGTGCTGGAAGGTCATTTGAACCAGCCAGATGTGAAGTGACTAAAAAAAAAGACAACGTGTATCTGTTCTTTATTCCCAGGTCTAACAAGCTTTGCTGATGGAAAGTTCTTAAAAGACAATTTAAATTTTAGTGTTGCAGCATAAGTCTTTTCCTCGTAAAGATAAGAAATTAGAGTTTTAAGTTGTTGATTTGGGTTCTGGCTGTGTAACCTCAGACAAATCACTTAAAAACAAAAAAAACTGCTGGGATCATGACTCCACCCCTTCCTGACCAAACACCAGATAGGTCAACTGTCCTAACGTCTTGGGAATGGGTGCATGGGGCTGGGAGAAAATTTCCCTGGTGTCACCATACATGGATTTGAAAACTGGGGCTTCCCAGACAGCTGTTAGACAATGCAAAACAAGATCCTGATGTCAAAGATTAATGAACATGTAAATAATAACATTTCATAAGATTTGAGGGGAAAAGCAGTATTTTAAATTCATATATTAATGTAATTTTAAATACAATCCGTCAGAGTAACTAAAATAAATGAGACATTACAAGCAGATGGCTATCTCATCTAAATTTCTAAAAGTTTATATTATGTTGAAACGTATGAAGTTGCTACTTTTGTAAGTCAAAAGAGCTAAGTATTGGCAATTTCATGTGGTTCAACTTTACAAACTCAAATTGGCAGAACACTTTAAAAAATAACATTGGGAAAATGGTGGATCACATTAGTGGGGGCAGGCATTTATGCTACAAGGTGAAAGTGGCACCTTGGAAGTTTCTGACCTTAGAATCTTTATGGCTAAGGCCATGATGGCATTTTGGAGATTCAGCGGAGTGCTTGTTGAATTTTTTAATTAACTGAGAACATTTTGGGAGACAAACTCTTGGCTCTTGACTCTCGGTGGCATGGAAATATTGGATGTACACAGTCTGTTGTAGGGTCATCTTAACCAGCAAGACGTGAAGTGATTTCATATTTCAATTATGATTATATAACTAGAAATTATAATGTCTGTGGACTATTTGCCCAATTTTTTTAACAGATAGATCTTCTTTCATACGATGTCATAGAATACTTGTCTTTCATACACTCACCAGTGACATTAGTGGTGAATTGTTTGCCTCCAGCTAATGCCAAAATCAAATGGCGGAGGGTCTAGGAAGAATAAGATCATCATTATTCACCTCTTGGAATTCTACAGACTTTCTCACTCTATCAATCCATACCACCTATAATTCGCAGTTCTTGCACTATATCACCTTGATCCCACATAGAATCACCCTAATAGAACCATTATGTCATATGCTTTCTAATTCATACTTATCATTAGGGTTTATATAGAAAATAGCAATATGAGGATTATCCTAGGATTTCCTGTAAAAATAATTATAGAGGATCCATTATGTTGACCAGCATCTCTTATATAAAGAGGAAATGAGCCCTGTCTCCTTGGAGCTCACTTCATTAGACCATATGATATCATAAGAGACACATCACCCATCAGTTTTCTCTTTGCTTTTACTGTTAGGAAACTCACATCTATGTTTGAGCTCAATCATCAGAGAGCTTTTCTCACTATAGTATTTCTTTGTATGATTCTACCTCCCTCTTGATTCCACATGAAATTGCCAATACTTAGCTGTTTTGACTTACAAAAGTAGCTATTTCATACGTCTTAACATAATATAAACTTTTAGAAGTTTAGATGAGATAGCCATCTGCTTGTAATGTCTCATTTATTTTAGTTACTCTGACGGGTTGAATTTAAAATTACTTAACTTTTTGTCTGGAATTTTGTGTTGACCCCTGTAGCAACTCCACCCCCCACATGTCAGCTTAGTTTTGGAGAGCAGGCTTGGTCACGTTCCCATTCTATACCCCTGTCTGCTTGTTCTTGTTGCTACAAACAGAGCACCAGGATTTGTGTCTAATTTCTTAGTATGAGCTCCTCTTCTCAGTTAATAATATACTGGACTTAATGAACAGTAGGAAAAAGACAATGTACATCTGTTCTCTACTCCCAGGTCTAACAAATTTGCTGATGGCAAGTTCTTCTTAAAAGACAATTTAAATTTTACTGTTGCAGCATAAATCTTTTCCTCATAAAGATAAGAAATTAGAGTTAGAAGTTGTTGATTTGAGCTGGCTATGTAACCTCAGACAAGTCACTTCTAAAAAAAACTCATGGGATTCAATTTCTTCCCTCTGCAGAATGGGAATAAAAATCTTTGTTATTACAAATACTAAATGATATAAAGTATATGAAAGGACTTTATTTCCTTGAGCCAATATACAAGTCATGTTACAATTATTCAAAGGCAGGAGGAAAATTGAAGTCCTGTATAAAATACTTTCGTGCCCTAAGTACTTAGCCTCTGTTATCTTTGTTTCTTCTTATTACCCAGAAGCTCCTTGCTATGCCTCTGCCCAAGGGCTTGAATGGCTACAGCTTTTGGAAAAGGATCTGGGACTCTGACAGTGGCGTGAATTGCCCTTAAAGCCACAGTGAGGACCCTGGAACTCTACCCCATGAGGGCCAGGTTCATCTGAGTACAGTGAGCTGCAGAGCCCATGCTGATCTGCGACGCAGCAAAACGCCCAGCGTGGAAGGGCAGCTAGGTCAGGGGCTGAGCTGCAGCTACAGTCAAGCTATAAATATATCCTTGCCTCTAGGCCTGGAGAGGAACAGAGTCCCTTCCTAGAAGCCTGAGGGCAGGATAGCAGGCCCATCAATAGATGGCAAGATGCTAGCCCCACTGCAAGGCTGAGCATATGTCAACTGACTGGAACTCCACAGACAAGCTGCAGACTGAGGTGTGCTGGGGTGGGCGCTATCCATTAAGCATGTGTCAGTCAGCCACGATCTAATCAGCCGTGTGTAGTCAATCATGTTCTGGTCAGATGTGGATCAGCCAGACACACGTCAGTCACACAAACTCATCTCCACTTTTTCAAGGCTTGTGGGAGTAAAATAAACATCAGTCACACACATGCCTACTGGGTGCATTTCCATCAAACACTGTGTTGCATGAGAAAGGGGCACAAACCACGTGCCCCTAGCAGCATGTAGGAAAAAGCCTGATGTAAGAATTTTTTTTTTTTTTGAGACGGAGTCTCGCTCTGTTGCCCAGGCTGGAGTGCAGTGGAGCGATCTCGGCTCACTGCAAGCTCTGCCTCCCGGGTTCCCGCCATTCTCCTGCCTCAGCCTCCCGAGTAGCTGGGACTACAGGCACCCGCCACTACGCTCTGCTAATTTTTTGTATTTTAAGTAGAGACGGGGTTTCACACTGTGTTAGCCAGGATGGTCTTGATCTCCTGAACTCATTATCCGCCCGCCTGGGTCTCCCAAAGTGCTGGGATTGCAGGCGTGAGCCACCGTGCCCGGCACTGATGTAAGAATTAAGAAGTTGCTAGAAGCCCTTCCATCCTCCCTGGCTCTTCTCTTACCACCTTTCATTACCATCTGGTCCCTTTTCCTGCAGTCTGAGTGTGCTCTGTACTCAGCAGATGCCACGGTGGGGGACATAGAAAGCGGAGCAGCATCTTACTCAGCTTTGGGGTTCCGGAGTGAACAGGTCAGACCACAAAGGCACGGAAGCAAAATCGCCTTGAGAAATCCCCTCAGTCCAACTTTACCAGTTTTACCTACTGTGTGTTTGGGCTGCTATACAAAATACCACAGACCTGACAATTTATAAATAATAGAAATGTCTTTCTCACAGTTCTGAAGGCTGGGAAATTCAAGATCAAGGTGTTGACAGATTTAGTTTCTGGTGAGAGCCTGGTCTTTTCCAAGATGGCGCCCTGAACGCTGTGTCCTCACACGGCGGAAGGGATGGAAGGGCCAAAAGGGGCCAAACCCACTCCCTCAAGCCCTTTTTATAAGAGTGCTAATCCCATCCCTGAGGGTGGAGCCCTCGTGGAGCTTTGGTGGAGCCAAACCTCCCCAAAGCTCCACCTTTTAACACTGTTGTATTAGGGATTTAGCTTCAACATGAATTTTGCAGAGGACAAACACTCAAACCATACTGCCTTCCATCATTGCTGCACATTTCTGTCTATTCAGTTGGTCAGAGGAAGTAGGTGGCTTGCATTTAGGGACCATGGAGGATAAAAAATAAATAATAACTAACATTAGAATCACAATTAGTAGGGAAAAATGCTCACACTGTGAAGGGTATGCCGACATTGAAAGGACAAAAGATCTATGCCTCCCTTCTCATGGTTATTCTGCAGTATATGTTCATGAACAAGATAGCAGGTAAAATTGCTTATACTATTTAAGTCATCTCTTTTTTCTCAGTTCGATAGAATAGGATTGGATTTAGGTGAGTTAAATGCTTTATGAGATGACTCCATTGCATCATCAGATGAAATGCAATCTGATTCGTTTCAGAGGTGTTGAAAATGTGTTTGGTCCAGTGCCCAGAGCTCAGGCTAAATCCAGGCACCAGGCACACAAGTGCATAAGGAAACTCCAGGGCCTCGATGTATTCTCTCAGGTGTTCCCTGGCTACGGGAAGCAGGGAGAGTGGTGTGCCTGAGCTTGCTAGTTCTGTCTCCCGAGAGCTGATTGTGCTTGTCTCTTCCTAATTTGCATGCAGTGATGTCACTTTGGTAGCTTGAAATTGGTCCAGGTGAGTGTATGTACACCAGGGAAATTGGCAGGTGCTGCAAATCAGATGTCTTTCCTTCCCCTGATACTCCCTCAGAGAGCCATTTTATTAGCTGGAGATAAAGGCAGGGAGAAGTTGGTGCTGAGGGCATTTGCCTTGAGAAGTCAAGTGGAAGGGATAGTGAGACAAATTGGAGGTCTCTAATGTGGGAGGGCTGGAGTCATTTTGAAGATTGGTTGGAAAATGTTGGTAAGCTAAGACACAGCTTTTTCAGATAGTTGAAATTTCATTGTAACACAGATTGTTAAATTTTTTCCCAGTCTTCATTCTCTCCTTCTTCCTTAGCAGAAACTGCAATTCTCGGTTGTCAGGGAAGCAATGTTTTCAGCTAAGAGATTACATTTTCTGGTCTCCTCTGCAGTTAGAGGTGGCCAAAAAGATGTACATATAAGTTACTGGGCCAGGTGTGGTGGCTCACGCCTGTAATCCCAACACTTTGGGAGGCCGAGGCAGGTGGATCACCTGAGGTCAGGAGTTCGAGACCAGCCTGGCCAAGATGGTGAAACTCCATCTCTACAAAAAATACAAAAGTTAGCCTGGTGTGGTGGCGCTGACTTGTAATCCCAGCTACTTAGGAGGCTGAGACAGGAGAACTGCTTGAACCCCAGAGGTGGAGGTTGTAGTGAGCTGACATCATGCCATTGCACTCCAGCCTGAGCAACAACAGATAGACTCCGTCTCAAAAAACAAACAAAAAAAAAAAAGGAAGAAAGAAGTTACCGGGTAGAATTTCTGGGAAATATCCTCAAGGGGGATTGATTTAATTAGAAGGAGTAACTTCTTTCTTTTCCTTTTCTTTCTGACTAGAACATAGATATGATGGTTGGAGCCCCAGCAGCCATTTTGGACCATGAGGATGGAAACCATGGAATAAGGATGGTGTGGCAGAAAGATAAAAGGAGGCTGAGTCCCTGATAACATAATGGAGCTGCTGCACCACTTCTTAACTGTCCGACTCCAGACTTCTTTGATTTGAGAGACTAAATTGCTGATTTATTTAAGCCACTGTTGTCAATAAAAAGCAGTTAGGAATACAGTTCCTAGAAGGCACATTCATATTTTCATTTCACACTAGAAAAATGGAATAAAATGTGTTATAAGTTGTTTGGGGGGGGCTTGCTTTTTCCCCCCAAATGATAAAATCAACATGTTCTCAGTATTTACCAGAAAACTAAAGGCAAAGTTCATTGTCACAATGTGAGGAGCCCCACTGAGACAACTATTTATTGACCTAAGTTGATTTTTCAGATCTCTGGTGCTGAACATTGGGAGGTGGGGTGAGAGGGTGAGGAGATTGCGTATGTCTACCTAGGAAGGGGACTAAACAGGAAGGAGACCAGCAGCCCATCTTATCCTGGGAAAGGTGGGTTTGTATTTCTGCCCCTAGCATAGGTAGGCAGGTGTGAGATCCACCTTGAATCTATGGGAAAGCTGAGCGTATTCCCTGGACTGGGATATGGTGTAGATGGGTCCGGGGCCAAATCCTGTGACCAGAATTTAGCCCAGTGGCCTTAAGTCTTGGTCCCAATTTCCCCCACCTAAAACAATCATGCCTCCAGATGCTTTTCAGACTGGCATGTAACACTCTTCCAAAAGATGAAGATTCCTCTCATTCTTTAAGACAGGGCTCCACTGTCACCTCCTCCTGTCCCGATTTTCACCAGGAAAGTCTCCATTCTCTTCTCTGTGCCCTTCATCATATAGATTCCACTTATTACATTATATAGTAATTATTTGTTTATACAACTCTAATTCTCATTAGTTTGGGGGCTCCATGGGGGTGCAGGAAGGAAGGCCAATATAACTGTGCGTCTCTGGAGCCTGGCAAGTACACCTAAGTGTTTAAGGTTAAAAGAATTAAATCCCATCAATTACTCATTTTTAAAAATTCATCTAGTAGGTTCTTCATCAAGTTTAAGGAAAAATTATAACCTCATTGTCCCTCTGGGGCAAGCCTGTCCAATGAACAATTTGGTTCAACTTTTATGTAACAAAGTTGTCAATTGTTTCTCAGCTGCCACAAACCCTCTGCTCATGTAACCTAAGCATGCTCAGATGAACCAAGCTTGCAACTTCTGGGGGCACCCTAAGTGCTCAGACCAAGGAGTGGGGACTGAATGGAGAAGCAGGTATCACACGGCAGGATCCAGAATCCAATCAGATCAGGCTCTGCTGTCACCTCATGGCAGGACCCAGTCAGATCAGGCCTCCTGACATCACTTCATTTCAAGATCCAATCAGATTGCACCTCATTACCCTATGCTTATAAAACCTGACCCAGCCCCAGCTCAAGGGGCCACTGCTTTGGAAACTATCCCTGGTGTTCTTTGTACTTGTTGCAAGTAATAAAAACCACCTTGTTAAACCCCTCTTGGTTGTGGTCATTGGGCTGTCACTGGCCAAGCTACCAAACTCATCCATTGTGTGGGTAACAAGCTGAACTTCATCTAAGAGGTTAAGAGATTTATCATAAGTGGGAGAAGAGTAGGAAGGTGCTCCATGGCCTTCTTCATGAAGTTCTTGCTGATTCTGTGTTGTTCTCCTCGTTTATATGACCTTAAATTCTTGCATTGCTTCAATTATAGCACTTTGCTCACTGTCTCATGTGTCTCCTATGTGACTTGCTCCAGGATAGTGCTCATACTGTGGCAATCAAGGGTGTGGCCTTGAGACTAGAGCCTGATTTGACTCCTGGCTCTACCAGGTGTGAGAACTTTAGACATTTTCTTTACTTTTTTTAAGCCTTACTTTTCTCATCTCAAAATGAAGAGAGCATCAATATCAGCTATCACGTTTGAGTGTGATTCCAAACACTTCATATGAATTAAATTTGTTGAATCCTCATGAAACCATTATGATATTGGTACAATTCTTAATACCCCTGTTTTATAGATGGGGAAACTGGTACAAGAACATAAAATAACTTGCCTAAGATCCCAGAGTAAGAGAGTAGTAAGCTAGGGTTAGAACTTAGGCATCCATGCTCTTAACCACCACAACCAGTGCTTTTACTTTTGCTACACTTTGAAATAGTACTTGCCTTACAGAGTTATTATAAGATACGGAAAACACAATCGCTGGCATACAAAAAGCACTGAATAAATGTTAGCTGTCATTACATCTGTACTCCCCTTTTGCACACATTCAGTAAATTTTTGTTGAATAGTTTTGAGTGTTAATAAGTGTTTATGAGGATATAATAAAGAGACACATACACAAAAGAAGACACAAACCCACACATAAGTATGCATCCATGGAGAGACACACATGTGCATACCAAAAGGACTGAATGTGGAGTATGAGGAATCACTAAGGATCAGGATACCAGCAGAATTGGAGAAGCTCCTGAAAGGCAGAGCTAGAAAAATAGAAAGAGTCTTGGATGTCCAAAGGCAGAAGTATCCAGTGCTAATTTCTGGAGCATTCAGGGACATGGAATCCCAGTGAATGGGGAGGAACTGCAGACAAGGCTGCCATGCAAGACTGCAGTTTGTGCCTTACAAAAAGATGCCACCTGGGGGTTGGGGGGCAGAGTGGGGGCTGATATCCAATCTGTACTCCATTCGCCATGCTGTATACTCAAAACACTGTGTCCACCCCAAAGACGCACCTTTTCTCATTTATCTGCCAATGAGGAGTGCCTTTTTCTAACTCTCACAAAGGCTAATGATGGCAATAAAGATCCCAAGAGACCTGAGGGATCTCAGGCAGAAAATAGAGCCGAGGAACAGGGTCTATTCTTGTGGTTAAGCAATGATCAAAAAGGCTAACATTCAGGTTAGAGAGCCCCAGAAGTTCATTCATGTACTCAAATAATTATTAAGTATTTATGCTTAATAATTATGCTTAATTTTCAGGCACTATGCTGAAAAACATGGGCACAATCCCCACTCTCATGTAGCTCCCAGACCTCTAGAGGAAACAGATATCAAACAAGTAAACTAATATATAATGTCAGATAGTGATAAATGCTATAATAGACATAAGAATTGCAAGATAGAGAGTGACTGGGGAAGACGAAGGGCAAGTTTTGGGTAGATATTTGAGCTGAGAACTGGATGATAAGAAAGAGATGGCCATGAAATCTTGAAGATTAGCCCTTTAGGAGGAATAAGTTGGTGTCAGAGTTTAGGGACAATAAGGACACCCAGAGATTTACCATCCCAAGTGGGGCATGGTTGAGAGCGAAGAGGCAATGTTGATAATTACGCCAGGACAACAGGTATAAACTGGGCCTGAACTGGGAAAATCAGAGTGAATGAGCACCTTACCTTAGGGGGCATAGGTATTAGGTTTATTTGGCCAGAGAATCTGGAGCTCAGCATTTAGACTGAGCCACTTGATCCTGGGTTGTGAAAGTGATTTAATTCACCCATTCATAGGAAGAAGGAAATTGCTATGAGCAATTCTGTAGTTCTGTTAGAGATGCAGCTGATCTCAGCCAACAGGAGTATTGGAGCAGTGGTGGATTCCACTGCCAGGAATAAAGGGAATATGAATGGACTGCCTACTCTGTGTGAGGCAAGTGTTTTCTTGCTTAATCTTCACAACAAAAACCCCTTATCATGGGTACAAATTTATGTCCCAATTTACTGATGATAAAATTGGCTCAAAGAAGTTAAATAATTTCCCCAAGGTCATGTAGCTAGGGAATAACAGAGGTGGGATTCAAACTTGGACCTATTGGGTCTGAGCAAATTGTGCTTGCTTCTATACCATATTGTCCCTAGACAGAGGCAGGGGAAAGAAAGCAGGGGCTGAAACAGGTACAGACACATTCCAATATGTGTGGAGAAGCATACTCACATATTGACACAAAGCCACAGAGAGAACCAGAAGCACCTGGAGGCTTTGCTATGTGGAAAAGGTTCTGTGGCCAAGACAGCTAGATATCCCTCAATATCTGTTCTCCCCTTCTTTTACAGAATATCCTATTTTTAGCTCAGCATAGTAACACCCAGATTAAAGATTACATTTCCCAGCTTCCCTCACATCTAAGTGTGACCAAATAACTATGTTCTACCCAAGAGGATGTAAGTCAAAGTGGTACCACTACCTTTGCACAACCATAGGAGGCACAATTCACAATATGAAGATGCTGAGAGTAGAAATGATGTTACAACCTCAAAAGGAAAAGGCATGTTCTTCCTGGGCCCATTTTTCCTCCTAAGAGACTGAATGTACCAACGAACAATGGCAATAGAACTCTGACCCACAACCTCTTCAGCAACCTGCTTGGGAAGCCAGACCACAATCCCTGCAGCAACTGGCCCAGAATGGGCAAGACTTGGTCAATAACTGCCAGCTTCTCCATTTTTTGTCCCTGCTTCCAACTCAGGATCAACTACAGAAAGTCACATATGCCTCTGAATCAATCACATAAGATGCCCGTTTTTTGTTTGTTTGTTTTGTTTTTTGTTTGTTTTGTTTTTTCCTTTTTTTTGTTTTTGTTTTTGTTTTTTTAGATGTCCAGGGTACAGTGCAGTGGTGTGATCACAGCTCACTGCAGCCTCAACCTCCTTGGGCTCAGGTGATCATCCCGCTTCAGCCTCCGGAGTAGCTGGGATTACAGGAGTGTAGCACAATGCCCAGCTATTTTTTCTTTTCTTTTGTTTTTTTTTCATAGAGACAGGGTTTTGCCATGTTGCCCAGGCTGGTCTCGCACTCCTAGGCTCAAGGGATCTGCCAGCCTTAGCCTCCCAAAGTGCTGGGATTATAGGTGTGAGCTGCTGCACCCAGCCGGATGCCCCACTTCTAATGAGCCCACTTCCAGCTTTCCTACGCCAACTACCTCCAATCAGGCACCCCTGAAGCCTTCTCTCTTTTCCAGTGTGAACCTTTTTCACTGTTCTGCCAGCCTGTGAGTTTCTGCCAAATGCAAGACTCTTTGCTAGGGCAAGCTCTGAATCAATGACCTCTGCTTGCTCTCTTTTGGATAGTCTTCATTTATTTCTACACCCTCTTCCTGCTGAGTGGAATGCAGATGTAGTAGGATGCAAGGGTCTCCAGTCTCTGGTGTCATGGAACTGCCGTCCACTCTGGGCTGTTAGTAAGAGAGAAATACATTTCAGTCTTTTAAGACACTGCCATTTTGTGTCTGTTTCAGCAACCTAACCAAACACACACACACACACCCTGAGGAGCCTTTCTAGTTCAGATTGAACACTCAAACTTCATCTATTTAAAGCATACTAATTTGGAACTTGTGCAAGTTTGCCCTGGGGCAGCCTGGGTAAAAGGGTCCATTTGCACTGGATTAAAAAAATCAGAGTTTGCTGAGCAGATTCATGTACTCCAGATTTTACTCATTTAAACTAGGATTTTTAAGCATCTTTCATTTGCACACAATGATTGAGATGCTAATTACAAGAGACTCATACCTATTCATTAATACTTGAAATTTACTTAGTCCGGGCAGTCTGAATGTGCTTGTCATGCGAAGGAATAAAGCTGCATTTATGTGCAAAAAATTGAAAAATTCAAAATTTTCATGAATTCTGACTGATCTCTTCAGAATAAACAAGCAAATTTCATTGACTCTTTCTTAGGTGATTCCTTTGTGTCTCAATGCACTTCTGTCTCCCATTGGATATGGCTTTGGCCCCTATAAGGCCCAGAGTTACAGAACACCAAATACTTCTGGATGGGAAATGTATAAGGGCAATTAATTAATGCACATATACAATCTGCCCTTTTTCTGATCACCAGACGGCCAGGGCCCCAACTTCAAAGCAGGAACGGCTTCTACCCTGTCACTTCTCCAGATCCACAGGGGAAGCACAGAGGCAGACCTGCAGAACTGATTTCTTGATGCCATGGATCCAGTCATTTGATTCCATGTAAGATGCTTGGGTAAGGAAGATGGGCCATGATGCAGAATTGTTGTATTACACTTTAGTGTCTTCCACCCTTATAAGTCAATCTGATCTTCAGGGAGTTTCTACTGTGCCTGACAGAGCACACAAAATCCAAGCAGTCCCCAGATGTTCAGCAATCCTTCCTTGCTTCCTATGGACACATGGAGGTATCTGGGAAGCATCCCCCAGAAATGCAGTTCCTTGGGACACCCTCATCCACGAACCCAGACTTCCAACATCCATCCACCCTCTCACACATTCAACCATCAGACATCTGCTATGTGCCTACTACAACTTAGCAAGATACAGTCCTGACTCTCGAGGAGTTCAAATCTATGATGGAGGCAGACATTTACACAAATAATTATAATCTAGTGTGACAAAAGCTGCCATTGAGTCATGTACAAGCTCCCAAGTGAACAGAAGAGTGAGCAGATAGCTTAGCTGGAGAAGGCTTCAAAAATATCAAGCAAACGACACTTGAGTGAAGTCTTACTGGGAGCATGGGTTTCCATTAGCTGGAGACGTGTCAGGGAAGAAAGCATTCCAGGTGAAGGAAGGAAGCATTCCAGGTGAAGGAGACTTGAAAAACTCAAGAAAAGGCACATCATTCTGTAAGGTTAGAGCAGAGGATGAAGGAGAAACTGTAAGTTGGGGTCATCTTGGGTGCCATGCGGGAGGATTTGGGCTTTACAGGAAGTTATGAGACACAGTCAAGGCAGGGCTGGGAACTCAAATGCCTACAGGAGCCTGGCAAATGGCACAAATCAGCAAGGGAGGGTGCCTACATGGGGAGTTGTAAAACTGGGGAGCGCAGGCCCCATCCAAAGGCAGCAGCCAATTGTTGCCATGCTGCAGGGCAGGCTCAGTGTAGCCAAGTCTCTCTTGTTTTTTTTTTTTTTTTAAGAAGAAGCTGAAAATCCATATTTTTTACATATGAATGCTCCCAGTTTCTAACTGTTGACAGTTATTTCAAAATATCATGCTGGCCAACCAAAAAGATATCTGATGCCCCATCAACCTTCGGACCTTCAGTGTAGCACTTCAGATCTAAAATTTCTAAGCAGAGAATGAACACAGACTTATGTTTCAGATAGAGGGTGTCCCCACAGATCTCATGTGATCTTTCTGCCCCAGCTTCTGCCAAGAAGAACTTCTTTCCTCATCTCCACCACCGCCTTGCCTCTGCCCCATGTAGTCCTTGCCCTCCTCCCTGACCCCCCAGACCACCCCCAGCACCAGCTGCCTTCTTGCACTGGGAGAAGTTTAATTAATGAATTGTGCTGCAGAACCAGCTTACAGAGAAAAGCCCAGCATTAAGGACACGAGAGAGCCATATTTATTTCACATGGACAAGCATGATTCCATTGCATGCTGAACATGAAAGCTCGTATGAGCAAAGTACCCGTAACAGCAGAATTATGTGCTTTTGTCCACAGGGAGCAGGGAGAATCACAAAGTTGTTTTCAGAGACAGTGTTTTTCAAGCACAGTTGAGACCATAGGCTCTGAAGTCACTGGTTTATTTCATCACCAAAGGGTCTGTCTCCCAGGAGTGGCCGGAGGTGCTTTCAGCTTTGCAATCTCTCAATGAATTGATAAGGTCTGAGGAGGGCTGAGGATGGTCTCCCATCCCACCACCCAGAGCATCTTGAAGAAATGAAGCTCAGAGGGAAGATACATGCCACTTGGAATTAACAAGGCCACTCCTGGGTGGACAATGACAGGGACCGACTGCTGTGTTCATAGCAACAGAACCATCATCGCTTATAATATCTATCATCATTGGAACATTCACTCTTCTTAAAGCAATTCTCCAAGGCCCTTTATGGGCAGAAAGGAGAATGATTCTGGAATTTACTGGACGTGCCAGGAGCAGATCAACTTTGCTTGAACAGACTGATGAAAACTAGTGGCAGGGACTCTCTGGTCTCTTGGCTTTAGCTGGGCTTCCTGGTTCCAAGATGATGCAACTCAAGTTGGGAAAGGGGGCTGGAGCCAGGGTTTGTTGGAGGGAGATCAGAGGGTCTGGGAGCAAATCTCACGGAAGAGATGAGCAGAAGAGCCCTTGAGAGCCCTTTCCTTTCGTGGGCTTATTCCCACCTGAAGTCCTGCCCAACGGTTTCATAAAATTTGATATTATACGGTCTATAAAATTCTCGGAGCTGGTCTATCACTTCAGGATCAATCTGTACATGAGTTCTCCCTTTTGATTTGCCCAAGCATCGAGGCAGGAGGCTCGATTCTGTTTTTTTCAAGCAAGGGAATCCTTTGGTCTTGTTGAAATAGAAGTGCTTGTCCGTGATGAATCTCTTAATGCCCAGGAAGTCCTGGACTCGCCCCATCTCGCCGGCCGGGTCAGTGATGAGTCGCTC
Organism: Homo sapiens; assembly: GCF_000001405.40. NCBI lineage: Eukaryota > Metazoa > Chordata > Mammalia > Primates > Hominidae > Homo > Homo sapiens. The sequence goes on along the minus strand of NC_000016.10, from coordinate 22,915,280 downwards.
GCCACTGACGAAGTGAATCTGAGCTAGCGGGAAGTACTGCAGCCAGCTCTCCAGGTGCAGCACGTACATGCCGATGCGGATGGCGTTCCATGACACGTCCACCAGGCCCAGGGTGCGGTTGCGGAAGGAGAGGCCCTCAAAGGTCGGGATGTCGGGCTTCTTGGAGAGTGTCTGCGTGTAATCAGAGATGGCACGGGTCACAGGGTTCCGCACAACCACGATCAGCTTGGTGTCTCGGGACATGTTGAAGATGCGTCGAGGAGCCTCTTGAGTGACAAAGTAGCTGGGCGTCTTCTCCAGCGTGATCTGGCTCTCGAGGGTCCTGGGCATCAGGCTCCTGTGTGGGCAGAAGGAATACATCATCAAATAGGTTTCCCTGGGGCCAGGCCTCAGGCCCAGCTACATCAGCCCTTCCACCCAGGGGCCTGTTGCATCCTCCTCCTGGCCTCTGTTCCACTCAAAGCTTTCACCTGGTGAGGTACTCACTTTAAATCTTGTTGATTTTCTTTTCTTCTCTTTTTTTTTTTTTTTTTTTTTTTTTTTTGAGACAAGGTCTCACTCTGTCGCCCAGGCTGAAATGCAGTGGTACAATCACAGCTCACTGCAGCTTCCAACTCCTGGGATCAGGCTATCTTCCCATCTTCCCATCTTCCCATCTTCCCATCTTCCCATCTCAGCCTCCCAAGTAGCTGGGACTACAGGTGTGTGCCATCATGCCTGGCTAAGTTTTTCTATTTTTTGTAGAGCAGGGTCTCATTATGTTGCCAGGCTAGTCTCGAACACCTGGGCTCAAGCAATCCTCCCACCTCAACCTCCCAAAGTGCTGGGATTACAGGCTTTTTTTCTTATTTAATTTTTAACCTGTTTGCTTCAAGCCTGGAAACAATCTAAACATCCATCACAGTGAGCTAAATAAATTGTGGAATAGCCAATTAATAGGGTTAGGTAGATCTGTATGCATTAATATGGAATGATTTCCAACATACAGTGTTAAATGAAAACAGGCAAGATACAGCTTGTATATCTTAAGAAGGATAAATAAGTTACCAATAAAAGTGGTTGCTTCTAGGGAGGAAACTTGAGGTGAGTGCAGAATTAGAAGATGAGGGATAAATGAGAATTGCTTTTTTTTTTTTTAAGAGACAGGGTCTCACTTCACTCTGTCTCCCAAGGTGCAGTGCAGAGTTACAATCATGGCTCACTGAAGCCTCGAACTCCAGGCTCCATTGATCCTCTCACCTCAATCTCTCAAGAAGCCGGGACTACAGGCTCATGCCACCACTCCTGGCTGATTCTTAATAATTTTTGTAGAGATGGGGTCTCACTGTGTTGCCCAGGGTGGTCTTGAACTCCTGGGCTTAAGTGATTCTCCTGCCTCAGCCTCCTGAGCAGCTGGGATTACAGGTGTAAGCCACCATGCCTGGCTTATTTTTTGTATTTTTTGTAGAGATAGGGTCTCACTATGTTGCCCTGGCTGGTCTCAAACTCCAAGCTTCAAGTGATCCTCCTGCCTTGGTTTCTCAAAGTGCTGGGACCATAGGCACAAGCCACTGCACCTGGCTAAGAATTACTTTTTATTGTATAACCTTTTAAGCTGCTTGAAAATTTTAATGCATTTATTACATATTCAAAAATTACAAAGTAAGCCACTGAATATTGTTCTGGCAAAAGATATTTCTCCAAATATATTAAGAAAATCTTTTTTTGGGGAAAAAGTCTTGTCTTGCAGGAATAGCAACTGTTTTAGATATGAGTTCTGACGTCTTCTGCTGAAAAACATTTGAAATACATCCTTTGTGTAGGCTTGAACAAGCACAGAACTCCAGGCTGCTTGGGACCTCAGTCAGGAGTCAGGCTATGTAACCTCTCTTTCCCTTGCTTTTTAATTTCCTGGCTCTGCTTGAGACCTTAAGGGATGTGGGAGGAAGCACTGAAGTCTCTTTCCCAGGAGCATCTCATTCAGGCCTTGATGGACGGGAGCATCCCTGGTTCCCAACCGCTACTTCTTGATGAAGGTCATAGTTGACCCTTACGTGCATTTTTCTTAATCCTGGCTGCGCGTTAGAACTACCCGAGAAGTCCCTTCCTTCCTTCCGCCCTCCCTCCCTCCCTCCCTCCCTCCCTCCCTCCCTTCCTTCCTTCCTTCCTTCCTTCCTTTCTTTCTTCTCTTTCTTTCTTTCTTTTTTAAATAAACATGTCTGGGCTCTGTCCTAGAACAACTGATTCAAAATATTCAGGGAAGGGATATACTTCTATAAAGTTCCTCAGCTCATTCTAATGGGAAGGCAGAGTTGAGAAACACCTTTCCCAATCCTAATGAGGTAGGAGGCGGGTCTAGACTCCGGAGGCAGGGCTTGCTTGGACACAGGACCAAATTGAGGACTAGCTAAAACAGGGCGGGGAAGAAGCAGCTTTCCACAAGACACGCCCACCTGTGTGCCCTGTCAGCTTACCATTGCCATGGCAACGCCCCGAGGTGACCATCCCTTTCTATGGCAACAACCTGATGACTTGGAAGCTACCACCCTTTTTGTAGGGTGGTAAATTTCTGCATAATCTGCCCCTTAATTTGCATGTAATTAGAAGTGGGTATAAATATGACTGCAGAGCTGCCTCCGAGCTGCTACACTGGATACACTGCCTATACAACACCCCTGTAGGGTAGCCCTTCTCTGCAGGGAGCAGTGCCTCTGCTTCTGCTGTACACTGCTGCTTCAATAAAAGTTGCTTGTCTAACAACACCGGCTTGCCCTTGAATTGTTTCCTGGGCAAAGCCAAGAACTCCCCAAGGCTCGCCTGCCCTGCATCACTAACACTATGATTTACCAACCCCCAGAACATTCATTCTCACATCCTTTGGAATATCAACTCCTGGTTCTTAGCTTTCTGCTTCCTGGCTCCTATCACTATCTCCACCCAATACCCTGGCCTCGCAGTTCTTTGACCTTTGACACTCCAAGTATTTCCATTTTCTCTTCCCTTCACCAACTCTTTTTCATGGCCATACGTTGGGTCATGTCATTGCAATTTCCCTAACTCTGAAATGGTTAACTCAGAAATTTCACTCTAAAACTATGTAGAGGTTTGAATGGTGACCTTCCAAAAGATATGTCCGCCCAGAACCTTTGTTCTGTTTTGGGGTTTTTTGTGTGTGTGCGTGACAGAGTCTTATGCTGTCGCCCAGGCTGGAGTACAGTGGTGCCATCAGGGCTCACTGCTGCCTCAAACTCCCCTGGCTTAGGTGATCCTCCCACCTCAGAACTCCCAGGTAGCTTGGACTACAGGCACTCACCACCACTCCTAGCTATTTTTTGTATTTTTTGTAGAGACAGGGTTTCACCATGTTGCCTAGGCTGGTCTTGAACTCCTGGGCTCAAGAGATCTACCTGCCTTGGCCTCCCAAAGTGCTGGGATTACGGTGTAGCCACCACACCCAGCCCACCCAGAACATTTGAACGTGACCTTATTTGGCAAAAGGGTCTTTGCAGATGTAATTAAGTTAAGGACTTGCATATGAGATCATCCCGGATTAGAGTGGGCCATAAACCCAATGACGAGTGTCCTTGTTAGAGAAGGGAAGAAGAGTCACACAGGAAATACGGTGACCTGAAGATGAAGGCAGAGTGTGAAGTAAGATGTCTACAAGACGTGAACACCTAGGATTGCCACCAGCAGCCACCGGAAGCTAGGAGAGAGGCACAGGGCAGATTCTTCTCAGAGCAGTCAGAAGGAACCAACCCTGCTAACAATTTGGTCTCAGACTTCTATCCTCTAGAACTGTGAAATAATGCATTTTGGTTGTTTTAAGCCACCTAGTTTGCAGTAATTTGTTATGGTAGCCACAGGAAACTACAGATTACAACCTTGTCCCTTTCTACCTTTTCCACAGTCTCAAACTTCTTATACCCATTTTCAAATTCATCTGGGATTCTCTTGATTTCACTTTATTCCATACCTTCTCTGTACCCAATGAACAATCATTTCAATAGCATCATCTTCATCCTCATCAATTTTCCTGTTCTAATTGCTCTCCCCAGTCTCTAATAATGCATCCTTCCAGCCTTTTATCCTTTCCAGTTCTGTCCCTGGGTTGCCAAACAGCACTGGAGAAAATTGCTGTCACTTACAAATATATCCTTAATATGTTCATGGATTCTAGCTTCCATTGAACCCTCAGTACTGCTCAGTGATCTTATATTTGTCTTTTCAGGCCCTTTCCATCATTTTTCATAGTAAATGTTTCAAATTCTCATCATACACTCCCAGCCTGAATCCTTTCATCCACCCTTAACATGCAGCTAGTCACCCATGACACTAGAAAGGCATAAGCTTTCAACCTAACACCTCAACTCCTTCAACCTGCCTCTCCTCCATCTTAAAGCTAATCCTTATGTGCAACCATCCTGAGCCCCTCCTGCTAGTCTCCGAGAACAAGGTATGCAAGGGCTCACCCATCCACCTGTGCTTAGATCCCTTCCCCTTCTACCTTTCCTGCAAACCCACCCATTGGCGCCTTGAACCTTCTAATTCATTGCTAGACTGATACAACTGATCTTTTTCTTCTAGGCCCAAAGTCTATGTAGACCCTTTTTGGTTGAAAGTTGAAATCGTATTTATTAGTATTGAGTAGGACAATTAATAGCATTTGTTAGTATTGAGTAGACAATTAAAAAACAATTTTTAAAAAATTGAGTAGAACTAATTAAAAAAAGTAGTATTGAGTACATTGTTTGCATTATGTGCAAACAATCACAAGGGCACTTGAATAGAATTCTTTGGCTGGATTTTCTTAGAAATCTGGATATATTAGATCGTGACTGTGGCATATATGGTAATCAGGTGTTGGCCTGTATGACAGGAATAGATGAAATTACATAAGTGTAACAGCGCATTTAAACTGTGTTTAAAGACTTCCCAAATTCTACAGGGGCTGTTGCAATAAATGTCTTCCCTGGCACAAGGAAATTGACTTGACTTGCCATTAAACAGATTCCTTTGCAATATCCTTCAATACACTAAAGAATATCCAAGAAAGGAATTGAGGACAGATTTTCTAAGCTTACTTGACTATAGAGCTGTGAAGCACCAATTAACATCTCTTTTTGTTACCAGTTTGGAAAATGCTGACCAAATCCAGTGATCTCCAAAGTATCACATTATTCCCCCATCTGTGCACTAAAGTGAAGCTCCACCCTTCTAACTTCTTTTTTCCTTTTCTTTTCTTTCTTTTTTTTTTTTTTTTTGAGATGGAGTTTTGCTCTTGTTGCCCAGGTTGGAGTGCAATGGCACAATCTCAGCTCACTGCAACCTCTGCCTCCCAGGTTCAAGCAATTCTCCTGTCTCAGCCTCCCAAGTAGCTGGGATTACAGGCATGTGCCACCACGCCCAGCTAATTTTTTGTATTTAGTAGACAGGGTTTCACCAGGTTGGTCAGGCTGGTCTCGAACTCCTGACCTAGGTGATCCGCACACCTTGGCTTCTCAAAGTGCTAGGATTACAGGCATGAGCCTCCGCACTCGGCCCACCCTTCTAATTTCTAATTGGTGTTATCAGTTGCAAAACCAAATGGCAAATACTAAAGAAGATATAAGAATCAGGTTGCAAACATGCTGTAGTCATGCCACAAGTCAAAGGGCTCCTGGGTACTTCAAATTTTCTCTATCCCACCAAAAAACACCCTTGAATATTTATTTCTCCTTGGGTCATTGGAATAGAGTGTTGGAGTCCTGTGTGATGATAACGTGCAAAGGTACTGTGTATACCTTCCCATGCCCTGTGCACATTGGAGGAAGACGTGATTAGACTTCCTTGGGGCTCATCTTTCTTCTTTATGTCACTGTTTAAATTTTGCTTACTTGTTTCCAGCTGCTAGCAAACAGCTGAACTTTTCTCTCACCCTGCAACCCTTTTAAGCTTCTGTCTCCTTTGTTTTCTATGTAGCTCTGCAAAAGTTACTGAAAGAATAATCTAATGCTCATTGTTTGGACTTTCCTCCCACCTGTTATTTTAAATTGCTCAGGAACTATTTTCCCTACATCTGGTAACAGCCCCAGATTTTTCCTTGAGGACTACTACTCCTGCTTTGGACAAAATCTTGATGGGCCAAGGGTGGGGATGCATGTCCAAAGTTAGGCTATTAGGAACCAATTGTGTTACAAAGACTAAAAAGGTGTCATAAAGATTGAAATTCCAATCAGATATAAAACCCTGGAAGAGATTCCTCATTAGTTTCTGTTGCCAAATCCCTGCAGCTATCTAGGTTCTTGCCCTTTCTGAGACCTGGCTCTTCCCCTTTCTTCTGGATTCTGTGAGTTACTACACATCCTTCCAGTAAGTTTCTACTATTTTAAATTAGTTAGAGTTGGTTTTTGTTGCTTGCAATCCAAGAATTTTAACCTATCTTTTACAGTCTGGCCTCTTGCGATCGTTTGAATATTTGTCCCCTCCAAAACTCATGTTGAAATTTAATCCTCAACGTGGTACTATTGGGAGGTGGAGACTTTAAGATGTGATTGGGTCATGCGGGCTCTGCCTTCATGAATGGATTCATCTATTCATGGATTAATGAATTAAAGGATTAATGTGTTAATGAATTAGTGGTTTATCATGAGAGTGGAAGTGGTGTCTTTATAAGAAGTGGAACTGAGCTAGCAAGTGAGCACACTCAATCCCCTTCCCATGTAATGCCCTGTGCTGCCTTGGGACTCTACGGAGAGCCCCCAACAGCAAGAAGGTCCTCACCAGATGGAGCCTCTTGACCTTGGACTTCTCAACCTCAATAACTGTAAGAAATAAATTCATTTTCTTTATAAATTATCCAGTTTCAGGTAATCTGTTATGAGCAACAGAAAATGGACTAAGACACTTATTTTCTGTTGAAGCTATACCCACCCCACTTGATTATAAATTACATGAGGGCAGGGCAGGGTGTATCTTATTTGCAGCTGTATCTCCCGAGTCCACCACAATCCATGGCACAAGTAAGATCTTTATCGGTATCTTTGAAGTTTAAATGAAGCCAACAACCTATCTAATCCATTTACTCATTGAAGCCCTCATCCCCTTTACAAATTCCTAACTCTCCCCAAACCATTCTGGATCTTCTCAATGGCCTACATTCCACTTCTCTCATGCTGGTTTGTGTTTGTTTGTTTCAGACAGGGTCTCACTCTGTCTCCCAGGCTGGAGTACAGTGGCACAGTCTCAGCTTACTGCAGCCTCGACCTCCCAGGCTCACGCAATCCTCCTGCCTCAGCTCCCCAAGTAGCTGAGACCACAGGTGTCTGGCTAATTTTTTGTATTTTTAGTAGAGACAAGGTTTCGCCATGTTGCCCTGGCTGGTCTCAAACTCTTGGGCTCAAGCAATCCATCCACCTCAGCCTCCCAAAGTGCTGGGATTACAGGTGTGAGCCACTGCAGCCGGGCCCACTTCTGTCATTCTATGTGATCCTCCTGGATGACCTCATTCCTTCCCCAGCCTTTAACCATCACCTAAGAGATGCTGACACACAAATCTGTAACTGCAGCTCCAACTTAAAGCTTTCCTATGTTCTTAATTAGAATGCTTGTCTATAGACTGGATACCTCACTTCAACAATTGAACATTTTCCTCCGCTTTTGCAAATTTCTTTCTTTCTCTCTTTTGCCTGCTTTTGCAAATATCATCATGAAAGGAGGAAAACTTCAGAATCATTCTTAACTCTTCCTCAAATCCAGTGTCTTTCGTTCTTGTAAGTTTTACCTCCCCAACCTTCTGAAGTCTCCAGCCTCCTCCCTTAGTCCATGAAAACAGCCACAGGCCCTTGTCAACTCTTCCTCAGACCACAGATTTCTCTCTGCCCTCCATGCTCCTATTGTTTTTTCCCATTTCAATTCATTCTGCATTTCATGTCCACCAGGGAATCCAATCATGTATCCTAAGCTTTCTGGAGCAAATCCAATTAAGTCAGGCATCAATGATTCTTTTGAATAAGGTCTGTATTCCTTAGCTTGGCATTTGAGGCCCTTGTCTACCTTTCTAGAATTAATCTCTTGCCACTTCCTTGGTAGCCTGATGTTCATGCCATGCTGAACATAAAATCCTCTCCCCAAACATGAACCTGCCCTTTCATATGTGTTTTGCACTTGCCAAGTGTTTTATTTTTATTTTTTAAGACTCTGATCCATCTTACTTGTCTCTTGTCCTGGTGAATGCCTACTCGCATTTCCAAATCCAAACCAAAAGTCACACACACCCTCTGTAAACCCTTCTTTGTGTAACCTCATGGCACTTTGTATAACCGCCTACTAGCACCCTCATGCCCTTGTGTGGGAATTGTTAGTTATGCATCCATTTATACCACAGATCCTCAGCAACTTGCACGTTTCTTGTTCATTTCTCCCTCCCTCACATCATACCTGGCATACCATAGGTGCTCAGTAAATGGATCAAAGATCCAGTGTCAGAGGTAGATGCCCATTGAGAAGCGGCCCTTGAGTCCTCAGAAGTTGTCAGTGCTGATTTATAAAGCTCAGCCCTTTTTTAGCATTCTGGCCTTGGGCAGCTAGTACTGGAGGGAAATTTTCTGTTGTTTTCAAGATTTCATTGTGCCCACAGGGGCTCTGGCTCACGACTGAGGGGGAGTCCAAGCTCTACTTCCACCAAACTTTCCAAATGTAGGAAGGTAGAATGAGATTTAAAGGAACGTCTCATGCCATTTCTGTTTTGCCACCTGTACACTGTCTCTAGCCCAAGGCTCTGCCCTGTGGCTGGTGGGGAAGGGGTGGTGAAGTTAAGCTGCATGCCAGGACCACTTGAGGGGGTTTTGGAGCAATGCAAAAGTCTGGGTCCTACATCAGACTAATTAAATCAAAAACTCTGGGCACGAGGCCCAGGTACCTGAAATTTTATTTATTTATTTATTTATTTATTTAGATGGAGTCTCGCTCTGTCGCCAGGCTGGAGTGCAGTGGCGCAATCTCGGCTCACTGCCACTTCCACCTCCCAGGTTCAAGCGATCCTCCTGTTACAGCCTCCCAAGTAGCTGGGATTACAGATGTGCATCACCATGCCCAGCTAATTTTTTGTATTTTTAGTAGAGATGGGTTTCACCATGTTGGCCAGGATGGTCTCGATCTCTTCACCTCGTGATCTGCCTGCCTCAGCCTCCCAAAGTGCTGGGATTACAGGCATGAGCCACCGTGCCCGGCTGGTACCTGCAATTTTAAAACTCTCCAGATGATTCCAGTGGGCCACCAGTGCTTAGAACCACTGTGGCAGACTGCACCTTCCTTTAGCCACGTGTCCTTTAATACAATTGCTCATGAGAATTAACTGGGTGCGTCTTGGAGAAAAAATTCCCAGGTCCCTCTTCTGTACATTCCAATTTCAGTGGGTTTGGGGTGCAGTTCAAGAATATGCATTTTAAACAAGCTCCCCCATGATTCTTACGATCAGAGAAGCTTGGAGCATACCACCTTAACAAAAGGTATTCTCATAAGTAACAGGGGCACACTCATTACTACCTAATATATTTGATGTTGATTTGCATGTTTACTGTCCCTGGCCACACCCATCCCATCCCACGGTAGATGGTAAATTTTGAGAGTGAAGATTGTTGTCTATATTATTCACTGCTGTATTCTCTACACCTGGACAAAGGCTGGTACTTAGTAAGCGTTCAGAAAATACTTGCAGAAGAGAAAAAATAATAAAGACAAGGCTTTAATCTTGGAACAATGAGGCAGAATCATATTGTTTGTACTGGTGAAGATATGTCCCTCTTTCTCATGCTATAAAAGTCTATACTCTTTCACCCTAAGGGAAACATCACAGACTTCCTGCAGCCCCTTCCAAAAAAAGAGAAAAAAAAAAAAACAAACACAAAAAAACACCCAAGTATTCTCTTGTCATCCTGAGGCTTTCTGGAAATTATATTTTTGACCCACACTGGGCTACGCAGTGGAACACAGGACAGCTCCCTTGGAACCCACTGTCCACCCAAGGGTCATCCCTTGCACATGCAAGCAAGTGGGAACCTGCCTGATGTCGGGCCATCATCGGAAACTTACAGAACTGGCACACCACTGATTATTACTGATAGGATTCTCTGGAAGATTTCATTTTCTGCTAAATTTGTACACTCTTTATATGTGTTCTGGAAGACCCGGCTGCCTGGAGGCCTGTGGTGATTTATTGGCTTCTAACTGGGCAACCAAGCTCCTTGAAAATCATTGCAGTCTCCGGAGAGATAATTAAGAGCGGAAGAGGAGGGAAAAGGCCTTATTGCAAGAAACTGGTTCTTAAAACTAAACCTGCTAAACCCCCACACACTGAGCCATGTGGCAGGCACAGCACCTGTGGCCGTTTATCCTCGCCTAGTTGAGCGAAGTCATGAGCCCCCTCTCATACCGTGGGACCATTTCCTTCCAAGTCCACAGCCCCAAATCCTTATACTTATGTGAACCTGGAGCAGGCCACTAAGTCTCAGCTCATACTCCAGCGACCATTCTCGTTGCTCACAAGATAGAGTCTTTACCAGGATTTCTGTGGCTCTTCCTGATCCTGCCCATGGCCCCTCCTGGGCTCTGGCTAGACTAGATTATTTGAAGCCAGTCTGTACTCCTCCAAAAACTGTATTTTTCATGCTAAGGGAACCTTGACATGTTGTACCCTTTGCATGAAGCCCTCCTTAACCTGCCTGGCAAAACATCTCTCAGCTCATCGTCACCTCCACCATAAAGCCTTCCCTGACTGTGCCCTTATTATTTCTCCCTTCCTGGAGGAGTTAGGTGTTTTTTTACTCTTGTGATTCCATGGTACCCACTATAGACATAACCCATTTTTGATACATTATCTGAGTCTATCATCCCTCTAGAGTTCAGTGTCCCTGAAGGCAGGGATCATGACTGTGGCATCTCTATATTGACAGTGTCTAGTCCTCTGCTGGTATGCAATCATGGATTTATTCATGAGACAAGCGTTTATTGAGCACCTACTGTATGCTGGGGATACAGAGATAAGTGAGCTGCAGTCTCTTTCCTCAAAGAGTTAACAGTTTTGTGGACCAACTGGGACAGGAGGTGGCAGGGTCCCCTTTTCCTAGTGTGAGGGCTGCACCTAAACCTGGCTTCCTATGAGAAGTGGTAGCTTTCTTCCTCTGGTGGGAAAGGTTATCCCTGAACCCAGTTTCTCATAGGTCCTCAGGTATTCAGGTGCTGGGCAGCTGGGTGTCCCAGATAACTCCTGTAAATAGCTGGTATCTAAATCCAATCAGCCAGTTGTTTGATTATTCCTTCACTGACAAGGCTGCTCTAATCCCTGCGCTATAAGAGGGAAGTTGATAAAGCTGAAGGGGCAGAGTCCCTTCATCCTTGGAGCATAAACCACATGGGGTCCAGGCCCTGGCAGTCCCCTCAATGACATGGTGAGAAGAAAGGGTAATGCTGTCCTTCTGCCTCTTCTATTGTGACCCACGGCTTGCAAGTTTCCCCAGTAAAGCCTATTCCTTTATCCACCCCTTGTGTATTGTGGAATTTATCCCTAGTCCTGCTGTGTGACAAGTGGAGACTACAAAGGGATCCTTCTTACATGGTATGTCCACATAGAGGACCACTGAGCAAAGAGACTGCACCTCGCTTATCTTTGTACCCCTGGTGTATAGTAGGTGCCCAGTAAACACTTGCCTCGGGAATGAATACACTACTGCATGCCAGGCACAGGACTAAGCATTGCCAATATAGAGATGTGACAGTTATGATCCACTTTCAGCTACTTTCAGCTACAGGCTAGTTTAATGGCTGGGTATGAGTACAGGATTTGGAATCAAAAAGACCTGAGTCTTGTCACTTGCTAACCATAAAAAATGGGTACGCAGCAGTCATCAGCCATACACGTGGTCATCGATGCTTTGGACATAAACAAGACAATAGCTGACACTTATTGTGCAGTGACTGTGGGCCACTTGCTGTTCTAAACTCTAAATCATCTCACTTGATCTTCACAATAACCCTACAAAGTAGGAACTCATGCTATTCCAGTTTTTGTACTGAGGAAACTAGGACACAGAGAACTAAAGTAAATCAGCAAAGCAACACAGCCAGTTTGCAGAATCCAGATTCAAGTGTGACTCTCACACAAGAAGAAAACGTGAGAATATAAAAATGAATCTTGGCATGAGGACAGCCTTTCTAGGCATGAGACAAAAATCATGAAGGAAAAGATGGAAAAGTTAGACTCTTAAAAAAAAATAAGTCCCTGGAATAGAAAAATACCATAAATAAAAGGAAAATGACTAATTGGAAAAATATCTGCAGCACCTACACTATAAACACAAAGAGCTGATTTCATATCTGTTTTTCATATCTTTTTATGTTTTATATATTTTTCCAGACACTTTGCAAATCAATAAGTAAAGGAGAACTAGCCAGTAGAAGAAAGGATCATAGGCGTGAGAAAAGAGTTAATAAAGAGCTATGAATAGAAAATAAACATATGAAAAGATAAATCTCTAAAATTAAGGAAACACAAACTAAAATCATGATGAGATAATATTATTCACCTGTAAGGCTGGAAAAAAAATTTTTTTAATTGTAACAATTATGATGGCAAGAATGTGAAGAACTAACACTCTCCTAATTTTGGTAGACATATACATTGATGCAGTCTTTAGGAAGACAATTATATATTATCTATCAAAATGTAAAATGCACATACCCTTTAACCCAGCAATTCCACTCCTGGAAATGTATTTGCACAAGTGCATAAAGACTCATGTGCCAGGTGTTCATTGCAGTATTTGCAGTTGACATGAGGAGGCATCTCCCAAGGACACCTGCATAGATTGTTCCCGGAGGGCAGGTCCAAAAGGTAGAAAGGGTATGGGAGGATACCTACAACTAGAAAACAACACCCCTGGACTATTGTCTAAGCAGGAAATAAACTTTTCCTAGGGGTTTGTTTGTTATAGCAGCTAGCATTAAGTTAGCTACTGCAACATTGTAATAAAAAAAAGACCAGAAACAACCCACATTTCTATCAGAACCACAGTGAGGCCATATGATAGATTATGATCTGGCTGTCAAGAAATGAGGTGGATCTACAAATATTGACACCTAAAGGAATCAACATATTATTAAGTGAAAAAAGCAGGTTGTAGAACAGTAAGTTTAATATGTCCCTATTTACATACAAAATATACACATGCGTGCTAGTGCCTATATGCATAGACATCTTCTAAAAGGATACACAATACATTTAACAGTTATTATCTTTGGAAAATAACCTTGGGGGATCTGGGCTGGGCTGTAGTGTAGAATGGGACTTCGTTTTCACCTTTAGCTTTTTGCATTCGGATTTATTTTTCTCTTTGCCATGAGCATGTATTTTTTGTCATTTAAAAAAAACTATCTAATGAAAAGCTATTTTTAAAAGTCTCCATTGATATTATTTAGGATGAAGAAAGCCTCTACTGTGGAGTGAGGGGGAGGAAACATGTCTGGAGTGGCTGAGGTGTGGGCGGGAAGGAAGGATATGGAAGGTGAAAATGTATAGCTCCTTTCTCAAGAAGCTCTCTTGGAAAGGAGGAACGGTGATCGTGGGTGTTGAAGGAATGTTTTTGCTGCTGCATGTACAGCTCTGATACATTTCCAGGCAATTGGACTTCAATTTCTTTGGTCCTATCTGCAGCTGACCGTGGGACACTATCTGGAGGTAACTCCCAGGATATCTCTTCTTCTGTGGTCTGGGCTTAATTTCTCTCCCTGCCCTCCCTTCTCCCTGGAAGTGGACCCCATAAGCCTGTGCCTGTCACACTTTAATGTGCATTTGAATCTCGTGTAGGGGTCTTGTTGAAATGCAGTTTCTGATTCAGTAGGTCTAGGGAGGGGGTGCTAAGAGTATGCATTTTTAGCAGGCTCCACAGTGAGGCCGACTTGCTGCTCCTTGGGCCACCCGTTGAATTGCAAGGTCTTAAGGCAGCCCTGGCAATACTGGTACAAAGGACATAGCCAGTGAATATTTATTGCATTAATCAGAATCGGCTAATTGATGTTGGGTGAAAAATTGCGGATGACTTGAATTCAGAAAGCCTGGATTGGAGTCCCAGCTTTTCCTTTTCCTGGCCATGTGACTTTCGTGTTAGTTTCTTCACCTGCAATGTGTGGATCATGGTAATGCCAACTTCACTTGGCTGTTGTGAGGTCAAAGCTGCGAGAGTCCCGTATAAAGTGTAATGCACCGTGACCATCTATTAGCAGGTTCCTCTTTCTCTACTTGATTTCCCCCTTTAGTTCAAGCCTTTTTCATTTTCAAAAAAACCAGCTATCTATCCCTTCACCTGCTCCTGCGACAGTCCTGTATATCTCCTTTTCTTCCCAGCCAGAGTTCTTGGAATAAAGCTGCATGGCTTCATTTCCTCACCTCACATTCATCCTCCTCTTGCTCCATCTCCTCCCACCCCATCGTCTTCTGAAGCGGTACTCTCCGAACACAACCCTAAATGCCAACTCCATCTCGAATCTTGGTCATGTTTCACTTTTCTGTGGCCTCTGAAGCACTTGCCCACTCCCTGCTTGTTGAAACTTGTTTTTCTTCCTTTGGGAACACATTCTTTCTTCCTCCCCGCCCCTGCCCCCCACTGACCATTCTTTCTCCATACACACTTCAGTTATTTCTCCTCAACTTACCACTTCTCATGTCTCAGTTAATGGCCCCACCATTCACCAGTTGTCCAAGCAACACCCATGTCTAATCTATAACCAAATTCAATTGGTGACCTCTCACTCACTCCCTTCTGACGTCTGTCCCAGCCAGCTCAGGACCCACCACAGCTCTCTTCACTCATGATCAGAACTGTGGGGAGCAGCCCAGTGCCTGTCTCTAGCTAGGCTCTACTTTCTAGCTTCCAGCCTGAGTCAGCTTGCTCTCGTGAGATGTTCCCCAGTGACATTAGCATCCAGGAAACAAAATGGCACATGGGGACAGTGATGGTACCAAGTGGAGGCCAAAGGGATCTTTATCCCCCTCTAGTCTCCATTAGTCAATCAGAGTGAATGCATGCCACGAAACAGCATGCATGGCAACTCCCAGACAAGCTTTCTATCCTTCCTCTGATGGGGCCACTCCTACCCCTTCCCCCATATAGAAATTTTGGAGCCACCACCTCCAGAGAGAATGACAGATCATCCCTGAGTACCTGCAGGAGACCCTCAAAAAGGGCCAGGGACCTGTGCAAGAAGCTTCCTGAGGCAACACTGGGTGCCAGGAGCACCTGAGTGCCCTCTCTCTATACTCAGCAGGGCAGAGCACTGCTGGAGAACACCTGAAATCAAAGGCTGGTTCCACTCCAGATATCTGATTGCCAACACAAAGGGGGCTGATATGGTTTGGCTGTGTCCCCACCCAAATATCAAATTGTAGCTCCCGTAATTCCTATGTGTCATGGGAGGGACCTGGTGGGAGGTAATTAAATCATGAGGGTGGGTTTTTCCCATGCTGTTCTCATGGTAGTGAATAAGTCTCATGAGACATGATGGTTTTATAAAGGGGAATTCCCCTGCACATGCTCTCTCTCTTGCCTGTTGCCATGTAAGACGTGTTTTTGCTCTTCCTTCACCTTTCGCCATGATTCTGAGGCCTCCTCAGCCACGCTGAACTGTGAGTCTATTAAACCTCTTTCCTTTACAGATTACCCAGTCTTGGGTATGTCTTTATTAGTAGCATGAGAACAGACTAATTCAGGGGCCTTTAGCACACAGCACAATTCCACCATGTGTCTCTGGACAACTGGCTTTCTAGCTCTGCATGACTATTTCAGACCGTTCCCTTTCTCTGCAAATGACCAAACCCTGCCCTTTCTTGCCACTCTTAGTAGGTGACCTTGCATCCCATTCCACAGAGAATATAGAAACCATTAGAATGTAGTGCTCTCAATATCCTGCTACTAAGCACATAACGTTTTCTATTCTGCCCAGCACTAGGCTGAGTATGGAGCCGGTCAACCCAGCCGTTTCCTGACGCCAGCTTCCCTGCTCTGAAACCTCCTCCACCTCCCAGTTTCCTGCCTGAATTGTCCACGGAGTCCCCACCCTCCACCATCTGCACCCTCATCCTTTCCCACCAGATCTGAATGTTTCCCAGGCAAACTCCTCAGCCAACAACTGCATGAGTCAGTGAGTTTATTTTGTTTGTTAACACCAAGCTTTACAACTTCACACTTCAGTCTCCCGGGGGTATTAATGGTTTTGCAGGGATGAGTTCCGCAAGCCTGCCCCACTTCTTGCAGCATAGCAGCGCCCCCTAGTGGGTAGTTGGAGGTGATCCAATTGCAGTGGTTGGAGCCAACACCTGTTGCCTCCTTGGAGGAAATTAACCAATGATAGGAATGCTTTCCATCTGACTCCCGAATGTTGTTGTCGTACCAGGATACATTAAGCTCCATGATTGCAAGGGGTGAGCAGGAGTTGGTTTTCTCATCATAGAGGGAGCAAGGGCCATGCACTGGGAAGTCAGCTGCCTACATATAATTCATGTCTCAGATGTGCCTAAAACCACATGGGTAGTTGTTGGGTCACTAATACTCCTGCAGGTTCAAAGCCTGCCTAAACTATACACATGTGAGTTCTTTTCTAGGCTTTGGTATAGAATGGTCCAGCTCTGCATGTCAGTTCTGGAAGGCATTTGCAAAACCCAGCAAGATGAACTAGCAGACACTCTTGAATCCCCCAGTCCTTTCCCTTTCTGTCTCTAGGGCTGTGCTGTTCTTTCTGCCTGGATCACTTTACCCTGGCTCTTCCTGTGGCTCAATCCTTCTCATGCTCAGGTCTCAGTTAGAATATCACCACTTTCAAATGTCAGTCTCTGAAGTGGCTTATTTCCTCATCACTCTAAGCACCATCTGTAATTATCTTGCCTCTCTGTTTATCTATTGCCTTTCCCCTCAGGTTAGACTGTGGACCCCATCAGGAAGGCACAGTGTCACTCTCTGAAGTGGTTTATTTGGCTTATTTCCTCATCATTCTAAGCACAACCTGTAATTATCTTGCATATCTGTTTATTGCCTTCCCCCTAGTTAGTCTGTGAACCCCATCAGGAAGGCACAGTGTCTTGCTTGCTGGCTGTGGTATCTTCAGTCCTTGTCACTGTGCCATGCCATCATAGGCAGGCAAAAGAGAATGAATCATACCCACCAAATATTGTGCTTGTTAAATGAATAAGATGGGAAGGAATCAAAGCCTAAATCAAGAAGACGTGAGCTCCTGGAGGAAATGCAGTAGCCCGAGATCTTTAGAAAGAATTTCCCAAAGTGTGTTTACTTATCGTCTTTGTGGCTCACAAGTGATTCACGGATGAAATTTACATTTTTTACAGTTACATTTTTACATGCCTTGTGGTAGGCATAGCTATATGAGCTTTTACATGTATTATCTCATATAAATACCACAGAATATCATCAAGGAGCTATTACTATTAACTTTATAGCCTTATTTTAACCTTATTATAATTTGAGGGAATTAGGCAGAGAAGTAACCCGCCCAAAGACCCAAGGTACTGAATAGCGAAGCTAAGATACAAATTCAAGTGTTTTGACTCTAGTACCTGTCCCCGTAAACTCCAGGCTACGAGTCTCATTAAAGTTAGGCAAGGCAAAGATGCTTATTTTAATGTATTTTAGAAAATTGGAACCAGGTCATCACTTTTACTTAACCAACTTCATCGTTTAGGATGAAGCTTAAACACATAGTGAAGGTAGAAAATGTAAATTGATCTAAACACAAATATTAAGAAAATAATAGTCTAAGTCCTTGAATATGGTAAAAAGTTGGTCCTTCAATTACTAAAGTTTGGGAGCCTCTGACTCAAAACAATATTGGTGCAGCCAAAGGGAATCCAAACCAGAGTAATATGGGCATGTACTTACTCAGCAAATATTTGCTGAGCACCCACTCTTCACCAGCCATCTTGCTAAGTGCTGAAGTCACGGCTATAAATAACATAGATGTAGTACTTGCTGCCCTCATGGGGCCTCTGGTTTGGTGGAGGAGATAATGGGCAAAATAAAAAAAAATAATTACAACTTGTGATAAAGGAAAAGAAAGAGAATAAGTGTAATGAGGAAATTAAGTGATCAGAGAAAACCTGGGGGACATTTGAGCAGAAGGACAAGAGTTGAGCATAGGCTTAGGCAAAAAGACAAGGCTAGCGTGGTGGCACACGCCTGTAATCCCAGAACTTTGGGAGGGCTAGGTGACTGGATTGCTTGAGCTCAGGAGTTTGAGACCAGCCTGGGCAACATGGTGAAACCGTGTCCCTACAAAAAAATACAAAAATTAGCCAGGCATGGTGGTATATACCTGTAGTCTCAGCTACTTGATGGGGCTGAGGTGGGAGGATCACTTGAGCCCAGGAAGTCAAGGCTGCAGTGAGCTGAGATTGCGCCGTTGCACTCCAGTGCCTGGGCAACAAAGCAAGACTCTGTCTCAATTAACAAAAGAAAAAAAGAAAGAAGAGAAAAGAAAGAAAACAAAAGAAAGAAAGAGAAAAGACAGTAAGATGACATGAAAACACAGTTAAGACCAGAAAAATCAAGGTATGGGTGAAGTAAGCTAGTACCAAAAAGAATAAAAAAGAAACACAACTACGCTGACAGCAGTAAAGAGCAGAATTAGCGATGTCAAAAATAAACATTAGAACAAACCGGAGCCTGATCTTACGCTTCTAAAATAAAATTCACAACATTGAGCTGATGAGAGAGAAAGTAGAATGGAAGACAGAGTGGTTATAGGCAACTTGTAGTTTGCTGATGTTATTGAAGAAGAAACCCAGAACAAATTGGACAGAGCTATAGGCAAAGATTTCATTAAAGAGACCTTCCCAGAGATATAAGATGGCTATGTGGGGTACATTAAAAGGTCAGCCTAGTCTGAACGAAATAAAACCCACATCCGAGAGCTAACGTGCCTGTGAAGGCAAAAGAAAAGTTTTATGGCATGCAACATCTTGAAAAGCATTAGATCCTGCTCTTCAAAAAATCCCTTGAAAAGAAAAACAACATTCTGAGTGATGGTGTGGAAAAGCTCAAGAATGGAAAAGTTGTATATAAAAGGACAGTGATGGGGTTAAACAAACACTAACCCCAAATAAATAATACATGTAGCTTCTAATGTCAACATTATGCTTTTAAAAAAGATAGAGACAGGCATGGTGGAGTGCACCTCTTGTCCCAGCTACTTGGAAGGCTGAGGCAGGAGGATTGCTTGAGCCCAGGATTTTGAGTCCAGTCTAGGCAACATAGTAAGACCCTTTCTCTCTTAAAAAAAAAAAAGATAAAAATTAATAATTTGATACATCAAATCCACATTAACAAAGACCGAAAAGTTGGCAAAACAGGAAGAAAAGGAGAGAGGACAGAGAAAAACTACACAAGTCTCTTTACTAAGAGATACTGTCTACTCATTTACTGTATTAGAAAACTATAAAATGAACTATTATAAACAGGATACATACCTTCCAAAATACTGGAAAATGGAAAAGAAAAGAAAATTGTGTGGCCATATAACAAAAGACACAGGGGATAAGAAAGCAGAAAAAAAGAAAAGCAAAACTTTTAGAGCAAGTTGACAGAAGTATAAAAGACGGATTGTATTAATATTAAAAATTGTTGGAAATAGGCCAAACACCATAATTTTCAAAATGACAACAACGAGAACATTTGTGTTCATACGACCACCCCAGAATACAGAGGCAGGAACATTTTATATGAAAATGGAGAGGTGAAGATACATTAGGAAAATGTAATTCTAAAGAAAGCTAGAGATAGGATTCTACTTCCTGTAGAAATTCTGTAGAATTTCTGTGAAATTCCACGGAAAGTAGAATCCTAGGAAAAAAGATATTAAATGAGACAAAGTGAATCATTCAATATTGAAAAAGGTGCCTGTAATCTCAGCACTTTGGGAAGCTGAGGCAGGCGGATCACCTGAGGTCAGGAGTTCAAGACCAGCCTGGCCAACATGGCGAAACCCTGTCTCTACTGAAAATACAAAAATCAGCCAGGCCTGGTGGCAGGTGCCTGTAATCCCAGCTACTCGGGAGGCTGAGGCAGGAGAATAGCTTGAACTCAGGAGGTGGAGGTTGCAGTGGGCTGAGATCATGCCACTGCACTCCAGTCTGGGCAACAGAGCGAAACTGTCTCAAAAACAAAAACAAACAAACAACAAAAAAAAAAAAAAAAGAAAGAAAGAAAAGAAGAAGGGACCAATTCATAGTTGGAACTTGTACATAACACGCTGAATCAAACCCAGCATTTACTTCCACTCCCTCTCTGATTAGCACTAGATTGATAATAAGTGGATAAAAAATATAAATATCAAAATGTCAAAGAGAAATGGTGAAGGGTTTGTGTCAGACAACAAATATAGGCATATTTTTGGAAGAAGGGAGGCTAATTTGTTTTTACTGATTTAACTATTCATTTTGAGATAGGGTCTCCCTCTGTCTCCCAGGCTGGAGTGCAGTGGCACGATCACGGCGCACGACAGCCTCCAACTCCTTTTTTTTTTTTTTTTTAAGAGACGGAGTCTCACCCATGTTGCCCAGGCTGGTCTTGAACATCTGGCCTCAAGTGATCCGCCCACCTTGGGCTCCCAAAGTGGCTGGGATTGCAGGCGTGAGTCACTGCACCCGGCCCTGAGGCTGATTTGTGAGAGGCATTGGACTTAGGAAAGAGGAGAAGGCTGAAACTCAAGTGGCTGTGGGAGAGGAGGTGTCACTAAGGAAGAGAAAGTGAGTTCTTGACACAGAACCTTCCAAAAGCTCAGGAACTGGAGGCACCAGTGACCCCAGTGGCGGTGAGCGTTTTGGGAAAAGGCACAATCAATGTTAGAGGTCTCTAGAAAGAGGAGCTACATCCACAGAGCCTTCCCCCTACCCACAGCCAGGCCGCTGCCCTGCACCTATTAGGGCAGCAGAGGGAAGATTATGTCTTGGAAATATTGAACCAGGGAGCCCCCAGGGTCAGTGACACAGGGAACAGAGAAGAACGGGGTGAGGCACCAAGCTAGAACGCTGGCAGGCAGTGTAGCTACTCCCACCTGACAAGCGGAGGAGCCCTCTCAAGAGAAACTGACCAGTCAAAGTGTCGAGTCCAATCTACCAGAGCACAATGTATTACAAGGAAAGCATGGACGGGTGTGGTAGCTCATGCCTGGAACCCCAGCACTCTGGGAGGCCAAGGACAGCAGATCATTTGAGCCCAGGAGTTCAAGACCAGCCTGGGCAACATAGTAAGACCAAGTCTCTACAAAAACAAACAAAGAAAATTACAAAAACATTAAAAATAATAAAAATAATTAGCCAGGCATGGTGGCATGGGCCTGTGGTCCCAGCTGCTTGGGAGGCTGAGGTGGAAGATCGCTTGAGCCTGGGCGGTTGAGGCTGCAGTGAGCTATGATCGTGTCCCTGCACTCCAGTCTGGGCGACAGTGGGACGCTGCTTCAAAAAAAGAAAAAACATTCCCCTCCCTGTGTCCATGTGTTCTCATTGTTAACTCCTACTTGTGAGTGAGAACATGTGGTGTTCGGTTTTCTGTTCCTGTGTTAGTTTGCTAAGAATGATGGCTTTGAGCTTCAGAACTTAAAGTAAAACAAAAAATTTAAAAAAAAAAAAAAAGAAAAGAAAAAAAGAAAAAAGAAAAGCTGCCAAATCCCACCAAGATCAATACCATTGCGTCTAATCCAGTTATAATTCAGTGCAGAAATAGGTCAAAAGAAAAAATTATCATCTCTACACATTCTGAAAAAGCACTTAGTAAATTCTACATCTATTACTCATTAAGGACAAAAGCTGATAATCTTAAGAAATCAGGAAGGCTGCATCTTTAATGTGAAACAGAATATCCATCTCAACCCCATAGGCACTAGCATATTGAAGGATGAAATAATACCAATAGCTAACATTTATTGAGAGCCTTGTGGTAGGCATAGCTATATGAGCTTTTACATGTATTATCTCATATAAATACCACAGAATATCATCAAGGAGCTATTACTATTAACTTTATAGCCTTATTTTAACCTTATTATAATTTGAGGGAATTAGGCAGAGAAGTAACCCGCCCAAAGACCCAAGGTACTGAATAGCGAAGCTAAGATACAAATTCAAGTGTTTTGACTCTAGTACCTGTCCCCGTAAACTCCAGGCTACGAGTCTCATTAAAGTTAGGCAAGGCAAAGATGTCCCCTAACACAATTAATATTTAATATTGTTCTATAATGTGTAGACAACTCAATTAAAACTTTAATAACTGGAGAGATGGAAAATCATAATGTTCGACAGACATCAATTCTTCTCAAATGAATCTATAAATCAAGTGTAATTCCAATCCAGATCCCAAAAGGATTTTAAAAATTGAATTTGACATAATAACTATAAAGTTTCTATTGGATCAGTATATTAATGAAAAGAGCCAACGCATTTTGAAGAGCCGTGGGGGATGGAATTGTAATAGCCCATATTAATATATATATTGTAAAGCTGTAGTAATTAAAACAGTGTGGTTCTGGATCACTATTTGGATTGCAGATAAGTTTAAATTTTATGGAAGGCACTCTCTATAATTTATCCTGTCAAAGTATTAAGATATTTGCAAAAAGATGGATAAGGATGCTTAACTTAGTATTATTTATTTAAAGTGGTGAAATAATAGAAACAACCTAAGTGTAACATAATACTAATATTTATTAAATGATAGCACATTCATTTAATGAACTGCTATGCTGTGATTATAATAACATTTTAGAAAATGCTAGAGATATAGGGAAAATGCCAGTGTAAATTGGTAGGTTAAAAAAGTCAGAAAATACTTCATATGCACAATAACTGGTCTGTGTATTTGTGTACTTGGATATTAAAAGGAAGACAAAATTTTTACATGATACTCTGGTATTGTCTACTTCTCCCAACTATATATAAAATATACCACTTTACTACTTTCAGTTCTTTTTTTTTTTTTTTTGAGACAGAGTCTTGCTCTGTCACCCAGGCTGAAGTGCAGTGGCACGATCTCGGCTCACTCCAAGCTCCACTTCCTGGGTTCACCCCATTCTCCTGCCTCAGCCTCCTGAGTAGCTGGGACTATAGGCACCTGCCACCACGCCCGGCTAACTTTTTGTATTTTTTTTTTTTTTTTTTTTTAGTAGAGATGGGGTTTCACCGTGTTGGCCAGGATGATCTCGATCTCCTGACCTCGTGATCCACCTGCCTCGGCCTCCCAAAGTGCTGGGATTACAGGCGTGAGCCATCACGCCCGGCCCACTTGCAGTTCTTGATGACTTTTCCTGAAAGATGTGTAGAACAGCCTATTCTTTGATTTTCATACAAAACCCTTCACTGCTTTACTCCCTGTGCACTTATAAATTCGAAATAGGAAGCTTCAGTACAGAGGTAGAGTCCATTTCAGCCAAACAACTTATAGCAACAACCTCAAAGAGAAAATCAGGTGTAGATGCATAGAATATACTGCATGATACATAAGAACATATTACATCGGGTCTCTGAGGAGGGAACTGAAGGGCTAAGGGCTGGAAGGAAACTCATTTTTTATTGCGAGACATAATTCCTGAAAGAAGATAGAAATATTGCAAAATATTCAGTCATTAGACGTCAAAGAAATAAAAAATTAAGTCCTTTGTAATTTTAAAATTGATTTTTTAATTGTAATTATGAATTAATGTTTAAATTAATCCTTTGTAATGTTAATCCTTGGAAATACAAATTATATCCTTGTTGCACCCTTTGACTTCTTGGGTCAAGTGCATTTTTTTTTTTCAAATGAAGATCGTACAAGGGAAAAGTCTGAATTTCTGTTTCGCTACTTACTACTGTGCAGCCTCAGGCAAGTCACTTAACCTCAGTCTGAGCCTCAGCTTCCCCATTAAAGGGGATAAAATAAAACTCACTCTGCAGAACTGTGGAAAGACTTCGAGACGATGCGTGGAAATTTCTCAGTATGTTCTGATGCGTAGTAGGCGCTTGCTAGCTGTAGTTATGATTAACCTCGTACCTGTCTGAAGCTGTAGGGAGAACTGAAGCAGAATGTAATTATCCATGTTGGAACCAGGCCAGGATACCTGAGTCTTGCAAAACATGCAGCTGAATGTTCAATCAAGATAGGCAAGTACACAGCCTCAGAACATACCCAATGCTTTCCCCTAGGGTTCAGGAAGTAAAATGCATTTCACCATAGCACATCTGCTCGTTTTTTAAAATTCCACAACTAATTAAACAGAATCCTCATCAGCAAGCTCTATGTGGATTAGCTAAATATGTCAGCAAACTCTGGCCCTTTTCTGTTAAACACAGGTGATTTCTTCTGTCTACTGGTGCCTCCAGTCAGTTGCTGAATGCGGAGAATTGGATGGTTAAGGCTAACTTTTACTTAATCCATGGAAAGGCACTTCTCATGCAATAGGTCAGTTTGACAGCTCTTTACAATTAGGAAGGCCCAAGAGTTTGGTGGTTAAACCTACAGACTCTGGAATCTGCCTGACGTGGTTTCTAATTCTACTTGCCCACCTCCTGAGTAATCACGGGTAAGCTATTTAACCTCTTTAAGCCTCAGTTTTCTCCTCTGTTAAATGGGTCAAATTGTGGTGCTTAACCTCCTGGGATTATTGTAATAATTAAGTGTGATGTACTTTGTACAGTGCCTGGTACTGGGTAAGACCTAAAAAGTTTGACAAAACAAAGATATATGTGTTTTTGCATTAAAAGAGCCTTCCTCAAGAAGGTCACCTATTGCACAAAAATGTATATAACTGGGATCTCTTTAAAGAAAGCTTTAACAGCAAGATAAAAGCAATCACAAAGAACATTCACATTGTCCTCTGTGATAAGCTTATAAATAACTGGTTTATTAGATATCCCTAAAAGTAAAATATGAGAAAAAGTATCATTCTATTATGGTGAAAAACATTTCAATGGTTTCAAAGAGAAAAAAATAAAGCAATGCTCCTTTAAAAAGAAAATCCTTGTAGAAAACCCCAAAGTCTGATTATTAATGTGATTATTAAATGGCATCTCTCATATCTCCCCATTTTTCAATGGGCAGGTTGTCATATACATGTAACTAATTATTAGTTAACTCCAAGCCCTTGTGTGGAAAGTAATCTTCAGATTAGCAAGGAGGTCAAAGGAGAGATATCCGAAGCTTTTTTCTTTTCTGATTGTACAAGATTGTCATGAAGGATACATGGGTTTTTCCTTATTATGCCAAGAATCTTGAAATAGAGGAAAGTATTCACTGGTTAACTATTATATCTTGAAGTCAATCCTAAGAATAGTCACTGCTGAAAAGGCAATAATTTAGTCAGTTGTATTTTACTTTATTTTTTAAAAAATATTTTTGTCAAAAGTCTGTTATTTCCAGGAAATTTATAGGCAATTCCCAAACTCTCCCATCTCATCTCACTTCCTGGTTGTGGTAGAAACCTGTTGAATGTGTAAAGGGTAGTCCCCACTGGAAACTATTTTAGTGAAAAACACAAATCTAAGTTGAAATCTTGTTTCCATCACCTAAAAATTGAGGGACACTGAGCAAGTCCCTTAAGCTCCCCAAGTCTCAGTTTCCACACATCTAAAATGGAGAAAGCAATTCAGGTTGAGTATCCCTTATCCAAAATGCTTGAGACTAGATGTGTTTCAGATTGGGGATTTTTTCCAGATTTTGGAATATTTGTATTATACTTACCAATTGAGCATCCCGAATCTGAAAATCCAAAATCCGAAATGCTCTAGTGAGCATTTCCTTGAATTGTCATATTGGCACTCAAAATGCTTTGGATTCTGGAGCATTCCAAATTTTGGATTTTCAGATTGGGGATGGTCAACCTGTATATTTCTTACAGGGCTTTTGTGAGGCTTCAGTGAATGACTTATATGATTAAATAATTGTATACGAAGTGTTGGCACATGTTACAGGATGCCCTTCGCAACTTCCCTCCGTACTTATTATCATCTCAAATAAGTTCGATTTTGATTGTAAATTTGTCACCAAAGTCTGTGAGTCTGAAGCTTTCATTGTTCTCTCTGCTTAATCCTTTGTCCATTTTTAGGAAATGTGTGGCTGTGTTTGTGTGAGTGTGTCCAAGTTTTTGCATGTGAATTTTTAGGTAGACACTTCTGTGTGTGGCTAAAGCATAAAGGAAGATGGGCCGACCTCGACTGTCACGATGCCACGGCTGTTATACAGTTTCATCAACCAGTTCATTCAGCATTGACAGAGAGGGGAACTTGTTTGTTCTATGCACTGTCCCTGGTGCTGATAGCAAATTTTTGCCTTAATTAAGGAATTCATGTTTTAGCCAAGAAGACAAAGGGCTACAAAACAAAGAGAAATGCTTAGGGTGGAAATGCACCCAAGGTGCAATGAGAACCTGTGAGGTAGTGGCACCTCACTCTGTCCCAGAGAGTGCAAGAGTGCCTCAGTTAAGCCCACATTAATTTGGTTAAATCTACATCCAAACTAATACTCAGATGAAGTGGCAGGCAACAACAGACCATATAGTTTCCAGAAGGAGCAAATGGTCAGTGGTGTCTAATGCTAAGAAAAGCCAGAGACGGAGCCAGGCGCGGTGGCACACGCCTGTAATCCCAGCACTTTGCCAGGCCGAGGCGGGCGGATCACAAGGTCAGGAGATCGAGACCATTCTGGCTAACATCATGAAACCTGTCTCTAATAAAAATACAAAAAATTAACCAGGTGTGGTGACACACGCCTGTAATCTCAGCTACTCAGGAGCCTGAGGCAGGAGAATTGCTTGAACCCGGGAGGTGGAGGTTGCAGTGAGCTGAGATTGTGCCACTGCACTCCAGCCTGGGCAACAGAGCAAGACTCTGTCTCAAAAAAAAAAAGAAAAAAAAAAAAAAAAAAAGAAAAGCCAGAGACATTCTTGAAAAGTAGCCTTTGTATCTGTGAGATTACACAGCCTTAGTAAAAGGTGGGCATAAGAGCACAGATCAGTTAGGCTTGAATGAGTGAAAGAATAGCGACTGGTTTAGGGAGTGTTCAGATTTGGTTCTCCTGTCCCCACTCCAAAAGCAGACACAGAGACAAGGATTTAAATTCAATAAATGTATTTGGAAGGTGACCTAAGAAAACACCAGAGAGTAGGTCAGAAAGGAAGCCAATAAAGAGGGTGCTGTTAAGCCAGTTACCACTGTGGGAAACTGAGGCTTGGTCCCACTGGGAGCTCTGGAAGGCAGTGTGGGATCCAACCTAGAGTTGTCCCAACTGAAGAACAAGAAAGCTGTTGTATTTATCTTCCACATCTTTGTCTGTTATTCACTGAGGGCTGGCTCCAGGCTTATGAAGTCTCCAGAATTTTGGCTTGCAGTGGCATGATCATGGCTCACTGCAGCCTTGAACTCCTAGAAGCTTAAGTGATCCTCCCACCTTAGCCTCCCGAGTAGCTGGGACTGTATGCACATACAACCATGCCTGGCTAGTTTTTTTTTTTTTCCCGTAGAGATGGGGTCTCGTTATATTGCCCAGGCTGGTCTCAAACTCCTGGCCTCAAGCGATCCTCCCACCTCGGCCTTCATGGGCCAAGCATGCCCCTACTGAGTCACAGCCTTCATCATGTGAGGGTGAAGACTAAGAGGGATCTGAGCCAAGCACCAATCGTGTCTGCTACAGGTGCCTGCAGCTGTGTAAATAGTTTGGAGGGTGCTATAGACTGAGTGTTTGTGTCATCCCAAAATTTATATATTGAAACCTAATCCCTAAGGTGATGATATGTGAAGGTCAGGTCTTTGGGAGGTGATTAGATCATGGAGACAGAGCCCAGCAAATGGGATTAGTGTCTTTATAGAATAGACCTCAGAGAGCTCCCTCATCTCTTCTGCCATGTGAGGACACAGCAAGAAGATGGCTATTAATTAACCAGGAAATGGGGTCTCACTGGACACTGAATCTGCCAGCACCTTGATCTTGAACTTCCCAGCCTCCAAAACTGTGAGAAATAGATTTCTGTTATGTATAAGCCACCCAAACAAATGAAGACAGTGGGAAATGGAAGGATTTGCAGGAGCAAGGTCATGTGCTGAAGAGCAGGGCCAAAGATTTACAGTGGACTGAAAGGTTTGAAATGGCCTTTGGGGGAATAGAGTGGGAGGTTCCCAGGTGCACACGATAAATCACTAGAACTGCTAGGGACTCTGATGAATTGTGACTCATAATTTAAAAGTGGAATTAGATCAGGCATGGTGGCTTGTGTCTGTAATCCCAGTGCTTTGGAAGGCAGAGGCAGGAGGATCACTTGAGGTCAGGAGTTTGAGACTGGCCTGGGCAACATAGCAAAACCTCATCTCTACAAAAAGGTTTAAAAATTAACTAGGTGTACCTGTAGTCCCAGCTACTTGGGAGGCTGAGGTGGGAGGACCGTTTGAGCCCAGGAGCTTCAGGCTGCAGTGAATCATGATCATACCACTGCTCTCACCCTGGGTGACAGAGCAAGATCCTCTCTTAAAAAAAAAAAGAAAAAGAAGTGGAATCGATGCCACAGTAACACTAAAAATGTGAAGTATAAGCCAGCAAAGGAAAACAGAGTAAATGTCTCCCTTTTGGGGTTCTTGAATTTGTTTTGTTTCTTCAAATCTATGAAACAGAGGTCACTCTCTAGGTGGTAGAAAAATAATTATGTCAGGCCCGCTACTTAGAGTTGTGCTAAGTTGTTTTCTGGCCAAGGGTGCCCAGCCAAGGGAGAAAAGGAGGTGAAATCAAGTCTTCACTTAGTTTACCAAGCTGTCTCCCCTATAGCTGGGCTTACACGCTGTCTATTTTCCGTGAGGCCGGCAGCATCCCTGCACTTCACACAAGAAGCCCAGGGGTTTGGGCCAATGTAGATCTTCAAATATGGGTCATCCAGGCCCTGTGTCCAATGGAGAGACATGAACACAGCATTTTACATCACCACCTCCCCAAGTTGTATTTCCCAAGAAAGGTTTTCTGCCCATTAGTATCAGAGAAAGAAACAAAAAGCTATATTTCAATTTGTTTATTGCTCTAAAGCATCTGTTACTTTGCTATGTTTTGCAGGGAAACTTGGCATCTCATATTCATAAATGAGCTGCTTTGGGTTTAATTGTGCAGCTAACTTGAGCTATAAAACAGAATCCGTAGCTGCTTGGAGAGGGTTTTGAGGGAAAAGAAAATGAACCTCCAGGGCTACTTTGCTTAGAAGATAATCTGTGTGTTAACGGCATCCCATGTAAGCCACGTACATTTAGCTCTCAGTCTTAGGGTATGAGGGAGCCTGGGCTTCCACACATGAGCCAGGAAAGAAAGGCTGATTTCTGATGGCCTGACCCTTGGGGACAGGCTGAGAGAGCTGGACTGGGCCAGATGGTCTGTCCCTATCTCTGACTCCAGGCATTTTGTCGACCAGTGACCACAGTGGGTGGACCGGGTAACTGTCTGCAGAACCTTCTGCTCAGTCTTCCCCACTTTATCCCCAGCAGAGGAGCATCTTCAGTAAAAAATTAAGGACTAGGCTGGGCGCAGTGGCTCAAACCTGTAATTCCAGCACTTTGGGAGGCCGAGGCAAGTGAATCACTTGAGGTCAGGAGTTTGAGACCAGCCTGGCCAACACGGTGAAGGCCCGTCTCTATTAAAAATACAAAAATTACCCGGGCGTGGTGGCGCACGCCTGTAATCCCAGCTACTCGGGAGGCTGAGGCAGGAGAATCACTTGAACCCAGGAGGCGGAGGTTGCCGTGAGCCGAGATCCCACCACTGCACCCCAGCCTGGGCAGCAGAGTGAGATTCTGTCTCAAAAAAAAAAACAAAGAAAAGAAAAGAAAAATGAGGACTAAATGGGATCCACAATGACATAGAGTGAGGTCCTCTAGCAGAGAGTGAGATTTAAGAGCAATAGCCCCAAGTTCAAAATTCTGTTCTTCCTGTTTTTTTTTCCCCTCCTCTCAATTTTATCTCTAGGGACTATGGATTGCATTGACATCTGAAAGATTTTTCTATATTGGAGGCTTACAGAAACAAAGTTGGGGCAAGACTTTTTCTTCTAAGCCACCTCTCACAGATCCTTAAAGAGGGAAAACGGGGGATGGGGGAGGGGTGGCAATATGTCACATAAGAGTGAAAAATGTTGGCTGGGAGCGATGGCTTATGCCTGTAATCCCAGCACTTTGGGAGGCCAAGGTGGGTGGGTCACTTGAGGTCAGGAGTTCAAGACCAGCCTGGCTAACATGGCGAAACCCTATCTCTACTAAAAATAAAAAAATTAGCTGGGCGTGGTGGCACGTGTCTGTGACCCTAGCTACTCGGGAGGCAGAGGCATGAGAATCGCTTGAATTGGGGAGGTGGAGGTTGCAGTGAGCTGAGATCATGCCAGTGCACTCCAGCCTGGGTGACAGAGTGAGACTCTGTTTAAAAAAAAAAAAAGACAGAGAGGGAGAGAGAAAGAAAAAAGAGTGAAAAATGCAGTGGTTCAGGGCTGAAACGCTACAGGTCAAAAGGAGTGATGGTCAAGATAGATGTCTAGGTGGGATCAGAGCCTGACTAACTTTCTACAAGGGATAAAACTGAGAGTAGACATATATATATATATATAATATATATATATATATATTTTTTTCTCTATTTTGCTGATGGGAAAACTGAAATTAGGGAAGTTACCCAAGGCCATCCAGTTCAAAGGTGGCAAAGCAAAGGTTTGAACCCAGAAGCTACAGGACCAGTCCCAGGGCTCAGGAAGAAGAAGACAGAATGTGAAGCTCCTTCTATTATGGATAGAATCCTGTGATGAGAAGTTACGGAGAGTCCCGCAAACACCCGCATCCTCTCCGTAAACTATTGTAAATGAAGCTTCTGCTTTTCCTTCTACCTCGGCAGGAGCTCAATTTGGAGTCAGAAGAACCTGGGTTTAAAAGTCAGCCCAACCTCTAACTAGTGTGTTCTTACACAAATTATTTAACCTGTCTATTCCTTGGGTTCCTATCTATAAAACAGAGACAGTAGCAGTAATAATTCATAGGGTTGTCACAAGGATTCAATGAGATAAAATGAGATGCATGATATCATGTGAAGCCCCAAGAATGGTCCCTGACACATAACAAGCACCCTGTAGGTATCAGATGTCAAAATTCATATTTACAAGTGAATTCCAGTGGAATCTGGGTCAAGCATAGCTCAATGCCTTTCTTGACCCTGGGTCTTTCCCTTTTCCTCTGTCTCTGTGACTTGCCCATTGCAGAAAAATGATAGAGCCTTTATCCTCAGTGGGGCAGGACCGAGTTGTTTTGATTTCTAGAGGTGGGTCTGGAAGCCACATTTATGATTGTTCTCTGTGAGGCCCCAGAGAGGGTGAGGGAAGTCTAGATCTCCTCTGTGGCTGGCTGGGTGGGTTCCCCAACTTTTCCTTCAGGCAGATCCCAAAGTCAAGTTTAAGAGGTGATGAGTAGCTATGGAATGCCTAATTTTGGCCTTGGGTTCCAGATTCATTCTTCAATCTAGCTTGATGAGGAATACAAGTTAAATTATATTTTAATTTCCATCTGCACCTATTTTTTTAACTTAGTTTAGAACCAGAAAGTGAAGAGAAGCATTAATTGTTGACTTCAAACCTCAACCGAAGGGAAGTGTACAGTTTAGCCATCGTGTAATATTTTGCCTTCAATCCAAAAAACCACAAAAAACAAAAACCAGTTACATAGTTATTATAGCCACTAGAGTGACTTTCTAAAAGAGCTCACTTTATTTTTTGGATTGTGCTAATTGTGGATGCCTGGACTTCCTACCCACCCTACATAGCACAGACCCAATTTCTCTTCCACATAACAGCTTTTCAAATACTTCTATCTTAGATAACTCTTTTGTCCCAGAAAAATATCTCCTATTCATCCAACTGTTTCTCATTGGACCTGTTTTTTAGTTTCCTTGCCATTCTGGCCTCTCCAATTTTTTCTGGCTGTCTCTGAAAGGGTTTAAACCCTCAGACTGAGTTGCAGGGCTGATGTTATGGACAATAGTTGTCTGATACAGCTGGGCTGGTGGGACACTTCCTGAGCTTCTTTACAATCATTTTCTTTCATCTTGTGGTTCTCAGAGGCAAGAATGGCTCATGTGCTTGGGAATTGGCATCTGCTGGCACTTTATAATATTCTGCAAGCACTATAAAGTGATCTGAATTTTCCCCAAATGGAGTATACAGATAGCAGGAATGTTGCTATGGTCTGGGAATCTTTTTTTTTTTTTTTTCTGAGATGGAGTCTCACTCTGTTGCCAGGCCAGAGTGCAGTGGCACAATGTCAGCTCACTGCAACCTCTGCCTCCTGGGTTCAAGCGATTTTCCTGCCTCAGCCTCTCAAGTAGCTGGGACTATAGGCATGCACCACCACGCCTGGCTAACTTTTGTGTTTTTAGTTGAGACGGAGTTTCAACATGTTGGCCAGGATGGTCTCAATCTCTTGACCTCGTGATCCACCTGCCTCAGCTTCCCAAAGTGCTTGGATTACAGGCATGAGCCACCCTGCCCAGCCTCTTTTTTGTTTGTTTGTTTAAGATGGAGTCTCACTCTGTCACCCAGTCTGGAGTGCAGTGGCACAATCTTGGCTCACTGCAACCTCTGCCTCCTGGGTTCAAGCAAGTCTGGCTCAGCCTCCTGAGTAGCTGGGACTATAGGCGCATGCCACCATGCCCGGCTAATTTTTTTATTTTTAGTGGAGACAGGGTTTCGTCATGCTGGCCAGGCTGGTGTCAAACTCCTGACCTCAAGTGATCTGCCTGTCTCAGCCTCCCAAATTGCTGGGATTACAGGCATGAGCCACTGCACCCAGTGATCTGGGAATCTTAATGCAGCTAAGTTCACTCCCTCACTGATCTCCAAGGTTCTCTTGGAAACCCTATGTATATCATTTTTTAATTTTTTGAGATGGGGTCTTGCTGTGTTGCCCAGACTGGAGTGCAGTAGTCTAATCACAGTTCACTGTAGCCTCAACATCCCAGGCTCAATTGACCCTCCCAACTTAGCCTCCCTAGTAGCTGGGACCACAGGTGTGCACCGCCATGCCTGGCCAATTTTTAAACATTTTCTGTAGAGATGAGGTCTCACCATGTTGTTCAGACTGCTCTCAAATTCCTGGGCTCAATGGATCCTCCCACCTCGGCCTCCCCAAGTGCTGGGATTACAGGTGTGAGCCACCACACCTGACCTTGTGTATCATTTTTAAAATGTGATGTAAGAAATAAAGATTTCATGCAAAATTTCTCAGTTATAAAATTTTGGCAAATTATTTTTAAACAACATCAACAGCTACAAACAAACAAACAAACATGATAAGAGCCAAATAAACTGTGTCTCCTGATGCTTCAGGCTACTGTCTGCAAATCTGAAGCCTGCATGCCTCAGCCACTGGCCTATTCTTCTTTCTTTTGCTGATGTTTACAAAGGACCTGTTCGATTCCAGGCACCTGAGAAAATGCTGGGAGAAGAGAAGTGAGCAAAGGACCCACAGTTCTTGTCCTTGTGAAACTTGCCCAGAATTAAAGTAACCTACGAGCCTTTGTCATAAGTCTCTTAGATGCTGTGAAGAGTCTTCTCCAGCTTTCCAAGGCCCCCAAGTACCCTCCTGCCCTCACCTTGCTGAGAAGTTAGGATTCTGTCGTGAGAGTCATCTTCCCTTATGTTGACCTCTTTGTTCCCATTCCTGTCAGCTTCCTGCAAGCTCTACTTTCTCTCAACTGGCTTCTTTTGGCTCTTTCCATTCCAATATGGCTTAATGTGGATTTTGGGACCCTCTTTAGAGCATGGAGCCCTCTGGAGACTGAGAGGAGATGAGGAAACAGGAGAAGGGGTAGAGACCGAGCAAGAAGCAGGACCCAGGAGAGCCCTTGGAGCCTGAGGTGACCATGTGGACTCAGCCCTGTCTCCTCCTGACAGCGCAAATGTCTGCTCCACACAGCAGCAGGCAGAGTGTCCTCTCAACGCTCAGCAGTGGAGGAGGAAGGGAAACAGCATTTCACAAATCACCTGCTGAAGTCAAGAAGTGGTCAGGGGCATCCCTAGGTGTTCCTTTTAACTCTGTCAGCAGCCCTACAAGACATGTGCTGTGATTATTTCTACTTTTCAGACGAGGGAAGTGACTTTAGACGAGGGAAGTTCTTTCCCAGAATCATAGAGCTAGTAATTGGCAGAGCTAGAATTTGAATGGAGATCTGTCCTTTGGTTGCAAGTGATGGAAACTCAGTTTAAACTCTCTCAAACAACAAGGGAATGTATTGCCACACATACTTTGAAAGTCCAGCGATGCATCTAGTCTCAAGCCCATCCAGATCTAACAGCGTTCCTGGGGCTCTCTGTATCCATCACTCGACTCTGCTGTTCTCTGTATGTTGATTTCATTTTGCAGATTTCTCCCTTCAGGTGACTGGCAAAGGTGTCTATTGGCACCTGGGTTACATAATCCTCACAGCTTGATCCCAGAGGAAAAGACACTTATTTCTACCAGAGTCCATAGACCGTATCTTAGGGAGGTTTGGATTCACCCATTTTGAGTCACATGCCATTCCTGAAGAAATCCCAGCAGGCAGGAGGCATGGAGTTCCCTGAGTGGTCAGCTCAGGTCATGAGCCCATCTCCATGGGGGGAGGGCAGTGCTGTACACTCCTCAGCCTGGGCCACATGGCACAAAAGGCTTCCTAGAGAAAAATCAAAGTGGTACCAGCCAAATAGGGGATCGAATAGGTAAAACAGAAAATATAGACAACAGATGTATATATCTGGGTGACAGAGTACACATTGGTTGTCTATACTTTGTTACTGAAGGTTTTTTTCCCCCAGTTTTTAATTTTAATTTAACTTTATTTCATTTTTAGAGACAAGGTCTCACTCTGTCACCCAGGCTGGAGTACAGTGGCATGATCATGGCTCACTGCAGCCTCAACCTCCCAGGTTGAAGCGATCCTCCCATTTCAGCCTCCCATGTAGCTGGGACTACAGGTGTGCCACCACACCCAGCTAATTTTTTAATGTTTTTTAGAGATAGGGTCTTGCTATGTTGCCCGTGCTCATCTTAAACTACTGGACTCAAGTGATCTTCCCACCTTGGCCTCCCAAAGTGTTGGGATTACAGGAATGAGCTACTCCCGGCCCCCACACTTTTATTGGAAAGAAGACAAATCAAGATAGGAGAGTTAGCAGCTATGAGTCTTTCCTCATGTGGTTTGATTACTCTCCAATACCTAAGTTAGCAGAATGTTCTTCAATAGTCCCAGAGGCTGAGCTCTGTGCTTTATGGAGATTTGTGCATTTTCAGAGGCTTCTTGTTCTTTCTCACCATGACTAGCCCAGTCTATAGTTGGAAATCACAGTTTCCCTCCCAAGCCCCTGTGTCCAGTCTGGGGTTCATGGTCATGAAAAATCCCCATGCTTTGATGGCAGAAGGCAGAAGTGACTGCCTTATCTTCTCTGGGGGCCCAGGGAACAATTTCAGACACAAACATATTGGAGGAAGAATTCAGCAGTGGAGTTGGTACCTCCAGATTAATTTACACTCCAGCGGCCCCCAGAGAGGCTGACAGACTGATGGATGGCAATGCCTGCTGGGTGTGCAGCCGCATTAATGCTGCCAGGAACTCAGCTCATTAGCTCCGAGCTCCTTTCCTTCCCTTGCCACACCTCAGACACAGCTAATCTCATGTAAAGTGGGGCCAGCTCACTCGGGTCACGTGCACTCAGTGTCCGATCCCTGAGGTGGATTTCCAACTGGGATGCCCCCCAGCAGAGTGTGCTCATCACCCCCACCCCATCCACCCTCTGCCTTTATCCTTCCAAGGGCATGGTGCAGAACACCTGGCAAGAACACAGTCCTCAGAGGAGCTCAGTTACCTTCCCCTGGAGAGCCCAGTAACAGTTCCGAAGGCAGGAGGGCTCGTGATACCAGCAGTCCTGCCTGCGGGGCCTTAGCTGTTAGAAAGCTCTGGAAGCCATCTACAAGACACTGAAACACCTGGTGGATTCTGTTGGAATCCAAAGAAATAATCAGTGAGACTGGTTATTTGCTCAGAAAACAGAGCCTGAGTTTGGGGTTGTGTAGACAGAGATGCTGGGTTGGTGACGACATTGACGACATAGCACTGTTGCTGAGTTTGCAGCCAGAGCCCAGGCAGTCTGCACAGATGGCCCTGGCACTGATTTATGGAGATGGGTGCTCAGCTCATGAAAACAGAGCATGAAGCGGCCAGCTGACCTTTTAACTTTTCTCCCTCTAAGATGGTTGCAGGAATATGTAGACAGGGCTTTCGGCAAACGCCAGGAGACCCTCTGCCCTGTTCCCCTAACTTCTCTGACTTCATCTCCAGCCATCTCGCCCTCCCTTACTCCACTCCAGCCTCAGTGATTATTTTGCAATTGAACATCCAGGCACCCGCCTACCCCAGGGCCTTGGCACCTGCCATCCACCCTGCATGGAAGTGCTTCCCTCAGATATCCACACGGCTTCTCCCTCACCTTCTTCAGGCCTGCACTCAAATGTTGCTCTCTCGGGGGCACTTCCCTGACCACCTGTCTAAAATTGGAACACCCTTCCCTCGGTACCCCTTACCCTCAATTCTTGTTGTTTTTCTCTGCATCACTTACCACCTTCTAAAATGCTCCATAATGTATTTATTTCTTTTTTTTTGACCCTGTTAGGCCCCCGCTTCATATCCTTCAGTGTTTCCACCTGGCTTACAGGGAGGATGCTTTTGGGTGGTCAGTGAGCCCAACTAACCCTGCATCACAGACCCAGCTGGTTAATCCCTTTCAACTCCTCCCTTAGTCAAGGACAAAGTCTCAGTTTAGTGTTAGTGTGACTCGAACATGTACTAATCTCCCTTCTTAACAAAGACAGGGCAGGTCTCAGGCTCTGAGCCTTCAGCGGGCAACAGTGTCTAATCAGAATTGAGTAACATCATTTGGGTTTTGTTGTTCTTATTTCTTTAACAAAGGATCCATGTTTTCTATTTCCTGCACTGTTAAAAAGTTGAACTTCTAAAAAAAATGAAGCAAAAAACTCAGGTAGCTGATATGAAGAAAATCACTAAGGGGCTACATGAATGACAGAAGTTTAAGACATCATAATGTACACAATAAATTCTAAATATATTTGAGCAGTGCACTTGGACCTTTCCAGATCTGGTACTAGTTGTTATCTTAGACACTCTCCTTTGCACAGCCTGGACTCTGATAATACAGGAATATTTAAGGTTTCTCCCAGCACTTAACACAGTTTTACACATCTTGGTCCAGAACGTGCTTCCCAGCATTGTCTTGTGGGTGGGCTCCTGCTTGTCCTTCAGGTATCAGCACCAGCATCACTTCCTCCAAGAAGCCCTCATTATCCCCCTCTATGCAAGAAAGAATTCATCCTTTGCTTCTCTCTGCCTCCTGAATACCTTGTAATACCCGTATTGTTGCACTCATTACACGGCACTGTCTTACTTGGTCAGACAAGCAACACCTTGAGGGTAAACACTGCCTTCTTCCTCTTCATTACTTCCATGCCTAGCACAGTGCCTGGCTCATATCAGGTGCTAATAAATGTTGAGTGAAACACCATCTTACATACATCCTGTAGGATGATTTGCTTGCCTACTACTTTGGAGTTAGGGGTAGGTCAGGGATGAAATCCAAGCTGATACAAACCTGCACCCTTCTCAGCATAAGTCATGGTCCTACAACTCTCTTGGATTTTCAGATCCTCTCCTCTGTCCAAGTGAGAATCTCATGAGCCAATAAAGAAAGACATGCATCCTCCACTCTGCAGTAAGTCGCCAGGCCAACCTAGTGTGTTAGAAGGAAGCTCCATTTCCCGGCCCACTTATAACCAGTCTGCTCATGTTGAGTCAACTAGTTGGCAAATTTAGGAGAAGTCGCTGAGCACGCCACGGTCAGCAATCCTCCCCGTCAATCCTGCTAGGACTAGCCAGCCTCAAACAAAGGTATTCCTGCTCCTCTGTGCCATCCATGCAGACAGAAGGCTCTTTGGGGAATGCCTGCAGTCACCCAGCCATTCAGGTGACCAGGTGGGTGAGTCTAACCCAGCAGGCTCTTGTGACTTCAGAACTTAAGTCATATCTCCCAGCCACATTCACCAGTGATATAGCTGACATTTTTTTTGTATTTCAATAAGCTTTTGGGGAACGGCTGGTGTTTGGTTGCATGGATAAGTACTTTAGTGGTGATTTCTGAGATTTTGGTGCACCTGTCACCCAAGCAGTGTACACTGTACCCAATGTGTAGTCTTTTATCTCTCATCCCCTTTCCATCCTTCCCCCCAAGTTCCCAAAGTCCATTGTATCATTCTTAGCCATTGTGTCCTCGTAGCTTAGCTCCCACTTATAAGTGAGAATATACGATGTTTAGTTTTCCATTCCTGAGTTACTTCATTTAGAATAATGGCCTTCGACTCCATCTAGGTTGCTGCAACTGCCACTGTTTTGTTCCTTTTTATGGCTGAGTAGTATTCCATGGCATATATATACCACGTTTTCTTTATGCACTCATTGATTGATGGGCATTTGGGCTGGATCCATATTTTTTCAATTGCAAATTGTGCTGCTATCAACATGCATGTGCAAATGTCTTTTTCATATGATGACTTCTTTTTCTCTGGGTAGATACCCAGGAGTGGGATTGCTGGGTCAAATGGTAGATCTAGTTCTTTAAGGAATCTCCACACGGTTTTCCATAGTGGTGTCGTTGACACTGGCAGCATAAAAGTGCTCCCTTTTCACCATATCCATGCCAACATCTATTATGTTTTAATTTTTTTAAAAATATGCATGCCAATATCTATTATGTTTTATTTTTTTAAAAAATGATGGCTATTCTTGCAGAAGTAATGTGGTATTGTATTGTAGTTTTGATTTGCATTTCCTTGATCATTAGTGATGATGAGAATTTTTTCATATATTTCTTGGCCATTTGTATATCTTTTTTTTCGAGAATTGTCTGTGCATGTCCTTAGCCCACTTTTTGATGAGATTATTTGTTTTATTCTTGCTGATTATTTGATTTCCTTATAGATTCTGGTTACTAGTCCTTTGTCGGATGCATAGTTTGCTATAGCTGACATTTTGATGGCCATTGACTCTGACTCTTGACTCGACTGGTTTTGAACTTGGGAGGGAAGAAAGGAATGCAATATTATGTACAGACATGTGTCACTCCAAGACAGAGATATGTTCTGAGAAATGTGACAATAGGCAACTTTGTTGTGTGAACGTCACAGAATGTACTTACACAAACCTAGATGTTAGAGCCTACTACACACCCATATTATATGGTATAGTCTTGTGCCTAGGCTACAAACCTAGACAGCATGTTGCTGTCCTGAATACTGTAGGCAACTGTAACACATTGGGAACCATTTGTGTATCTAAATACAGGAAAAGAACAGTAAATGTATGGTATAAAAGGTTAAAAATGGTATACCTATAAGGGCACTTACTATGAATGGAGCTTGCAGGACTGGAAGTTGCTCTGGGAGAACCAGTAAGTGGTGAATAAATGTGAGGGCCTAGGACATTCCTGTACACAACTGCAGGTTTTATAAATGCTGTACACTTAGGCCACACTGCGGTGGCTCATGCCTGTAATCCCAGTATTTTGGGAGGCCGAGCAGGCAGATCATGAGGTCAGGAGATCGAGACCATCCTGGCTAACACAGTGAAATCCAGTCTCTACTAGAAATACAAAAAAATTAGCTAGGTGTGGTGGCGGGCACCTGTAATCCCAGCTACTTGGGAGACTGAGGCAGGAGAATCACTTGAACCCGGGAGGTGGAAGTTGCAGTGAGCTGAGATCATGCCACTGCACTCCAGCCTGGGCGACAGAGCGAGACTCTATCTCTAAATAAATAAATAAATAAATAAATAAATTTATTAAAAGTATTTTTCTGTCTTCAATAACAAGTGTGTGAGTGAATCTGAG
Source organism: Homo sapiens (assembly GCF_000001405.40). Classification (NCBI taxonomy): domain Eukaryota; kingdom Metazoa; phylum Chordata; class Mammalia; order Primates; family Hominidae; genus Homo; species Homo sapiens. The sequence goes on along the minus strand of NC_000016.10, from coordinate 22,875,317 downwards.
CTCACTATAACATTTTTACTTTATAAACCTTTAAATTTATTTTTAACATTTTGGCTTTTTCATCATAACGCTTAGCTCAATATCTTTGTACAGCTGTACAAAATACTTTCTTTATATCTTTATAACCATTTTTCTATTTTTAATTTTTTTAATTTTATTTTTTACTTTTTGAACACTTTTGTTAAAAATTAAGACACAAACACACACATTACCCTAGGCCTCCACAGGGCCAGGATCAACAATATCACTGAAATTGCCTAGCAATGGATTTTACAGCACACGTCTCCATGAATAAATGATACGTGACTGTATAGGTGAGTGTTCTGTCAATGCTGGCCACTATTAGGATTGTCCCATTAGGACACATTCGTGCAGCCTTGGCCCCTGTGCCCTTCCCTGTATGTGATTTGGGATTGACCCTCAGGCTCCAAACACTCTCAGCTGCAGAGGAGTCCTGACCACTTTATCAACTCAGCTCTGGGAGAGCCTCACAGGGCGATGCAGCCCTTTAAGGTTAATGGTCTAGGAATGTAGGATCCAGAAATCTGAGGAGAACCAGGAGATTTGTCATTGGGTCAAGTGGTTTGGCTTCCTGGGGCCTGGAGGTATGCCAGGTCCCAGTACTGTCTTGACTGTAACAGGTTCCAGCCCCAGCAGGTGCCTCTGCCAGCTCTCAGCAGTGACACTTACAGTGAATAATGCCTCGTTCCAGACAGCATATGGCCTGGCAGAGTTTGGCACCCAGGAGACAGACTCACAGCCATATGGGCTCACTGCCTATGGTCAAGCCAGGACACACATGGAAGCATGGATTGGGAGACTCAGACGTGATCGCTGGGAAACCAGGCTTGAGGACAGCGGTGTCTAGGCTTTGCTGGAAGCCTGGTTAGTGCAATTGCCAGTGAAGAAATTCCACACAAATCTGAGAACTTGCAGATGGGACGTGGAGGAGGAAATCTCACCTTCTGAACTTATCTCCTGTAAAATAAGTCTGGAATAATCATCTTTAGGGTTGATATGAGAAGCAAAAGGTAGATTATTAAATAGTCTTTTACTTGAGTTTATCTCTAGGGCTGCCATTTGAAATCCTAACGCTCAGTTGACAACTAGAAGTTGAAGGAACAGTTTTCTAGCTTGGCTTATGGTCCTGAAGGGGCCTGCTGTTTGCAAAAATGGCTACATGAAGTCCCCTTCCTGTATTAACCCCTCTGGTAGTGCCCTCCCAGGTTGACTCAAAACTTGGCTCCAGACTTGCTTTGGCCAACAGGATAGTCGCAAACATGGCACATGCAGACACTTGAAAAGCTTTTGTGCACTGACGCTTGCCCTCCTGCTATTCCCGGAACCCTGTGATCTCCATTGAGTAAGCCCAGGCAAGCCTGCTGAAGAATGGGAGATCACTCAGAGATGGGGCCTCCATCATCTCAAGCACTCTGGACCAAGCTGCCATCCATCAGTCAGCCGCAGTCGACCCACTAGTTGATCCCAGATGTGTGAGTGAATCCAGCCAACCCCAGCTAGACCAGGCTCAGTCTAGAACTGCCCAGGTGAACTCAAGCCAAACTGCCAGTCGGTAGAGTTGCTGGACTCCGTAAGTGGCTGTTGTGTTAAGCCACTAAGTTTTGGGGTGGTTTGTTACCCAACAAAAGCAAACTGAAACACATGGATTTTGTTCTGTCAGAGGTTACCAGGATAGACTAGGCTTAATCCTGGTAGACTAGGATATCTGCCCACAACATCCCAGAATGGTCATTTGTAAAGTTTAACAAAGACAGTGACTATATATTCAAAAATTCCTGCACTGAAACCACAAAACCATCTCCCATTGCTCTCACTCTTCTAATCTAGTTTATCTGTTACCCGACAGGTTTAGAAGTTGAGAAAATGGTCCAAGAAACTTGTCATTAACGTGAGATAAGATTTAGTGAGCATTTAAATGTCTGCCATGTTCCAGCCTTTGAGCTTGGTGTTTAAAGAATTCTTGGTTTCCTTTGCTCCCACCACTCCCATTTAATAACCTGTGAAATAGATTCTGCTTCTACGCATACTGAAGGTGAGGCTCAGAGAAGTGGTGCTGGTTTTCCCTTGGAGTGATGGAGCCAGGCTTTGAATTCCACTCTGCTAGCTCCGAAGTTAGACTGTTTTGCTGACACCCCAGGATTCCTCTTCCAGCAGACACTTTTTGACCACTACTTACATGCCAGATACTTTTCTAGATGCTTTATGTGAATAATTTAATCCTCAACTCTAGCCCAATACAGTAGTAAATATTGTTATCATCACTTTACATATAAGGAAACTGAGGCATTGAAAGGTTAAGAAACTTGTTCATGGTCACATGTCTGGTGAGAGGTTGAGCCATGATTTGACACAGGGCTTTGTGGCTCCAGAGCCTACACTTTCAGCCAGAGATCTCAGTACTGGTGGTTGAAAGTCTGGAAGTCATTATATAAATAGCTTTTATACAATGTGACTCTTATAAACCAACATGAGGGCTCTAGGTGGGGAAGCTGATTGCCAAATAAGTCCAGGTTTTGGGTTCTCTGGGATGATGTTAGGGAGAATCTTGTATTCTCAGGTCCAGGACTGCTCTCTCCCCATCCTCAATGAGGCAGTCCATCACCCAGCGGTCCACGTCAGAGTTGCTGGTTGAGGTACTTACGTGGGCCAGGCAGGTAACAGATGAGTGCAGTGGGCTGGGTGGGGCTGGTGGGGAACCCTAGAGGGTGTGCCCCATCTAAAGAAGAAACCACTTCTTTCCAGCTGATCATTAACAAGCAGGAATACAGGTCCAGTGTTGCCCAATTTCCTCATTTTTCTAGATAGAACTATAAATTTTTGGTATGTTTTGATTTTTAAATCAGCACCCAATAAAAGAATTTTTTCTCAAAATACCCTATGAGCCCGACAAAACTTCTCTGGATCAAATATTATCCAAGAGCAGCATTTGCTATATTTGGTATAGGAGATAAAGCTCTGGGTAAATGACAATAAAAATCAGAATGCATTGAAGGAGGGAACTTATCTCCTTGAAAATAAGTCTGGAATAATCATCCTTAGGGTTGATATGAGAAGAGAAAGGCAGATTATTAAATAGTCTTTTACTTGGGTTTATCTCTAGGGCTGCCATTTGAAATCCTAATGCTCAGCTGACAAATCACAAGATTGTCCCACTTCTGTGTAGAGAGCAGATTTATAAGCCAAGTTCTGAAATTTTCATCTCGAAGTGTCTGCTGTACTATTGGCTCGTTGGGTATCTAAAGTATACAGATCTCATTTCCATCAACAATAAACAGACTGTCTGGAGAAGCACTGGCACCATCTGTAATCGTTACACTGGTACCAAAAGAAATGTATGTACGCCTGGTCACTTCCCTGCAGGGCTATTCCAAGTCTGTTTGCACCTCCCAGGTGAGCCCACCCTGGCCCTGGAAATGAATCCTTTCCCTACCAATATTGGCGTCGGAGTCACACAGGTTTCTAACCCAAAAGGTGTTACTGCTAGCAGCTGCCCTCAATGTAGGAGTCTTTCTGGCTTCCCTGAGACTTTGCCTGTCAAATCACAGGCCCCTGTGGATAGAAGGGCATTGGGCCAGGTTTATTCATTCATCAAATATTTATTGAGCATCTACTATGTGCTAGGTACTGTTCCCGAGCCTAGAGATAGACTGAACAGAAGAAACACAATCTCTGACCTATGGAGATTGTGTTTTTGTGGGGATACAGACAGTAAGGTGCATAACAAAGTATAGATGATTGTCAACTTAAAATGAGGTTACATCCTGCTAAATCCACCACAAGTTGAAAATATCTTAAGTTAAAAATGTGTTTAATGCACCTAACCTAGTAAACATTGTAGCTTAGCCAAGCTGACCTTAAATATGCTCAGAACACTTACATCACCTTATGGTTTGGCAAAATCATCTAACATAAAGTCTCCCCACCCCTCTTTTTTTTTTTTTTGAAACAGAGTGTCGCTCTGTCGCCAGGCTAGAATACAGTGGTGCAATCTTGGCTCACTGCAATCTCCACCTCCCGGGTTCAAGCAATTCTTCTGCCTCAGCTTCCCAAGTAGCTGGGACTGCAGGCGTGCACCATCACGCCCAGCTAATTTTTGTATTTTTAGTAGAGACGGGGTTTCACCATGTTGGCCAGAATGGTCTCCATCTCCTGATCTCGTGATCCACCTGCCTGGGTCTCCCAAAGTGCTGGGATTACAGGCATGAGCCACTGCGCCCGGCCCACAAAGCCTATTTTATAAGAAAAGTGTTGAATAGCTCATGTGACTTATTGAATACTATACTGAAAGTGAAAAACAGGGTGCCTGCATGACTAGTTGAAGTATGGTTTCTACTGAAGGCTTATTGCTTTTCCACCATCATAAAGTCGAAAAATCTTAAGTTGAACCATTGTAAGTTACGGATCATCTATATCTAACAGTTAAACCACATTAGGTGGTTATAAGTCCTAAGCAGCAAAAATAAAGCAAGGGAGTGATGGAGGGCCAGGGAGGTTAAGACTGTGCAAAGGGTGGCTGGGGAAAACTTCCCTCAGAAGGGGAGTTTGAGTAAAGACTTACAAGGGGTGAAGGAGCTGGGCATGAGGCTCTCAGAGGAGCAAATATTTCGGGTGAGAGAAACACAATGCACAGTCCCCAAGGTGAGAATGCACCTGGTGTTTCCGGGGGACAGGGAGGAAGCCAGTGTTGCTGGAACAGAACAGGCAAAAGAGAGTAGCAGGGGAGGAGATCAGAGAGACAAACAGGAACAGGCATTGGGTGTAGGACCTTGGAGGCTGTATAAGGACTTCAACGTTTACTCTGAATGAGATGAGAAGCAGAGGAGCGACGTGATTCGACTTATGCTTTAGCAGACCTGTGGGCTGCTCTGCTGGGGACAGACAGAAGAGAGGAAAGGGCAGAGCACTAATCAATTAGAAGCTGCACCCAGTCATCCACGAAAGAGATGATGGTGGCTTGGCTGAGAGTGGGTGAGCAGTCGTCATATCTGGATACATTTTAATGCTGGAATTATTCCTGCCCCCACAGGTTATTAGGCATTTCTGGGTGGGCTTCAGGGGGTCCAGAACACCATGAAATGCTGTTTTGTGTATGATATATGCATGAGCGAGTCAGAGGAGGGCAGCGTATCCCAGGGTGCCACAGTCAAGTGGCCCAAGTTCAAATTCCACATCGGCCACTTTCTGTAACCCTAGAAGGGGGTATAAATCTCTCTCTAAGCCTCAGTTTCCTTACCTGTAGGCTTGGAGATATTAATAAATTATACCTACATTTTAAATTCAATGTGAGAATTTAAGACTATGTTTGCATAACACTTCATAGTAAGTGTTCAATCTACATGAGCTATTTCCATCCAATTTTCTCAAGGAGTCTGTGACCCAAACTAAGATTGAACTCTGAGGCTTTGCCTTCAACCTGAGCTAGACCATAGGTGCTGAAAGAGGGCTCCTTTTGCTTCCCTGATCTACATTAACAGGAGGTGGAAGAACTTAGGTTTTTGATATGGTTTGGCTGTGTCCCCACCCAAATCTCATCTTGAATTGTAACTCCCACAATTCCCACATGTGGTGGGAAGAACCCAGTGGGAGGTGATTGAATTATGGCGGCGGGTCTTTCCTGCGCTGTTCTCATGTTAGTAAATGAGTCTCACAGATCTGATGGTTTTAAAAGGGGGAGTTTCTCTGCACAAGCTCTCTTTTTGCCTGCTGCCATCCATGTAAGACACGAATTTCTCCTTCTTGCCTTCCACCATGACTGTGAGGCCTCCCCAGCCATGTGGAACTGTAAGTCCATTAAACCTCTTTCGTTTGTAAATTACCCAGTCTTGGGAATGTCTTTATCAGCAGCATTAAAACAGACTAACACAGTTTTTAACAGAGGCCTGCTCTATAATCTCAAATCAGGGAACTGAGTCTTGGGCCAGCTAAGTAATTAGCAATAACCTGTTCAAGATTAGAGAGCTAGAAAGTGTCAAAGCTGGATTTGAACCCACAGCTATCTAATGCTAAATCCATGCCTTTAACTACAACACGATGCTGCCTCCCATGGGTGTTGGAAGACCTTTTGCTCAAAGATTTGTCCAGCAGGCCAGATGAGGGAGGTCTCTATCAGGAAGAGAGTCAGGATCAGCTCTGTCTCTGAGGGCTAGTTTTACAGAGCGCCCCTTTTCACTAGGCTTCCGGGCTGTTCCAACAACAACATAAATCTCATTTGCAGTTCTGCTTGTTTAGTACCTGTTAGGAAATTGCTAATTTCATTGTAGGTCCCACTGCTGTTCAGAGGATCACAAACAGGCCCATCATAAATCAGCAAGGGACAGCATTTACACGTGATTCCCCTGTAGACTCTACCAGTGGAGCCTCCTAAAACTGCTGCTTCATTAATGGGCCATCTTCATACTAGTTAATGTCTAATTACTGACACTAATGGGTCCATGTATTTTAAAAATGAAATTATAGGTTTTATTCAATTAGGAAAAGCACTAGATAAACTGCTGAATAAATCTGGCAAGAGACACAAAGGACTAGTAGTTAAACAGGCGCCCCCAGCTCAGGGACCTCAGAAAGCTGCAGCAGCAAAATTAACACCAAAAGGAAACAAATCAGTGCCCAGAATTGTAAGATAGAGCACGGTCATGGATGAATTTATCTTTAAATTAACAACAGTCCTGGGTAGGGCCCAGGCTCAGAAATGGATCTGAAACTTAACTGCTGTTGGCTTCAGAATACTTCCTGACTTTGCATTCTCTAGCTGATATACATGGAAATAACACGTCGAATAAGTAAAGGAAAAAATGAAGATCTTGTATAATCATTCCCACCATGGAGGGACAAACAGTATTAACAGTGTGTTGTAGATCCTTCCAGACTTTTTTTTTTTTTTTTTTTTTTTTTGATGGAGTCTTGCTCTGTTGCCAGGCTGGAGTGCAGTGGCCTGATCTTGGCTCACTGCAACCTCCGCTTCCCGGGTTCAAGCAATTCTCCTGTGTCAGCCTCCCAGGTAGCTGGGACTACGGGTGCATGCCACCACGCCCAGCTAATTTTTGTATTTTTAGTAGAGACGGGGTTTCACCATGTTGGCCACCAGGATGGTCTCCATCTCTTGACCTTGTGATCTGCCCACCTCCGCCTCCCAAAGTGCTGGGATTACAGGTGTGGGCCACCATGCCCAGCCTATCTTTCCAGACTTTTAATGTTCTTATTTGTATGTCTGTGTAATTTTTGTGCATGTGTAATATTTTTTTAAAAAAGCAGAATCACACAAATTGAGCGCATCATTCTGTAACCTTTTAAAACTTGATCATATACAATGGATAATATTCTGTATTAGTTGTTTACATCCATTTACTTAATCTTTTCAAAGAGCTTATAGTATTCCATACCAATCTCCCATATCAGACACTTATTTGCATTTTTTAATAGTCAAATAAAACTATACTAAACATCCTCCAGGTTAAATAGGCATATACCCTTTATTTCCTTGAAATTGTTTTCTAAAAACATACCCTGGATGTGATTGAGTCTAAAGCTTTTGCAAAATATCCTTCCAAATATTCTTCCAGAACAGTTGTACCAAATGACACTCACAATAGCACTAAAAGTGGATCCTTTCCATGTTTCTCAACTGCAAAAAATGCTATCATTATTTTGCTCCATTTTTTTCATGCCTACTGAGTCAAGTATTTTTTCTTTCACTTGCTGATTGTCCATTTGAATTTCTGCTTTTGCATGTTGCTTGTTCATGTTCATTGCACAACTTGTTAGGTTGTTTATCTCTTTCTTGTTTATATGTCATAAATCTTTACAAGTTCAGGATATCTACACCTCGACTTTATATGTTGCATATCACATTACCCATTTTGCTGGCTGCTTTGCCTTTGTGATTTTCTAATGTAAACATATTTTACATTTTTATGTAGTCCAATTTCTTAGTCTTGTTCTTGGTGTTTTCTGTCTTTGGTGCCATGCTTAGAAAATTTTCACCATTCCATAACTTAAAAAGTGGTTCCATTTTTAAGGTGCAAGTCTGCAATTATTTTGAGACTTATTTTGGTATATATGAGGGAAGAATTAGTTTCCAAATGGCAAGCCAGTTGTCTCAACACTATTTGTTAAATAAGTCTTTCCCACTGATTCAAATGCCACCTTGCCATATAGTAAACTCTATTTTTAAAATGGATTTTCTCTTCTATCCCACCGATCTTTCCACAGCAGTACTATACTTTTAATTACTATAAACTTATGTTTTAAAATAATAATCCTACTCTCCATGTTCAGATTTTCTCCAAGTGTTCTCACCAGTCTCTAGATGAACTTTAAAAGTCAACGTGTTCTTTTCATAGGGGTTTCCATTTAATTGAATAAAATGAATAGATTAATTTGAGGAGAATTAACATCCAGGTATATGCCAGGCCCTGTACTTACTCAGGTCTTTTGTTTATATTATCTAGTAAAGTTTTATAGTTTTCTTCATGCAAATTTTTTATCTTTCTTTTTTTGAAACAAGGTCTCACTGTCACCCAGGCTGGAGTGCAGTGACATAATCTTGGCTCAACATCCCCTTGACCTCCACAATCACCACAGTGATACTACCACCTCAGCCTCCCAAGTAGCTGGGACCACAGGTGCATGCCACCTTGTCTGGCTAATTTTTCTGCATTTTGTAGAGACGGGGTCTTGCCATGTTGCCCTTTGTAGAGACGGGGTCTTGCCATGTTGCCCAGGCTGGTCTCAAACTCCTGGGCTCAAGTGATCTGCCTGCCTTAGCCTCCCAATGTACTGGGATTATAAGCATGAGCTACTGTGCCCAGCCTTCATACAAATTCATTCTGCATATTTATTCAAATATTTAACATTTTGGTTTTTGTTGCAATTAACCCTTCCTCTGCCCCAACACACACACACACACACACACACACACACACACACACGCACACCATATTGTCAAATTGGTTAGTGTGTGTGTGTGTGTGCGCGCGCGCGCACGTGCTTGCGCGAATTCTCCCCTCTGCCAAAATCTTTTATTAGTTCCAGCAGGTTGTCAGTTGGTTTTCTTTGGTTTTATAGGCAGACAATACCATCATCTGCTAATCACAAAACAATGACTTCTCTTCAAGATTTGAGTCTATTTTTTTCTTTTTCCTTGTCTTGTCACATTGGCTATACCTTCCAGAACAATACTAAATAAGTGCAGTCATGTTGTTCTGGGCTTTAAATGCTGCCTTAAACATAATGTAAGGAACCAGTCAGGTAATTGTTCTTGATTACATTAAAGACCATCCTCTAGTCCTAATTTAGGATTTTGTTTTCAGAAATGACCATTGACTTCCATCAATGCCTAATTTAAAAACAATGCATTTGATTGTGCATTTTCCCCTCTTTTGACCCACTATAGTGCTTTAATTATATTATGAGGCATGCTAATAACAAGACATTCTTGGCATCCTTAGAAGGAATCCTACTTGGCTACTACACATTTTCCCCCCACCTTGCCTCCCTAAATTCTCTAAATGCAGATTTATCTTTGCTAATTTACTTGAATCCTATTTCCTCCTATATTATTCACATTTTATGCATCTGTATTCAGAGTTTGTTGTCAGAGTAATCCAGTTACTCAGTAGTAAAATAAACAAGGAAGTATATTTTTTATATTTCTGAAACAGCATAAATAGCCTGGTTCCTTGAAGACTTGATGAACTCATATATAAAATCTCTGGGTCTAGCAGCACTTTTTTTTTTATTTTTTAGACTAAGTCTCACTCTATCACCCAGGCTGGAGTGCAGTGGTGAGATCTCGGCTCACTGCAACCTCCGCCTCCTGGGTTCAAGCAATTCTCCTGCCTCAGCCTCCTGAGTAGCTGGGATTACAGGCATGCGCCACCATGCCCGGCTAATTTTTTGTGTATTTTTAGTAGAGACGGGGCTTCACCATGTTGGTCAGGCTGGTCTCGAACTCCTGACCTCATGATCTGCCCTCCTCGGCCTCCCAAAGTGTTGGGATTACAGGCATGAGCCACCGCGCCCGGCCTAGCAGGACTTTTTTTTGGACATTATTTACAAATACTCCAATGGTTGTTGGAATATTCAGTTTTTCTTGAGTCAATATTTTTTTCTAGAAAACTATCTTCTTAAATGAGGTTTCAACTTTTAATAAGTGCAATTTAATTTTTCAAAAAATCTGCATTTTATCTTTCTAATATTGTGCATATGAGGGTTTTTTCTTTTCCTCTTTTTTTTTTTTTTTTTTTTTTGAGATAGGGTCTTACTCGTCACCCAGGCTGGAGTGCAGTGGCAGGGTCATGGCTCACTGCAGCCTCAACTTCCTGGGATCAAGTGATCCTGCCACCTCAGCCTCCTGAGTAGCTGGGACTACAGGTGTGTACCACCATGCCCGGCTATTTTTTTTTTTTTTTTTTTTGTGGAGACAGGGTCTCCCTATGTTGCCTAGGCTGCTCTCAAACTCCTGGGCTCAAGTGATCTTCCTGCCTCAGCTTCCCAAAGTGCTGAGATTACAGGCATGATCCTTGATTTATATAGCCAAAGCCTGACTATTTTGTCTTTTTAAAACAGCAGCACTTGGATGTATTTGTTAATTACAGTGTCTTGAGGGCCTTCTTCCTAGGAGAGTGGTAAACATGTGATTTGTATGCACTCAGTCACTAAGATAGATATACTCTGGGCTCTGCTCATTCTCCATCTCTCTGTGAGCAGCCCCTTCACCCCCAGGAGGGGCCCCTGCAGCCACATTTGGACTGAATAACCCAGCCCTCTTGATCTGGACCAGACCAGCTACACACACTTGGCTCAAGCTACATCAAACAGTCTCTCCTGGGAATTTAGAATTGAGAATTAGAGATGCTAGTTAATGTCTTCCATGTGTTCAAACCAATAATTATCATCTTGGTTCCCAGGTACAGTTCTTCATGAGGTCCTGACATATTTCCTGTGTTTGGTTCCATGAAATATCCTTGGAACTTGATAATCAACCCTCTTTCTGCCTTATCTAATTTGAATATGTTTCTACTCTTTGCAGCCAGAGGATCCTTGATTAAGACAGTCACTGAGGGTCAGGCATCCATCATAACACCTCCTCCAGAAGTAAAAGAAATTATATGCTGAGCATATGGGTGCAGCCTCAACTGAAAGGGCAGGGTGGTTTGGGTGACTGCCAGTCAAACCACAGATCAAAGGATCTGAATCCAAAAGATCCAATTGTCCAGGGTGGGTGAGTTTACATGCTGCAGGAGCCAGGCATGAATTTTTGGTTTTTAAGTTTATATGTTACTTTGAGACTTCAATTCCCACTCTACTAAGAGAATGTTCATTCTATACATTTGAGGTTTTCTGTCACTCGAACTTGAGGATAGGGGCTTTCAGATAGAGCGGAGAACCTTCCAAACTCAACACGGGAAGGAACTGTGGAGCACTGAGTGTTGGGAACCACAAAGGATGAAGGGAGAGGGTGGCAGGTAATTGCCATTGAGCTTCTTGCACGGCCTGGAGAGCTATGGGTTATGCTAAGAGAGCCAGAATGGCCCTCATCGATGGGACTTCTAGGCAGTCTCTTGTGTGTGAGCCTTGTGAGCAAAGACAGCTTGCTGGGTCAGAGGCACTGTCACAGGAGCTGATGATTTTAGGGGCAGCCAGAAGATGGGTCCCAGGACATCCCAGGACATACAAATGGTAACAATAGACACAGGATTAATACAAACCAGGGTTGGGGGCAAGGGTTGAAAAACTGACTGTTGTGTACTATGCTCACTCTCTGGGTGACGGAATCATTTGTATCCCAAACCTCAGTATCACACAATATACCCAGGTAACAAACCTGTACGTGCACCTCCTGAATCTAAAATAAAAGTTAAAATTATTTTTTAAAAAAGACAGGGAGAAAAAAGAACCTTCAGAAGGGCCCTGGCCAGGTAGGTTTTTGAGGGCATCCTGGAGGAAGAGGGGCATTGAATCAGAGGACACCCACATGTGTGGAATAACAGCAGTGACTGGGGGACCATTTTTATGAGCACAGTCATGAGAGTAAGAGCAATGTGATGGCCCCAAGGCAGGAACAAATCGGCAACGATGTCTACTGATGTGCTATCCCAAAGGGCAAGATTCTGGAAGTATATCATTCTCAAACATGTGTCATGAGTTCTGTTCATTTGGAGGCACTAGTGAGGCTACCAGAAAATCCAGATGATCCCACAGAAGCTTATTTGCAATTACTAGTGCCTCATTGGAGGCCCAGGACAACTGGGAAGACTGTCTGTAGTCGGCTGAGGAATGGTCCCCAGCGGGTCCTAACCCCTGGAACCTGGAAATGTGACCTCATTAAGAAAAGCAGTTTTTGCAGATGTGATTAAGTGAAGAACCTTAAGCTGGGGAGAGTTTCCTTAGTATTCACTGCATTCCAAGCAATGCTGGATGTTGAAGACATAAGCAGTGAACAAAACAGACCCAGATCCTGCCCATGAGGGCTGCCCCCTTCATCCCCGTAGGAGATGTTCCAAATCTTTATCCTCCACTCCATGCTTCTCTCTTGGCTGTCAAAATTGCTTGGCTTCTCTGGAAAGAAGAAAGCCATCAGCCATGCCTTGAATACCCCTTGAGCCTAGGAATGTGATAGACATGTCCCGGACTGGCAACCTGGCTGAGTCCCAGGTGAGAAGGCTGGTTTGCCATCCAGGTTCCTGAAAATGAACTCTGATCCACAGGACAGCAGTAGAAGCTACAGAACCCACACATCAAATGCTCTGAGTCCAAATGATCCAATAGTCCAGGGCGGGTGAAGCTCACATGCTGCAGGAGCCGGGCAGGTAACAGAAATGTGTGAGATAGCAATGGTATAACATGACTATATTGAACAGCTGGGATTGCAAGTATAACAGGTGCCTGGTTAGTTTGCCCTTAAAACATGGTGGGAGGCCAATCAAACCACTTCAACAGATCCACAGGCTCCAACTAGCCCACAGTCTACTGGTTTGCAACCTTTGCTTCTGATTCCCTACCAAAAAAAAAAAAAAAAAAAGCTGAGGAGAAGCCTGCTTCATGAATGAGACACACACCCACACACACACAGTTGCCTTTAGATCCTAAAACAGGAAGGCCTAATTGGTCTGTTGGTGCATTCCTTCATTTATTCATTCAACAAATGCTTACAGAGCACCTGTTAAGTGCCAGGTGCTGTACTTGGCATTAAGGCTACAGCTGTAAATGAACCAGAGAAAAACCCCTACTCATGGAGCTCACATTACCACAGTTGGGGTGGACAGAGAAGCAGTGAATATTTAACAAGTACATTTACTTTTCTTTATGAAAAACATAAACAGGATGGGGCAGCTATTTCAGACAGGAAAGGTCTGTCCAATGGGATATACTGGGCTCAGGTTTGAATGATGAGAGGAGGCTGAGACTGGGGAGCAGAGCTCTTTAGGAGACCAGTGCAAAGGTCCCGAGGCAGGGAAGCGGCTCAGCAGGTTCAAAAGCCAGAGAGGGCACTGTGGTTGGAGGGTGGTGAGCAAGGGGGAAGTAGGAGGCCCACAGAGGATTGCAGCAGCCATATCACATGAGATGCCGGAGGCCACAATAAGAGATGTGCATTGTATTATTTTAAGTTCCCTTGACCCATGACTTCTAGAAGGAGTTTCCCTCCCCAGCTCTGGATTAAAAATTGTGTTTCTTTTAGTCACTGTGCTCTAAAAGTCTCTGACTGTCAATGTCTCCATGTACCATTTAGTACTCAGATGACAGCTCAGATGCCTGTGGAAGAGGAGAGGGCCAAGGCTGGTCCTGGGGATGGTGGCTCCTCCAGCTTCTGGTCACTTCACCTACCCACTGCCATTCCAGGGTATGGCCCCCAGTCCTCCAGGCCTCTCAGAAACAAGAAACTCCTCTCCAGCAAGTACAGGTTCTGTCTATGCCAGTAGCCAACTGGGTTCAACTCTGGTTCAGATGCAGTCAGGGCAGCTGCCCCCAGGCCACAAGCAGAGACAAAAGTAGAGAGATGGGCCCACAAGTGTAGAGTCTCTGATGGACCCCCCAGACTGGGCTGTGGTTCTAGAGGCCAGAAAAGAACGTTATATATCAAAACTATGATATACAACTATGATATATAAAATATATTTATAGGCCGAGTATAGTGGCTCATGCCTGTAATCCCAGTGCTTTGGGAGGCCAAGGCAGGAAGATTGCCTAAGCTCAGGAGTTCAAGATCAGCCTGGGCAACATAGTGAGGCCCTATATCTACAAAAAAATTTTTAAAAATTATATAGGTGTGGTGGGTGCTTGCCTGTAGTCCTGGCTACTCAGGAGGCTGAGGCAGGAAGATTGCTTGAGCCCAGGAATTCGAGGCTGCATTGAGCTACGACCACACCACTGCACTCCAGCCTGGGCGACAAACTAAGACCCTGTCTGTCTATATATAATTATATTAAATACATATTTATCTATTACTATATTAAATATACTATATATTCTACCATATATTGTAAGATGTTAAATATACATTAAGGGTATTAAATTATTAAATATGTATGATATTTTATATTTCATACTTTTATACACTCATAACTGTGATACATAAAGGCAATTTATATATCTAAGACTATGGCTTTCATTGGTTCCTTCCAGAAATATTTATTGGGAGCCAACAATTGCCTAAAATGGTGTAAGTGTTGAGGATTGCAGCAGTGAACAAAATAGATGGCAATTCCTGCCTAGAGGTGGGAGACAGACTCCTTCCCCAAAAGCAAGTGATATAGTAAAAAGTGATCATTGCTCAAAAATAAATAAATAAATAAACTGCAGAAGTCAGATGGGGAGTTCTGATGTGTATGCGGGGTGATATGCTTTAGCTGTGTCCCCACCCAAATCTTGAATTGTAGCTCCCATAATTCCCATGTGTCATGGGAGGGACCCAGTGGGAGGTAGTTAAATCATGAGGGCAAGTCTTTCCCATGCTGTTCTCGTGATAGTGAATAAGTCTCACGAGATCTGATGGTTTTATAAAGGGGAGTTCCCCTACACAAGCTCTCTCTCTTGCCGGACGCCATGTAAGACGTCCCTTTGCTCTTTGTCTTCCACCAAGATTGTGAGGCCTCCCCAGCCATGTGGAACTGTGAGTCCATTAAACCTCTTTCCTTTATAAATTACCCACTCTCAGCTAGGTCTTCATTAGCAGCACAATAACAGACTAATACAAGGGAAGAGGGCAATTGTCATTTTAAATAGAGCTGTTAGGGAGAGTGTGGCCTTCTGGGGAAAGAGAATTCCAGTAAGAGGGCTGAGTACAAAGGCTCTGAGGCAGAGTGAACCTGACATGTTTGAGGAAGAGCAATGTGGCTGGACTTCAGATTGAGGAATATGTCAGGGAGCTGGGGTGCACACGCTCAGACCCCTCCCATTCTGCATCCACCCCACTGCCAATCACCCCTACATGCCCAAGTCAGAAATCCCCTCGGACCAGGTCCAGACCAGATCAGAGTAACTCTCATGCCTCAGAAATAGGCATTTGTTGCCTGCACTCTCACTTAATACTGCTCGGTTACTGCTGGAGATTAATGTTTGTAGGTTTCACTCAGCTATAAATCATAGATTATAGATTGCTGGAATTTTCCATCAAGCCTAGCAGTGGGAATTTTGAAATCAGAGGTAGAGAATTCTTCTAAGATGGGCTAAGAAAGCAACTCTGTCTAGAAAGAACCCCTTTGGCCCAAGAAGGAAGCCTTTGAGATAGGAGAGTGGGCACAGTGGATTGTTAACACAAGACTCATAAAAGATGTAAGGAATCTGACAGCTATAACACTGAAAATGAGTATAAGCAGTAAATCAGTGATGCAATTACGTTTTCAGCAAATAACAACAGAACATGGACTAAATTCAGTTATCTAGCTTTCTGCAAACGTGTGAGGCCCCAATATCTTTCCTAAAGTATCCCCTTTGTGTTAAAAATTATTAGAGGCAGTTTGCACAGTTTGCAAATATGAAAAATAACTTGTACTTTGAGTACTGCAAAATACTTCATACTAGTCGCTAAGGTGAAGGTTTTGGTCTTCTTAGAGCATGGGTAACATTTGGCTGGGAGAACTGGGCAGGGAAATAGAAAAATAAGGATAAAGTGTTCGTTTGTTTATTTGTTTGGAGGCAGGATCTTGCCCTGTCACCCAGGCTGGAGCACAGTGGCACGATCATAGCTCACTACAGCCTCTAAATCCTGGGCTTAAGGGATCCTCCCACCTCAGCCCCTCAAGTAGCTGGGACTACAGGCATACACCACCACGCCCATCTAATTTCTTAATTTTTTGTAGAGACAGGGTCTCGCTCTGTTGTCCAGGCTAGTCTCAAACTCCTGGCTTCAAGTGATACTCCCACTTCAGCCTCCCAAAGTGCAGGGATTATAGGTGTAAGCCACTGCACCTGGCCCAAAGTGGTTTTTATCATATTTCTGATCAGTAAGACTTTGAGCTTTCTTTATTATACTGATATAGTACTTTGCAATCCATACCTTGAATTCATGCACATTATCTCAGACAAGCCCAGTGAAGGAACCATTTTCCTCATTTTACAATACAGAAACAGACTCAGAGAGGTCAAGAGACGTGTCTGAGGTCACACAGTACAAAGCTGGGACTTGAACCCTGGCTGTCTAGCTGCAAGTTTGTCTTTTTCTACTCTCACATCCTTATAAAAATGACTACTTCCCGAGAATAGCTCACTTCCTTTCAAACAAACAAACAAACAAACAAACAAAAAAAGGATTCCAAAATAAGCTCTCTTAGAATTATATTTGTAATAATATAGTGATCTAATTATCCTATACTTCATTGTTTGGGAACATAAAACATCTTGATTGTCTTAGCAGCTGAATTTTCTGGAAAAAAGCCCAACTCACATCACAAACAAAACATGCATGCTTGTACATCTTTTTTGATAGTCCAAGAGCTCTTCTTTAAAATTTTTTAAAAAAAATTTGTGGGCACATACTAGATGTATATATTTATGGGTTATATGAGATATTTTGATACAGACATGCAATGCATAATAATCACATCAAGGTAAATGGGGTATCCATCCCCTCAAGCACTTAGCCTTTGGGTTACAAAAATCCAATTATACAATTTTCGTTATTTTTTAATGTACAATTTAATTGTCTTTGACTATAGTCACCCTGTTTTGCTAGCAAATACTAGGTCTTATTCAT
This sequence comes from Homo sapiens, assembly GCF_000001405.40. Lineage (NCBI taxonomy): Eukaryota > Metazoa > Chordata > Mammalia > Primates > Hominidae > Homo > Homo sapiens. The sequence goes on along the minus strand of NC_000016.10, from coordinate 22,858,105 downwards.
TCTTTCTAAAATGCCTAAGAGCTCTTAAAGAGGGCAAAAGTGTGTGTTATTCTTTTACCTTTGGGGTCTAGCACGGCGGCTGGCACACTGTAGACATCAGTGAAGGTTGGTAAAGTGAATCAAAGAACAACCACCGCAAAAGCTATCCTACTTAAGAATCTCTCACATCTCTCCTTCAGCTCCCCTCCAATGTACTGAGTGGCTTATTAATTATAGATGGAAATGGAAGCTCTGAAACAGAAGCCGATGTGGGTATAATCACACCCTGTGTTTGCGCGATCATAAGTAGATTATTAAAAATGGATAAGGCAGCCATAATTGGGCTCCAGCCTACCAGAAATCTTAGAGGAAGCAGATGGAGCATTTGGGCATTTTCTGTGCTTTAATCTAAACCAGCAGGAAAAAAAAATTGATTAGAAGATTGTCTTTCACATTCCATTATTGATGTCCGGGCTATCATTAGCAAACGGGTCAGTGTAAGAGCTTTCCCCAGCCCAGAATCAGAGGCATGGAGATGTTATTTAGAGCAAGTTAAACTTTGTTCCATTTGTCAGGCTCTTTGCATAGTTTAGGCATTTGGCCAAACTTGTAAGTGAATTTTTCCCCAAACACATTTCCCTTTCATTTTGAAATGAGGCTGGAAAGGAAATGATATTAACGCGTTTTCCACTGTTTACGCTTTAAAATCATCTCAAATACTCATCGAGAGGCTACAGTGAAAATCACAAAGAGGTGCTTTCTTAGAAGAAAATAATCAAAAGGCCTCTAGCTTGAAGAAAGAAGACGGTGGTTGGGTAACATACGTGTGGAAAGATGCAAGAAGCGTCTTGTGAAACAATTTGCATTCATACTGACTTGTGTTTAAAATTATAACTACGGAAATTAATAACATTACTTTCATCACTATACTCAGCACCAGGAAATCATAAACAAAGTCATGGGATTGAAACCTAACTGATTTTTTTTAACGAGGTGTCATTTAGCCCCTCTGAACCTCGCTTTTCTCATTTATGAAACGATCATGATGGTAACAGGTATCTGTGGGGTTGCTGGAAAGATGAAATGGCATGGTGCATACAAAACACCTAGGATAGTGCCTCGAATATATTATATGTACATTGTATTAAGGATTGCCATTGAGATTACGTAGCATCTGTTGAAAATGTTTTCATTTTTACCCTTGAATGACACCTGCAGTCATCAGATCTGAGCGTGGAAAAGCCTTCAGAAATGACTCAGCTCTGCACTCTCATGGAAAGGCCCAGAGAAGTGATGTGACATGCCCAAGGCTGAGAAAAGTCAGAATTAAAATCCAGGTGATTCCTTGCCTGGACTCCTGATTGCAAAGTACAGCTCCTCAGGGCCCTCTGAGGTCACGGCCAAATGGACACATCAGCTACTGAATGGAAGCAGACACAGCCTCTCCTGCTCCTCCAGATTCAAATCCAGCTACCCCAGGAGGGACCTCCCAAAACTCTTTCCCATCAGAAATGCTCAAAACCCAAAAGATAAAGGAGGGGAGAGTTGGGTTTCTTAGTGGAGGTTATGTGTTTTGGGGATAAGCATGGGAGCAAGACAGAAGAACAATCCTACATAGCAATAGGATTTCTATTTCTAGGAAAAGACAGGAGACTGAGGACTTACAGACTTAAAGATGCAAAAATAATCTGAAGAAACTGCATCAGGACTGGCAGCTCAGGGAAAGGAATTGCAGGTCACGGAAATGAATATTGAGTAAAGATATCTTGACAGGACTGTCACTTGTCACCAGTCTACATGGCACATTTACATGATTAGCAAAATGTGTCCCTTCCTCAAAACCCTTCTTCCGTCTGCTGGAAAATGGTAAAAGTTATGCAAATCTATAGTGTCTATGATGTAACTTGGGCCCCTTAGGTATGCATGGTTGTGCAGTACAAAACCTGCCCAGTTTCACATGGAATCCCTGCTGAGCCAGTTCACAATCTACCATACTTAGGAAGCAGAGTGCTTTTGCAGAATTAAGTGGAGAATTCTTCTGTAATGTATGTCTATTATTTGTGCCATCTACCAACTATTCATCCTTCTTATAGTAATGATACCCCAACATTTCTTTTTAGAGTTTGAGTGGGGCAGATCCAAATCTCTGCTCAAGAAGTGAGTATATGAGCCATGCCCAAACCAGGCAGAACATCCCACTCGCTAGTTGTGATGAGTGGTCCAAAGATGAGCAGGTGACCCAATCAGAGCCAATGAGTCACAGCTAGATTTTTTCTGGGAATGCTGGGAGAAAAGAAAATTCTGTTGCACTTGGAATTGTGAGGATATAAGGGTTGAAGCATCATGGTAACATAAGGAGTCTGAGAATGAAGTCAGCGTATGAAGTGGAGAGGAGAAAGAGAGAGAGAGAGAGAGAGAGAGAGAGAGAGACAGAGAGACAGAGAGACAGACAGAGAGAAAGAACTGATGCATTGTTCCTGATACCCCAGAAGCCAGATGGCTTGGAGGTGGGAGAAAATCAGAGATTGAAAAGGAATGCTTTCTGAGTTCAAGAGCAGGGTGGCAGGAGAGCCTTCCAGATGTTTAGAGAGCAGCAGGGGCGTGGCAGTTGCAGCTGGACAGGGGAAATTTCCCAAGGCAGCAGGAATTCTTGCAGGCATGGTAGGAAGCAGCCAGCCAGCCAGGGCCTGGAAGCTGAAGGTATTTGAAACCTGCCATGGTGACCTTGTCAAATGTGGAGAAGTCACAAGCCAGGGCTGGGATTATCTGTGGCCTCACCCTCCTTCTGTGTCCCCAAGGATGCTCAACCCCTCAACTTGCAAAAACCCCCAGCTCAAGGCCCACGTTGGGGGAAACTACTAGAAGAATCCATTGCCCTCTGCTTGGGAGGACATGCCAGACCCAAATAGAACTCTCATCAATTAAAAGCAATAAACAAGGGGAGAAATGTGAGGCCTGTGAAAAATGCCAATGTCATAAAATGGGCAGAGGAAAAATGTGGTTTGGAAAATGATTTACTGCAGGAAATAGAGTAAATTCCAACAGCATTTGCTTTCTACTTTTCATAAATTTCTTTTTCAGTGCAGACTCCATGACACAAAAACATAGACGAGTTGAGAAGAAAAGAGATTAAAGTGATTGTAGTTTAAAGCCAGAAAGAAATTAAACCATTTAAAAATGCATTTGAGGCTGGGTGTGGTGGCTCACGCCTATAATCCCAGCACTTTGGGAAGCCAAGATGGGAGGATCACTTGAGCCCAGTAGTTTGATAGCAGCTTGAGCAACCAAGCAAGACCCTGTCCCAACAAAAATTTTTAAAAATTAGCTGGGCATGGTGGCACATACCTGTAGTGTCAGCTCCTTGGGAAGCTGAGGTGGGAGGACCGCTTGAGCCCAGGAGTTTGAGGTTGAAGTGAGCTATGATCATTCCACTGCACCCAAGCTTGAATGACAGAGTGAGACCCTGTCTCAAAAAAAAAAAAAAAAAGCATTTAATACAGTAACAGATAAATTAACAATGCAGAAAAGCAAATCAGTGATAATAAGAAGCCTGAGAAACTTCCTTAGGATTCAGAGGAAAAGGATAGAGGGAAGTGGTGATAATCAAGACAGATAATGTGATATAACACATAGAAAATGTATATCTGTGAACAAGATACCAAAACAAGTACAATAGAAGTAATATTCAATATGAGGGAAAAGTTCCTGAATTAAAGAAAAACCTGAACCTGTGTTTCAAAAGAATATAAATCACATCAGAAAAAAATTCATAAAAAAGAGACTAAAACCTAGATACGTATCCTGGCAAAGTTCTAACTTCAAGGAAAAGAACTCTATAAATACTCAGGGAAAAGCCTACTTATAAAGGATAAAGTCAGCCTGGCCTCAGACTTTACCTCTGTTAACAGTAGACATCAAAGACGATGTTGAGCTTTGGGGTTCTGGAAGCCTGCAACCCCAGAAATCTACACACACAACCAAGTTGCCATTCCCCTATGCACAACAACGGGAAGATATTCTCAGATATTTAAGGGCTCAGGAAGTTCAATACCCACATTCTACATGACTGAAATCATGTTCCAGCCAATCATCAGCTGATTAAAAATACAATAGTGAGACCACATGGGTCCATGCTTAGAAACTGAAAATATGGAGGAAGTAGATGCTCTTCTAGGAAAGGATAAATCACCAAAATTGACTCAAGAAGAGTCAACCTGTTGAGGCCAATAAGTGTGCCAGGATTCTTGCTTGACCAGACAATCAGCCTCAGAGGATGCCCTGTCTCAGTGGATTTTTATTTGTTTTGGCTGCGGACGCTGGGGAGATGCCTTCCTTGGAATTTTTGTGATCATGGCAGTCTTCCAGTCTTGAAGGAGGCCCAGCCACTTCTGCTGTAGGGACCTCTGCCTGTCCCACAATGCTCTCTCCTCTTCTTAGGATGGAAAGAGGGAAGCTGACTTCCGTGGCACCTTCAGGCCCATCTCATCTTGAAGTCTCTGCCATATAGGTGAAGCTATCCTAGCATCTGAAACCAATGCCGATCATCCTCCTATTAGCACTTATCATTATCATGGGAGTGAGGGGAGGAAGAGGGGAAGATGTAGATGCCTATGTTCAAGTTCCCATCTTCCCTAGGAGGCCTAAATTCTCTCTTTTACCCATTCACGGATTCCTGAAATAGCAGTGGTAGAAATTGTTATGAAATCCTTCCTCTTTTCTGTGGAAGATGCCATTTAGAATCTTTTAACTGTTACACCCAACAACATAGATGGATTTCAAAACTTTAGGTTGACCAAAAGAACCCCGACACCAATGTGCATATCTTGTAAGATGCACTGTATGAGTCCACCTGTAAGAAGTTTGAAAACAGGCAAAATTAATCTTTGGTGATAGGAGACAGAATAGGGTAGATTTGTGGGGGTAGCGACTGTCTGGAAAGGTGCATGGGGGGCTTTCTGAGGTGATAGCATGTCCCAGACCTTGATCTGGGTACTGGTTACACAGGTGTGTGCAGATGTAAAAATTTATCAAGCTGTACCATTCCAATTTGTGCATGCTGCTATATGCAAAGTTAAACCTCAATTCTTAAAAACTCTTCAAAGTGGGTGAAAAAGGTAAGCTGATATAAAATGGGATGGCATGTTCAGTAGAGAAAAAAATGTTTCTATAATTTCTTTCGTGAGATTAGTCAGAACCCGATTCCTTTCTCAGTTTGGAAACCAAGACTACGTAAAAATATCCTAAGGGATGTGGGGATTTTATGAAGGACCAAAAGGAACACTTTTTCATCTTTTCTGGAAAAGTACAGAATGAATTCGGTTCCTTGGTGAACACGAGTCACCATCAAGGGTATGTGGTCCTTAGGGCTGGAGAGTCAAGCCTGGAATGATGAGAGAAATGGCTGAGCTTTTCTGCAGGAGAAACACGCATTAATAACCAGCTGGAGAAAATTCTTCAGACAAAATGAATGTGACAGAGAGGGGAAGGGGCAGGCCTTGGGAGGCAGAGAGTCATTAAGGGCTTCAAAAGGCAAGAAAGAGGATGACACAAAGCTTGAGGGAGGAATCTTTGGGGTCCAAGGTGGTGCCTTCTTCTCCCAGGGTGTCTAAGAACTAGTACACATCTGAGCTCATCTGCAGGACCACCCTGTGCCAGAAGGAATGACTGGGGACCAGAGCCAGCAGGGAGATTGCGAAGTTTCACCAGAAGGAACCATTTACTGAGCTTGCCTCCTAAAACATGGTTCTCACATTTGCCATTATAGTAGCTATTTACTACCACAATCATGCTACATTTTAAAACCTCCCACAAAACTCAGAGGTTTCAAAGAGAAATCACTTATTTTTGCTCCTGTGTCTACACTAGGAGCTCATTTAGACCAGGGTTTCTGAACCTCAGCACTATTGACATTTGGGGCCAGATAAGTCTTTAAGATGGGGGCTGTCCTGCTCACTGTATTGTTTAGAAGTAACCTCTATCCACTAGATGCCCATAACATCCTTCTCCTAGTTGTGATAATCAAAAATGTCTCTAGACATTGCCAAATGTTTCCTGATAGGAAAAAACACTTTCAGTCGAGAACCACTGGCCTAGGCTGAGCTTCAGCTGGGCTCACCTGGGCTTGGGTCTAAGCTTCAGGTTGGGTCCAAGCCTGCTCCACGTGTCTCTCATCTTTTAGGAACCAGATGGCTCAGGGTATTCTCATAGGTGACTGCAGAAGGACAACCCCATAAGCACATTTCAAATGTCTGGTCATGTTACATCAGCTAACATCCCTAGGGCACACAGTCAAGCCCAACACTGATGGAGTGAGGAAGCATACCTTGCCCCAGTGGAGGGGAGATGGGAGTGAATATTTATGGAATAATAATCTAAACTACCACAGCCATCAACACGACAATTGGCTTGAAATTATATTAGTCTAAGGCGTCCTTCACCTTTTATCTTAAATTATCCTAGAGGAGACCCAGGAAATATGATAAACAACTAGGAGATGGGAAACTCCCAGGAATCAGGAAAGTATGGATTATATCTGAGATTCTCTCCTTCAGGAGGGTAGATTTTCAGCTTTATTCTTAAACCCATATTTTATGGCTATACCACTCCAGTGAGGAGACAGCTGGGCTGCAATGGAGAAAAAAAATAGCATCAACTTAGAATCAGAAGACTAAGTTCTAATTCTAGTTTTGCCAATTATTGGCTCTTTGATTTTGAGCAAGCCCCTTGACTCCAATAAGACTTGGTTTCCTCACGTATAAAATGAGACAAAGTCAGTTTCTACCCAACAGAGTTGATGTGAGCATTAAATTACATTATGCACATAAAATGCAGGTGGTTTATATAAATGATGTAATATGTGCCCCATCAGTTCCTCCCTTCCCTGTACACACAGGATGCTCTTCACATAAGAGATGGGGTCTCATTCCCCTTCCCTTGAATCTAGACTGGCCTCAATGACTTGCTTAAGGCAAAAATGATGCTCTGGGACTTCTGAGACCAAGTTATAAGATGTCCTGCAGCTTCTGCCTGGACCTCTGGAAACGCTTGCCCTTGAGATGCTCCTTCCCAGAACCCAGCTGCCATGTGCAGGAAGCCCAGGCCCTACAGAAAGGCCATGGGTAGTCACTCTGGTTGAAAGCCCAAACTGAGCTCACAGGTGACAGCCAGAAGCAGCTCCCAGCCATGCAGGTAAGTCATGCTTGACATTCATCCCAGTAGAACCCTCAGATGGTTACAGCCCAGCTGATATTCAACTGCAGAACTGCGGCTGTATGAGAGATTCTGTTTTTTTTGTTGTTGTTGTGTTTTTGGTGTTTTGTTTTCTGTTGTTTTTGTTTTTTGAGATGGAGTCTCGTTCTGTAGCCCAGGCTGGAGTGCAGTGGCACAATCTCAGCTCACTGCAACCTCCGCCTCCCGGGTTCAAGGGATTCTCCTGCCTCAGCCTCCCAAGTAGCTGGGATTACAGGTGAGCTCCACCACACCTCGCTAATTTTTGTATTTTTAGTAGAGACGGGGTTTCACCATGTTGGCCAGGCTGATCGCGAACTCCTGACCTCAAGTGATCTGCCTGCCTTGGCCTCCCAAAGTGTTGAGATTACAGGTGTGAGCCACTGCGCCCGACTTATATGAGAGATTCTGAATAAGAACAGCTCAGCCCAGTCATCACATGGAACCATGAGAAATAATAAATTATGGTTCAAGCAACTAAATTCTAGCGTTGTTTGTTATATACCAATAGATAACTGGAGCAATGGCATGCCATTATAAGGTATTATTTTTTAGGGCAATATCACACATATATACCTACCGAGAGTATTACACCCATTCGAGCCCTGACATAGTTACTAGAGTGAACAGTTACAGTTGCTGCCACTGTCCTTCATTCTGATTATGCTACATATCATTGCATTGGAGGGAACCACCCTTTCCCTACATGTGTTTTGGAAAGGGGTTTCCATTAAGGGTTACCCATTGTATTAATAGCAAATACAAATGCAGGATGCCCAGTTAAATGTAAATGTCAGATAAACAATGAATGTTTTTTATACTAAAAAAATTGTTATTCATCTGAAATTCAAATTTAGCTGGGAATCCTGTATTTTATTGTATGGGAGCAACCCTACTCCCATACCCAGCCCCAGGAGCGGGGAGGACCTTACACTTAGCCAGTAATGCGCTGTATTCCCCTAGCTACAGTTATCCCTTCAGGATGGCTATATTACTCCATCCAGGGTAATGAGAGAGGGAATCCCAGGACTGGTGTGAGAACTATTCAAAATCATCCTGTCCCTTTGGCTGAATTAGGTGCTGTGAGGTTATCGAGTAGAAGCCAAGAATAGAGATTAGCCAGAGGAAGCAGATCTGAAAGATGGAGCACAATGGTATAGTTTGTGTCCTGAATCAAGCCTTGCCTGAAGCTGCCTCCAGGCAGACAAGTTGAGAACAAGTGCGCAATTTACTCCATTCCTTTTCTTTTTCTGTGATGACCTTAGAAGCCTATGTTGAGATGAAGTGTCTCTCAACTGGGTCCCTGAGGGGCCACAGTGAGCACATTGATACTTGTTGGACATGTAGCATGAGCAAGAAACACATTTTTGCTGTGTTAAGCCATTGATATGCTGTGGTTGTTACTACAGCACAACTTAGCCTATTCTGTCCACCTAAATAGATTTAGAATAAGAACTAGACATACCCCCCCGCAAAAAAGATAGTATTTCCATATATAGAAGATGAGCTGTAACATTTCTGTATTGCAGACATTTTAGTAAGAGGTTTGTTTGCCCTTAATTTATACTGTTAGTCTCTGGGTGGGCTGGCTTATTTTAAAGAGAGTATTGAGTTACTTTAAAGAGGTAAGTACATACATCTGTGAGATCCTGTTGGCTGGAAATGGTGAGACAGCACGAGTGTGTTCCTGTAGAGGGTCAGGGAGCCATAACTGCCAGAGAGTGGGTCTACATTCATGAAACCTGCTATTTAGGGCACATTACATGCTTCAAGTCCCTCTGGGTGTACATGCCACACGGAAGATCATTCCCGTTTCTTAGATGCGAAAAACAAGGCATACAGATGTAAAAACACCCACCCAAAGCACAGTGAGTCAGTTTCATTGTCCAAACCTGCTGGATTTTTAAATGTTCTAAATGTGAAAGCTTTTAAAGACTCTCACATTGAATGCAAGATTTTATAAAAGCAGCTGGATAATTGTAAGGCGGGTATAACCTGCTGGTAAGATGAATGCAAACAATCTAAGGGCCTCAGAAAATCACCACCATGCATGGTACGGTGTCAGGGTTCCTTCCCTTGGCAGCCAGCATGGGGATAATCATAGAGCCTCGTGTTAAGTTATGGTCTCTCTAACAGACAGCAGAGAACAAAAGGGAGAGAGAAATCAACTTGAATACGTAGAGCACTTTTCCAAGAGACCAGCAGGGAGGAAGGTGAGTGAGAAGTCACAGGATGCTCAAGACTGAATGCAGAGAAACAGAGCCAGGGAATGCAGTTGTGGAGGCGTATGTGAAGGTAGAGAATTCCTTTCTAAAGGTATTCAAAGGAGCATATTTCACAACTGCACTCAGAAGCAATCCTGAGGCTTTTTAAAAAAATGCTGTATGGAAGTTCTTTTTCAGCTTGAGCTAAAGCCATCATCTTCTGCTCCAGTCTCTGGTGAACATCAGTTAATGTCTGTTCAAAAAATCTTGACAGAACACCTATAATGTGTTGGGGATTGCAGGAAATAAAATCAAGGAGAGGAAGCTAGCATTTTCTGAGTGCCTATTGTAGGAACTGTATTGGCAATAGTCCAAATTCCATTTAGTCCTTGTGATAGCCATCAGAAGTCTTCTTGCCCTTGTTTTCCAAGTGAGGAAACTGAGGCTCAGAAGATGAAGTGACCTGCCTAAGATGAAACAGGCAATAAGTGGTAGAGGCTCCTTTGACGCCAAAATCCAGGCTCTTCCAGCTACATTTCGCTGCAGCCATGTTAAGAATAAACAACAAATGAAACATAGCACCAGCAATTAAGGGGCTTACCAGCCAGTTGAAGGAAAAGGACACATTAAAATAAGAATTATAGGATTCCAGAAAACACATGAGGCTGACCTGATCAGGCAAGAATTGAAGAAAATGAGACTATTAATTGAACAAATTCTTTCTTTCTCACTCTTTCTTTTCTTCCCTCCCTCCTTCCTTCCTTCCTTCCTTTTCTTCCTTCCTTCTTGCTTTGTCTTTCTCTCTTTCTTCCTCTTTCTTTCTTTTTTTTTCTTTTTCTCCTTCCTTCCTTCCTTTTCTTTATTTTTTTCTTTCTTCTCCTCCTCCTCCTTCTCCTCTTTCTTATTCTTCTTCCTCTTTCTCTTTCTCTCCCTATTCTTTTTTTTAACATCAGGCGTTCAAAGTTAATCGTACTCCTGACTCTATGGCTTAATAGCTTATCATGTATGCCCTTCGCACAGCTCCTTTAAAAAATATATGTATTAACTCATGTTTTCAGTTTTATCCTCATACTTCTCTTCCATTCCCCTCTCCTATAGGCAATCCATGAGGAAACATATATCTAATGGATATTGTTTGGTTTCAGTACGATCTTGCAACACGTATATTGTTTTGCAATATACACTGAGTTTTTAAAAATTTGCACATGGGCTTTAATAAATTTGCAAATGGGTTTTTAAAAATTTACATAAATGATATTTATCTAAATGTCTCACTTCCTTTCTTGCATTTTTCACTAGGCACTATGCTTTTAAGATCTATCTGTGTAAAGAAGGTGTGGTATATATATACACCATGGAATTCTATGCAGCCACAAAAATGACATCATGTCCTTTGTGGGAACATGGATGGAGCTGACGGCCATCATTCTTAGCAAACGAATGCAGGAACAGAAACCCAAATACCATATGTTCTCACTTATAAGTGGGAACTAAATGATGAGAACACACGGACTCAAAGTGGGGAACAGCAGACACTGGGGCACACTTGAGGGTGGAGGGTGGGAAGAGGGCAAGGATCAGAAAGAAATAACTATTGGGTACTAGGCTTAGTACCTGGGTGATGAAATAATCTGTACAACAACTCCCACCATGGCATGAGTTTACCTACATAACAAACCTGCACGTGTACCCCTAACCTAAAATAAAAGTTAAAAACAATCTATCCCTGTTGTTTTGTATTCATCACATTTACTGATTCTCAGCACTGTAGAGGAACTCCACGCTGTGTATCCCCACTTTTGTATCCTGACTCTGCCAGAGATGGACATCCAGACTGTCTCCAGCTCCCCACCATCATAACCACCTTGCAGTTACTTTCCTGGCATATTTTTTTTTACATTAAGGTTTATGAGACTGTCTTTGAGTTACATACCTAGGAGTGGATCTCTGGGGTTTGATATGTTTAATTTGACAGCAATGTCAGATTGCTCTTTGGAATTGCCCTAGTCCACCTTCTCATCAACAGTACATGGTAGTTCCTCGAACCTCTCATGACTCCAACATGCGGCATTTTTCTGATTTTTGCCAGTCTAATCGGTGTGAAATGACAACTCAAATGGTGGTAATTTTAATGTCTGATTACAGAGGAGTTCACGTAAACATCCAGAGTTTTAAACATCTCACTGTGTGCTTGACACCATAGGTGATATGAAACACACATATGACTTGGCCCAGACTCTCACCAAGCTTACATGAAGGTACAAAATAAGACCAGGAATATAACAAGGGAGGCATTAGAGGTGAGAGCAAAGAAAGGGTTTGCAATGAGATTATTGGGCGCAGCACTGACCACAGCCAACAATAATATATACATATATATAAACACACACAAATATACATATATACTTTTTTTTTTTTTTAAATCGAGTCTCACTCTGCCACCCAGGCTGGAGAGCAGTGGCATGATCTCGGCTCACTGCAACCTCTGCCTCCCGGGTTCAAACAATTCTCCTGCCTCAGCCTCCCAAGTAGCTGGGACTACAGGCACTCGCCACCATGCCTGGCTAATTTTGTATTTTTAGCAGAGATGGGGTTTCACCATGTTGGTCAGGCTGGTCTTGAACTCCTGACCTCAGGTGATCCACCTGCCTTGGCCTCCCAAACTGTTGGGATTACAGGCGTAAGCCACAGCACCTGGACTCATAACCAACAATAATATATTAACAAGTGTTGACTGGGCCTCTTGGCTTAATGCTGCAACCAGTCTGAAGTGTCAACTCCTGTCTTCCCATCTTGTAATGACATCAGACAATAAGGGCCTTTTGTCATGAGAAGAAAACTCAATCTGAAAAGACTGGAACTTTACCAGAAGTTGCATTTGCTTTAACACAAAAGCCTTATCTTCAGCATCCTACTAAGTTGCTTCTTGTGTTGCTAAACAAATGTTGCCATGATGAAAGAGACATTATGAGGACTGACAGCAAAGTAGCCCGACCTAACATGGATTTTTGTATCAATAGAAATGATTGATAAAATATCAAAAATAGGCCAGGCGCATGGCTCACGCTTGTAATCCCAGAACTTTGGGAGGCCGAGGCAGGCAGATCACGAGGTCAGGAGGTCGAGACCAGCCTGGCCAACATAGTGAAACCTCATCTCTACTAAAAATACAAAAAATTAGCCAGGCATGGTGGCAGGTGCCTGTAATCCCAGCTACTCAGGAGGCTGAGGCAGGAGAATTGCTTGAACCCAGGAGGCGGAGGTTACAGTGAGCCGAGATCACACCATTGCACTCCAGCCTGGGTGACAGTGTGAGACTCCATCTCAAAAAAAAAAAAAAATCACAAATAAATAGATGAGTTCACACAAAAAAGGAAATTCCTGAATGGCAGAAGTGATGAGAGCATTGGCAGCTGGAATGATGCTACAGTAGTCTACAGAGCCTTAGTGGATGAAGTTGTACTGCCCCCTATATTAGTCTGTTCTCCCAATGCTATAAAGAAGTACTTGAGATTGGGTAACTTACCAAGAAAAAAGATTTAGGCCAGGCGCAGTGGCTCACGCCTGTAATCCCAACACTTTGGGAGGCCGAGGCAGGCGGATCACAAGGTCAGGAGATCCAGACCATCCTAACTAACACAGTGAAATCCTGTCTATACTAAAAATACAAAAAATTAGCCAGGCATGGTGGCAGGCACCTGTAATCCCAGCTACTTGGGAGGCTGAGGCAAGAGAATGGCGTGAACCTGGGAGGCGAAGCTTGCAGTGAGCTGAGATCACGCCACTGCACTCCAGCCTGGGCAACAGACTGAGACTCCATCTCAAAAAAAAAAAAAGAAAGAAAAGAAAAGAGGTTTAACTGTCTCACAGTTCTGCAGGCTGTACAGGAAGCATGGCTGGGGAGGCCTCAGGAAGCTTTACAATCATGGTGGAAGGTGAAGGTAAAGGTGAAAGTGAAGGTGAAGCAAGCACGTCTTACATGGTGGGAGCAGGAGGAAGAGAGAGAGAAGAGCAAGGTGCTACACACACTTAACCAGATCTCATGAGAACTCACTCACCATCACGAGAACAGCCAGGAGGAAGTCCAGCCCCATGATCCAATCACCTCCCACCAGGCCCCTCCTCCTACACTGAGGATTACAATTCAACATGAGGTTTCGGTGGGGACACAGATCCAAACCACATCCCTCCCAGAAAGACTGAAGGTGCCACCCTCAGTTTATATGAAGAGGTTACCTGGAACTGTGACTCTGCATAGAGTTGGGAATCTTATAAAGGTTGCCACCCTGGGGAAGGAATACTAGGGAAGCTCTTCCCACTAGCTCCTGGGAACTGTAAGGAGCTTTGTCTCTATTCAGGGCTCTGGAAGGAAAATCTAAGTCTTGAGAAATTGAAACCCTGAGCTTGTGTCTAGTGTGATGCAAGAATCCCAAAGTGAGAAATAAAACAAAAAGTTTGTTACAGTGCAGCAGAAGCAAAATGTAAAGCCACTCAAAGGCTTCCACACCTGGGACATATGGCACTTACATGGCAAAAAAATAAAAAATGAAACTCAGTTAAAATGAGCTCAAAATTCAAAAATTATGAAACATGCCAGGACATGATTCATCATAATGGAAAGTAAGAAGACGTGTGGTGTTATGATATGTGTGTGTGTGCGTGTGTGTGTGTGTGTGTGTGTGTGTGTAGGTTTTCATCCACAATTCCCAGTTCATAACTCCCATATCCCTTGTTACAGTCTTTTGTTATAATGTTGGGTGACTTAGGCCTTAGGAAACTGTCTGTTTCTTGCCTTCCTTTCTTGCCTGCCCCAAGGCAGGACTCTAATCTTCCCCACCTTTCTGATTGTGGGTCTTCAGACCCTCCCCAGAGAGGGTCTCCACCCTATATGCTGGAGAAAGGAATGCTGACATCTTGAAACTTCCATAAAAACCCAACAGAACAGGATTCAGGGAGTTTCCAGAGAGCTAAACACACGGAGGCAGACAGGAAGGTGAAGAAGAGCTCATCCACGAGCTGGGGTGGGGGTGATGCACCCCGCCTCCATGAAGACAGAGCTCATCCACTCGGGACCCTTCCAGACCTCACCCTGTGTATATCTTCATCTGGCTATTTATTTGCATCATTTAAAAGATCCCTCTTCATGAACTGGCAGATGTGTTTCCCTGAATTCTGTGAGCCACTCTAACAAATTAATCAATCTCAAATAGGAGGTCATGGGAACCCCAACTTGAAGCCAGTCAAACTTGAAGCCAATCAGTCAGAAGTTCTGGAGGCCCAAATTTGCAACTAGCGGGCAGGAGGGAGCAGTCTTGGGAACTGAGTCCTCAACCCGTGGGATCTGACGCTGTTTCTGGGTAGATAATGTCAGAATTGAATTAGAGGACAGTCAGCTGGTGTCTGCTGCTTGGTGATGGGAAATTAACCCAAAAGTTTGTCCTAGTACAGCAGAAGCAAAATGTAGAGCCACTCAGTGGCTTCCACACTTGGGATACATGGCACTCACATGGCAATGTGTTCACACACACACACACACACATACATACATCTAGTCACAGAGTTCTTATTCTGTGATTATGATTTTTGCAGTGTGAGAGTAGAAGAAAAACATGGTTTGAGAAAGTTTTTCCCTACACAACATGTCAAAAAGAGAATGGCATCTTCCTCAGAACTTGAGATACTAGAGCAATTTAAAAGAAACTATAAAATAAGTATGTTTAACATAATTGAAGAGATTCAAAACCAGAAACACTAATGAAAGAAGAGCACATTACATGGCACAATGGGACAGACAAATCCCAGTTTTGGCAAAAGCTCTAGCCTTTCCAAATCGAGCCTTGTTCCTGTTAAAAATACATGCTCTAAACAAATGAAAAATCGTAGAGGAAGTTTTCTGTAGCTCAACACGGAGAGACTAAAGGAAAGAAAGCTGGGGAGAAGGTTAAGAGATGGGAGGAATGCATCCAAAGGTGTAACATGTGTCTAACAGGAGGCTCTGGGAGGAGGAAGTAGAGAGAATGGAAAAGAAAATAAGCAAAAAGATGATGGCTGAGAATTTTCCGGGATTGATAAAAGGCATGAATCCTCAGATTGTGGAAGCAAAATGTATTCTGATAAAAATATAAATAAGTAGAAGGGTGGTCACCAGAGGCTGGGGCGGGTGGGGAGATGTGGGTCAAAGGATACAAAATTTCAATTAGATAAGAGGAATACCTTTGAGATCTATTGTACAACACGGTGACTAGTTAATAACAATACATTGTATTCTTGAAAAATGATAAATAAATAAACAAATCCATGTTTAGACACATTGTAATAAAATTACAGTACTCCAGCTGGACACAGTGGCCCACACCTGCAATCCCAGCACTTTGGGAGGCTGAGGCGGGTGAATTACCTGAGGTCAGGAGTTCGAGACGAGCTTGACCAACAATGGCAAAACCCTATCTCTGCTAAAAATATAAAAATTAGCTGGGTGTGGTGGCACATGCCTTTAGTCCCAGCTACTCGGAAGGCTGAGGCAGGAGAATCACTTGGACCCAGGAGGTGGAGCTTGCAGTGAGCCAGGATTGTACCACTGCACTCCAGCCTGGGTAACAGCAAGATACTGTCTCAAAAAAAAAAAAAAAAAAAGAAAGAAAAGAAAAAAAGAAATTACATTACAGAACACCAAAGATACAGCGAAAAACAACCAGAGAAAAAAAAAGACAGATTGTCTAGATTCAGAGAAGTTTTCTCAACAGCAATAGGAAAGTTCAGAAGATTCTGGAATTAGGTCTTCCAGGGTCTATAAGAGAATAATCACCAACCTAGAATTCCATACTGAGCTAAATGATTAATTGAAAGAGAAGGCAAAACAGAGACATTTTCATTTAAAAAATATTGACAGAATTCACCTATGAAAAAAACCACTACAGGCAACTGAACTCATAAGACGAAGTAGATGAAAGAAGCAATAGTAAGCAGGGGAATTAGGAAAACTTCTGGATAAATCTACAATCTTGTTTTTTAAAAAGGAAGCAATAATGATGATATGGTTTTGGTTGATACAAACACGGTATAATTAAAATACTAGACAATCACATGGTAGGTGGGGGTGGTGATAGGAATTAGTGTGCTAAGGTTCTTGTATTATTTGGGAAGAAGGTAAAATATTGATGAATTCTGAACTATTAAGTCAAGTAAACACTGTAAGAATAACCACTAAAGGATATAAGTAGAAGAGACAATTTCCCAAGTAGCTGAAGGAGAGAAGTCAGTGAGGCTGTCAAGCTGGTTTGTGATTAGGAGCAGAGGAAGAAATGCAGGTAGTGCCAAAAGAAATTCAGGGAGTGAGGCCGGGCGCTGTGGCTCATGCCTGTAATCCCAGCACTTTGGGAGGCCAAGGCGGGCAGATCATGAGGTCAGGAGTTCGAGACCAGCCTGGGCAACATAGTGAAACGCTGTCTCTACTAAAAATATAAAAAATTAGCTGGGCATGCTGGTGGGTGCCTGTAATCCCAGCTACTCAGGAGGCTGAGGCAGGAGAATCGCTTGAACCCAGGAAGCAGAGGTTGCAGTGAGCTGAGATCGCGCCATTGCACTCCAGCCCGGGTGACAATGTGAGACCCTCACAAGGACAAAAAACCAAACACCGGTTGCTCTCACTCATAGGTGGGAATTGAACAATGAGAACACATGGACACAGGAAGGGGAACATCACACACTGGGGCCTGTTGTGGGGTGGGGGGAGGGGGGAGGAATAGCATTAGGAGATATACCTAATGTTAAATGACGAGTTAATGGGTGCAGCACACCAACATGGCACATGTATACATATGTAACTAACCTGCACGTTGTGCACATGTACCCTAAAACTTAAAGTATAATAATAATTTAAAAAAGAAATTTAGGGAGTGCCTCCGTGGACTGTCACCACCTACTCCAGAACCACTGACATTTCTCCTAATAGTATGAGGATGGTCATGGAGAAAATGATAATTCCCCCATTCTTTCTAGCATGTAGCTGTATAAACTGCTGCTACCTCCCAGTGCAGCCAGAAGCCTGTACTCACCTCTTGTATGCACCCTGACACCATCAAAGAATTCCTATTTTGCCAGCCTGGGCAACATGGCAAAACCCTGTCACTACTAAAAGTAAAAAAAATTAGCCAGGCGTGGTGGCACATGCCTGTAATCCCAACTACTGGGGAGGCTGAGGCAGGAGAATCTCTTGAAACTGGGAGGCAGAGGTTGCAGTGAGCCAAGATTGTGTCACTTAACTCCAGCCTGGGTGACAGAATGAGACTCTGTCTCAAGAAAAAAAAAAAAAGATTCCTATTTTGTGAACTCCTGCTGGTAAATTGCAAAGGTTTCTTTACCCAGCAAAGAATATGCAGACTGGGCTAGAAGTGACCTCCCTGACACAAGTATGAAGGAAATGATGTGGCACGAATTCATCTTAAGAAGTCTTGGAGAAATCTTGTGCCCTTTGACCTATGGCCACCCTTATCAGGCAAATGTGCCCATGCAATCCTCTGGCTGGATTTGCTTCTACTTACCTTTGTAAGTCAGGTGCCTGTCACCATCAAAACCAAAAGTCAGAATTGATTTGATGTCAAAGATGGCATGTGCTTTGCACCACAATTCCAGCTCCTTGTGCAAGCTAAACATTAGCCACATTATCATTGAAATTTCCTTTTCGGTAAGGTTAAAGGCTACTTTTGGTCTTATTTTGCACAACTTTGAGTTTATATTATTTTCCAGAATGTGACCATTTATTTTTACATTAAAAAGCTGAGGTGAAAGGCCCTTTGTAAAGATCACATTCATATTGCATGGTTTTGAAAGCAATCGTCTTCCACGGAAATAGGATGCATTCTCTGCAAAATGTTGCATATATGTATTTACAAATTTGGGGGAAAGAGATGGCAATGTAATTTTCATCATATTAATGGAGAAATTTATGAGCAAAACGAGGGTAAGACGCGTCCAAGACATTAATTCTAACTAGCAAGAGTAGCAGGTGGGTGGCTGATATCAGAATCTTTAGGTAAAAGGGGAAAAAAACTGTATGTCATCTCAAAAACAAAAAAAAAAGCATACAATATCCTGACTTGAATTGAAGAAAAAGACTGAAGTTACTGCTACCCAGGAAAGAAAATTTCACATAACTCTCAGAGTTACCTGTGCAGCAGCTTTTGAGTCAAGAAGAAAAAAACGTTGTGAAATGCTGCTGTAAGGTATGATTTAATTTATCAAGTGTGATTGACAGACCATTCAAAATTACAACTATTCTGAAGCTCCAGGCAGGAAGGAGCATTGTTCTACTCCTCCTTTGCTACTTATATTTTGTTCTTGTCAGGAACTCCTTCCAGGTTTTCTGAGCCCCTTTCAGTCTTTCATGCATTTGCAGCTATAAGTAAACAGTCTGATGTGTTTTCAGTGGGTGCCTGTGAGCCTTGCTGAGTCCTGCCCCATCCCGTCTGGTGCATACCCTCATTCATTCATTCGACAAATATTTATCAATCTTTTTATGTGCCGAGCACTTTTCTAGGCACAGAAACTGGAGGCATAAGCAGAGATATGCTTTATTTTGCAGTAATGCACAGGTGTTTGAGGATGTTCAATACAGTGAAGGAGAGAGTTTACAGGGTTGTCAGAGGCAATGCAGGGATATGCACCATGTTAATCACAGCCCAGTGCCATTCACAGATTGGGGAAACAGTGTTGGCTTGTGCTGTGCAGGCTGGACTCTGCAGGGAAGTGTGGGGTTCAGTGTTTGCTGCTGGGCAGTGAAGGGCAGCAATGGCCTGGACTGGTGAAAAAGGAAGGTAATGAGATCCAAGGCAGGCCTTCCCAGGAAGAAGCAGCAACCCCTGAACTCTCTCCCAGGCTTCAAGAGGTCGTAAGGCACAACCTAGCAGACACTGGATGATCCACCCAGCTACCTAGCAAGAGGAAGAACTGACTTTTCATCGACTGCCTGCCTTCACAAACCATTGTCCTTTAAACAGATTGCCTCCTCGCCCCATCACATTCTTGCCCTTCTCCATGCCCCCTGCCCTTTCATAAATGCAGCTCCAGAAGCTTCCGCAGTTGAGTTTCAGCAGCTGTGGACACCTAATCGATAGCTTTTCATAACAATTTTCTCCCCAGCCAGGATTCTGGTCCAAACTATTCAGCTACCATACACCTGGATTGAACTAAATAAGAATGTCAAATCAGCCAAAGAGGCCGTTTGTGGTCTATGATTTTTAAGGACTCATTCTGCGGCTGCTGGAGGAAAGAGGCCTCCACCAGCTGTCAAAAAAGCCTCTTTGATCCAGTGTGGCAGGCATGCTTGCATCTGAAAGGTGCAACTCCAGGCATACTCAGCGGGTCAGCTTCGAACATATTCCAGAGGAATCCAAAAGGGAGCCTTCAAAATCCTGGGTCGTGGAATTGTACATCCTCAGCCCCCTTTGAGCTCAGGAGCTAGATTCTTTGTCTAGCTCTAGAATCTCTTTGTGCAAAAATCCCTGTGAGTACCACACAGAGGGATTTTTGCACAGATTCTAGAGCTGAACAAAGGATCTTTAAGTCTATTTTCTCCAAATTCAGTCATTTGCATGCAACTCCCACAGTTCCTGCCATATCCTTGCACTATTGTTTACTTTATATTTTTCTTTGAATTCCACTCACTTTTTTTTTCACTTACATAGAACAATTTTTTACCTACAATTTTGTTAGGCACATAAGTGGAAAACCAGTACCTCTTGCCACAAACAGTAGATGAATGTAAAAGCATATGCAGAGAATTGAAAAGATGAAATTCTTTTTTTTGAAAACATTAAATTCGGACTAGTGTGTTAGAGATCATCTCACATCATCACAAGAAGAACGAGTATAGTAAAATAAGATATTTAGAGAGAGATCACATGAACATAACTTTATTATAGTATAGTTATAATTGTTCTTTTTTTATTAGTTGTTAATCTCTTAACAACAATACTGTGACTAATTCTGCATTAACTCTTCTATCCCTAATTTGAAGCTTAAACTTTATCATAGATACGTGTGTGTGCATACATATATGTGTGTGTGTTTGTGTGTATATATACATATATGTCAATATATATATGTCCGTGTGTGTGTGTATATATATATATGTATATATATACATATATATACATATATCTGTGTATATATATGTGTATATATATACACATATATATACACACACACACACACATAGGAAAAAAACATTATATATAGGGTTTGGTATTATCGGCAGTTTCAGGCATCCACTGGGGATCTGGGGACATATCCCCCTGGATAAGGGATGACTACTGCAATATCAAGGTGGAAAACTCCTATATAGTACTTGCTATGGGCTCAGCCTTCCTCTAAGCACTTTGCACAGTTAATTCCTCATTTTTCATATCATCCCAGTATGATTATTATCCCTACTTCACACATGGGAGAATGACGTGTAGAGCAGGTAAATAAGTTGCCCAGGAGGACATAGGTTACTAAGCAAAGCAGCAGAGAGTTGAACTCAGGACAGTCTGACTTTAGAGGCTCCGTTTCTATTTAAATAATGGAAAAAAAAAAAACTGTATAGGCATCCAGGAAGGGAAAACAAAACAAAACAGTTTGCCAACAAAAGGGGAAAAAAATGAACCTAGCTGACATCAATCTTCTCTGCCACACACACATAGATGACCTAAGACAACAGATCCATGATTTCAGAGGTGCTTTTAAAAAGATTTTGTCCTGGCTGGGCATGGTGGCTCACACCTATAAACCCATCACTTTGGGAGGCTGAGGTGGGTGGATCACTTGAGACCAGGAGTTTGAGACTAGCCTGGCCAACATGGTGAAACCCCGTCTCTACTAGTAAATAAATAAATAACAAAAAAAATTTAGCCAGGCGTGGTGATGCATGCCTGTGATCCCAGCTACCCAGGAGGCTGAGGCAGGAGAATCACTTGAAACTGGGAGGCAGAGGTTGCAGTGAGCCATCCTAAACATTTCAATTTGGCTGAATTATTGTTCATGTGTGACAAAAGCAGAAAGATATTCCTAAACTTGCACAGCGGTCAGGTTAAAGCACTAATTGAAAAAAAAATAGATACTCATAAAAATCCATCAACTGATTAAGAGATAAATAAAAACATGCAACTAAAGAAAGGTATAAATTAATGGAGACAGGAAGGACAGGACCAGAGCCAGTAAACAAGGACATAATGGTTGATACAGTTATAAGACTTAAGTGCAGCATCAGAGTTAACATCCTCCTGCTTCCTCTTCATCTTCTGCCATGGTTGTAAGTTTCCTGAGGCCTCCCAGAAGCAGAAGCCACTGTGCTTCCTGTACAGTCTGCAGAACTATGAGTCAATTAAATCTTTTTTTGTAAATTACCCAGTCTCAGGTACTTCTTTATCGGTAGTGCAAGAACAGACTAATACAGATGGCATGTCTCTATTAGCTTGAAAATTATTTTTTAAATCATGCTAAGAAAATATCTTTAACACGTAACCAGAGTTTTATGAGGATTAAATGTTAGATTTTACCTAATCCTTTTTTTCAGTATCATAAAGATGCTTCAGCCCTTCACAGATTATGGTTATATCCTCTTTCTCATTCCTAATTTTGTCTATTTTTGTTATCTCTTATTCTTAATTAGATACCATAAATGTTTGTCTATTTTTTTTTCAAAGAATAAGTCTTGGATTTTTTTTTTAAGAATCAATGTTTCCATTTCCCTCTATTCATTAATTTCTGTTTTCATTTTTCCAAAATACTTCCTTGTTTCCTTATCTTTAACATTCCACTCACTTTTGTGGTTGAATCCTTAGTCAATTCATTTTCTTCATTTAATAAAGAAGCTAAGTTGCTGCTGAGTGTAGCTTTGGCTACATCTGACTTGTTTCAGTAACACCATTCAGTACACATCATTATTTTCAATATGTTGTACAACTGCCGTTTTGAAATTTATCTTTTACCTGAGTAACTGACAGCTGCAATTTTAACTCCCAAGGCTATCCTTTTTTTGTGATTTGTAAGACTTCTCAATATAAACAGGTTACTTAGTAGTATGGAGGAACATAGAAGTGGAGAGAGAGCCCAAATAATTGAAAATCTGTTGCTTCCGTGAAGCAAGAATCAGAAGACAGGGTAGTCAGACAGTAGGCTGCTGTTTTGTGATAAGCCTTATAATATGATTTACCTGTTTAAACTATGTAGACGTGTTATTGTTGTTTTGATAAGCATTAAAATCACAAAAACAAAGTGGAGTAAAATACTTGGCAGCCATAACATGGATAGAATTGGGGAATAGGGAGGTTTGGAGTCGTTCTCTAAGTTACTCTTTGCCAAGTCTTAGTGTGATCAGATAAGTACTATTAAAAATACAAAAATGAAGAAAACAAACAAAAAGAACAGAAATAGCCTATATAACTTCTACCTCAGAGGGAAGTAACAGGGGAATAAAGAAGGCTCCACCAATCCAATATTGAAGAGTCAGGAGAAGAAAAAATAAACAAAAAAAAATGAACAAAATGAATATTTGAAAAGTTCAAATATGTTGATAATCGAATACATAAAAAATTAAGACTTTCTTACTGAAAGATGAAGATGATCACACTGGATGAAAATGTAGAACCAAGCCAAATTCAGCTCACTAGAAACATCTGAAGTAATAAAACACTAAAAGATAAAGTCAATCCAGTATAAGCAGCATTAATCATTAAACATCCTCTTTTAAAAATGGAAAGAAATATCTCCAACAGGGAAAAAATTAACCAAAAATTTCAGAAAATGAATGCAAATGGCTAATAAATATTTTTAAATACCCCAAAATTCAAATTAAAAGGAGATAGTTTTCATGCATTAGATTGACAAA
Organism: Homo sapiens; assembly: GCF_000001405.40. Classification (NCBI taxonomy): domain Eukaryota; kingdom Metazoa; phylum Chordata; class Mammalia; order Primates; family Hominidae; genus Homo; species Homo sapiens. Next base: position 22,834,828 of record NC_000016.10, on the reverse strand, counting down.
GAGCAAATAAATAGGTTGCTAATAGTCAATGTTGACAAGGATGTGGAAAAAAGTCCTTTCAGACTGTGCTAGGGAAGTATAAATGCTTCAGCTCTATTGCCATAGGGGTGGGGAAAACTTGGTAATTTGTATCAAAAAATGGATACTTTTTAAAGCATGGTTACCCACAAACCCCAAAATTCCTCTGAAATAAATTTATTCTGAGGAAAATCATTGGGTACGATACTTGCTGCTGTCCTTTCATTGTTAAAGAGCAAAAAGTGGGAGCAATCTAAATGTCTATCAGTAGGCGATTTGGTTAATGATTGTATAAATAATAGTATATCTATCCAACTAGATGCTATTTAAAATAATTCTGAGCATTTAAAATGATTCTGTAGATATACTTATTGGCATGGAGAGATACCTGCATCACATTGTTAAATAAAATTGCAAGTTATAAAATGGAATATAAAGCATATTATATCTACTATATGTACTGATATGAATAGCAGTATAAAATGGTATATTAAGTATACACATGATTTGTCTAAAATGGTAAAAAGCAAAATCCTAACATTGATTACAACTGTGGGTACACTTTGGGTAATTTTAAAATTCTTTAATCAGTTTCCTAATTTTTCCACAATGCACGATTTCCATTTTAATTTTTCAAGGAATATATTCACACAGCACAAAAAAATGAAAAAGATATACAGAAAAGTCTCTCTCCTATCCCTGCTTTTCCATGCACCCAATTTCACACCCAGAAAACTGTTATTAGTTTCCTGTGTAAGCTTTCAAAATTTATTTATGCATAAATAAGATAAGTTAAATATACATTATCTATTCCTCCCTTTATACAAAAGATAATATGTTTTTTACTTTGCTTTTGTTTTGTTTTGTTTTGTTTTGTTTTTTTAGCTGAACAATATATCTTGAGAACTTCCCATAGGAGTATATATTTTCTTTTATCTGCTATGCTGGATTCTGCCACGTGAATATCTCTTTATTTTTTGTTTGCTTATTTAAATAATTATTTGTAAATTAATTATTCTTACAATCAGAAAAGATAAAAGTATATGTTGGAGACAATGATGATAGTAGCAGATCCCACACACCTCAATATGTAGTGTGATTCCACTGTTTTGGAAATAGGCAAATATAAATAACTAAAACTGACCCTACAAGAGTCCACATAGACCAATAACCATGGAAAAATGGTAGGAAATAACAAATATCTTTCTCTCATGGGCTAGCCCAGAGGAAGAGTCTTTAGAGTAGTAGACTCCCCAAAAAGGTCCGGTGTGCCTCCCCTCTACCACACCATGGTTTATGAAGTGACACCATCCTCTGCCCCTCCTCCCCATTTTGTTAATCTATTTCCTGGTCACACCCTACCTCTGACCTTCTTCTCCAGCTATACGTGCTCCTGGGTCATTGCTGCTGCTTCCATGAATTTAATTATCATCCACAGTTTAGCAAGACACACATTCTTGTCTCCAGTCCAGGTAGCTTCAGCACAATCACCCAAGTGTGTGCACCGACAACCACACAGGTAGTGTCTGAGTCACCTAAGGAAAGAAACCCACTCAACTTCACCCAAGTGAAAAATGGGGGTTATGGAAGAATGCAGGGGTGCCTTGTGGATACAAAGTGCAAGCAATACAGCCAGGTTTTAATGGCTACTCTCTCTGTCATAGACATAGTCTCTGTGTCCAATTCCAGATCAACACCATTGGTGGCCCATCTTTAGCAGAGGCTGGGGAGTGAGGTCTTGTAGCACACAAGCCTCTGGGAAGCATGGGTTCTCTACATAGTACTCAGAAGAAGGAACTGAGGGTATCAACAGTCCAGGGTAGATGTTGTCCCCCAGCTCTGGGGGTGTTCTGACTGGGCAGCATGCATCAGGAAGGTTTGGTCCTTGCTGAGTTGGCTCAGGGTGTAGGGTGGGTGGGGTGAGCAACAGGAATGCTTCTTGCTCAGTCCTGAGGCTGTCTGGTGGGCAGGAGGTCATCGGTGCTGTCAGTAGATTGTGAACTGTCTTGTTTGGGGAAAACCCTGGGATACCCCTTCCACTGTGGCTCATGGCCCATCTTTCCTCATCTCGTATCCCCTTCAACTCACCCCAGGACCTTCAGTTGGATCTTTTTATCCACCAGCATTCACTCCTTTTATGAGATGCATTTCCCATAGCTGCCTTCCAGTATCCTGATCTGATGCCTTTCAGTAGAAGCCTGGTTGGACATCTATGCTGGCCACCCTGGCCTCAGACCACAGTGGAATCTTCCCAGCCGTTACTTCAGACCCCAACATCATTCAGGAATGTGGGTGTGGGATGGGGAAGACTTGAATACCGCCCACATCCACATTGTAACTCATAATAAGGATGAAAGTTTAGGGAAGCTTGTGAACCCCCAAAATGTGAGGGCTGGGTCTCTTTGATCATTATGAACCACATTCTGTTGAGGGGTGTAGGATGCTCACCAGCTGCTGAGTTCTATAATCAGGGATGTTTCTTGAATAAAGTTTTATTTTTTAATTTTATCTTCAGATCAGGGACAGTGGCTCATGCCTGTGATCCTAGCACTTTGAGAGGCTGAAGTGGGAGGACTGCTTGATCCCAAGAGTTTGAAACCAGCTTGGGCAACACAGAAAGACCCTATCTCCACTAAAAATTAAAAAAAAAAAAAAAAAAGATCAGCTGGGGATGGTAGCACATGCCTGTGGTCCCAGCTACTCGGGAAGCTGAAGTGGGAGGATCACTTAAGCCTGGGAGCCCAAGGCTACAGTGAGCTGAGATCACGCCACTGCACTCCAGCCTGGGCAACAGAATGAGATCCTGTCTAAAAAATAAAAATAAAATAAAAAATGTTATCTTTTAAAATTATCTTCCAGTAAAATCATCTTTTTATTGGTATTCACTTTATGAATTTTAACACATGTATAGATACATGTGACCACCACCACAATCAGGTACAGAGTCCCCCTTGGGTGTCCCTACAGAGCACCCAGAAAACTCGCTTGTCTGCCTCTTGTGGCCACCCCTCCCCGCTGCCCTAAGCCCTTGGAACTACTGATTTGTTCTCTGTCATTTTCATTTTGTCTGAGAGTGTTATAGAAAGGAAACATACAGTGCATAACCTTTCTTCACTAGGCATAATGCCTTTGAGATTCATCCAAGTTACAGTTTTTAAGGAACAATAAACAAAGACTTCTCATCGGTGATTTAAACTGAGATTGTAAAAAAAAAAAATGGGTTAGCCCTCAGGTAACATATTAGAGAGCAGATATCAGAACTTATCAAACCTACAATCCAGATACAAATTATGTAAAACCGATCCAGGGAAGGAGACCTAAAAATACTGCGGAGCTGAATCTTTTCCTCCAGTTCTTCATGTCTGCGCTTGCTTTCCCATGATGCCCCATCCATTTGCAATTGAAATTGGAATCACAGCTTTTTAAACCACCCAGACTTTATAATGTCAGCCAGACCCTCCCAGGCTATTGATAGACAATGACAACCAAACATGATAAAATAATATAGTTCCATCAAAGCAGGGAGAATCTTAGTGGGCATTTCCCAAGATGTGGGATATGTACCACTAGTGGCTAAAAACAAATTTAGGTGGCAAATGATATGGCTTTAAATGTCATCTAATCACATCATTAGAAGATAATTATCTTTCCTTTTCCATTCTATTCAAGTCTTCTTATTCCATCATGGAGAAAGTCTTCATTGGGTTCTAGAATGTCATTAACACCTTTCTAATAGTTTTTGATCTCTCTCTGGAACAGAGAAATAGGCTGCCTCATGTAGAACAAAGCATAGGCAACTGTATTGGGCTGGAATTGAACTGCATTGTTTGGTTTTCACTGCATTCATTTTATGACTACATTCTATTTCTGGCAAGAGTTGAGGAGCCTCATTTAGGATGGTGATATAAAGTTTCAATTTTAGGTAAATGCATTTGAGTAAAAGTTATGAGTGGACCTCAATATAATGTAAAGTAAATGGAACTATTTGTAAATATGTCCAAAAAACAAATCATGAAGATGGCACAAAAATGACTGAAGGATGGGAGGCAACGTGTTAGATTTTGTAAAGGACGTTGATGACCCCATGATTGGGGAGGTTGTAGACAGGTTGGCCCAGAGGCAAGGCAAAGTTTGGATGGTCTCCCAGCTCTTCCACCAAGGGTTCATGCATCCAGGCTCTCAATATTGAACTTAGAACCAATCCCAACAAACCTCCATTTGCATCAAAGCTTTGTTTGGCTTTAAAGAGAATTGTGTCATCTCTGAGGCCACCTTGGCAGGTATTCATTCTCCAGCCCTCTCTGTCCCACCATCCCAATGTTCCTCTGTCATTCTACAGGTGCAAAGTACTGATCAAGGGTGAACAGAAATTCTTCCCGGCTGATCTTTATGGTGCACCCCTGCTCACCTCTTAGCCTCCTCCTGTTAGCAAGACCACATGCTCCAGGTTAGACTTCATCTACACCACTAGAATGAGAAAGGCACTCACATTCTGTGCAAGCAAGCGGATCTCTAAAACAAGAACCTGTGAGCACCTCTACCCAATTCAGGTAGCTGATGCCAAGAGAAGTGTATGGGCTCTTCTCTTGGTGTTCTGAATACGTCATTGGGAGCTGGAGGCAATGACCAAGTTGCAGAGAGCTTCTATCCTACAGAGAAGCAGTGACAGCATCACAAACTCAACATCCTACAGCGAGTCTGTGGGCATGTACATGAATGACAATAAAGAGGGGTGGAGATTGCTGGCTGTCTGTCTGGGGCCCAGTTCTATAACCAAATGGGTTTCTCCAAGCATGGGTCATCTTGGCTTGAGATTCTTCTCCTCCTTATTGGCCCAATTATTAAGACCCCAGCTTCCCTCATATTGACCAAGGTCTGTGTGATGACAGTGAGTGCCTCTTGTCTTCCAAGCACAGCCATCAGCTTAGCGATTATTACACCTCCTTCAAACACAATCAGGGAAGCAGGACCCAAGACAGCAATAATAAAATCAAACACTTTCTTATCACATTGAATCACTACAGCAACCTATAAGGCAGGAACATTTCATCATATCCTTATCTTATATAGGAGAAGCCAAAGCTTGGAAAGATGAAGCAACTTACCCCACAGCCATGGCAGAAGCAGGATTAGAAGCCACTAGTACCTATTTCTAAGACCTACCTTCCCAGAGTCATAAGAGGGCAGATTGTAGGTCCCATCCAGCCCACAGACATGTCCTGTTTGACCCACAAGTGTTCTATAACAGTTATGAATCAGTAAGATGTGATTATAAATTGAGAGTTCACTTTCTTTAAAATGCCATATTCAACTTTTTCTTTTTAAAAAAAAGCTATAACTAGGAGATCTGGCCATGCAGAGATGTCAAAAATATTGTTTAGGACTGACTACTGATTGTCCTCTCTAAATGGGACAATCAATACCCTACCTAAATGGGACCAAATACCCTATTTAAATAAGACTTGTATAAATGGGACAAATCCCCACCTATTCTGCATAACCCACAGCCAACTTCATTCATTCATTTCTGTGCCCACAGAATCCCTAAGGATGTTGAGTTTGTGATGCCGTCACTACTTCCAACTGCTTCTCCATGGGATAGGAGCTCTCTGCAGCTTGGCCACTGTTCCCAGCTGAAAATGACATATTCAGAACAGCTCAGAACTTCCCCATCCTTCTACAGACCTCCCTTGGCACCAGCCACCTGGATAGAAGGAGGTGCTCAGAGGTTCCTGTTTTAGAGACTACCTTGCTTGCACAATTGCCATTTGAATGATGCCCAAATTTGAAAACCTGTAAGTGGCTCTGACCTGAGTACTTCCCAGAGTCATTTCTGGTTATTTCTCTTCTTCATCCTAGGCAGGAAAGAACAATTGAATTAAGTCAAGTTCTTTCCTTCTCCATGAAATGAGTGACAGACAAAGATTTGGCCAAGTTACCCAAGGATTTCTTGTTAATGGAGATGTTTGTGCTAGAGAAAATACAGGAAAGGGGGCCTAAAGTAGGGACTGCGCCACCACAGAGCTTTGCAATGACTTAACTCATTTTTCACAGAATTAATAATTCAGATCCTACAGTGTTTCAGCTAGAAGTGGCCATAAACTTCAGAGAGTTTAACCAACCACTTCTGAAAATGGGGATTGATCCTAGGAAATGCTACCTCCACTTTAAGCCATCTCGCCTGAGCAAAATGAAAGCTGTTAGATGATTTCATATCTTTATTAAAACCATCAAAGCAGAAACACACTGCAAAGAGGCTGCCAAGGCAGAGAACATTTCCCCATGCTTCAGCAGCTTTGGGAAAGTCGGAGAGATTCAGATTTTGACTATCTCGCAGGAAGGTGTTATCATGTTCAATTCTGCTTAAGGGAAGCCACACTCACAAGGCCCTTAATTTTGGCAGTGTCATCATGGCAGCCACCTCCCCATACATGCTGATGAGGCTGGAACAAGAATGAGCAGCAGGGTGGCTCCCATTGAGTGTCACTTGCCTTTTCTGGGTTGGAAGAGGGCTAATTTCACCTTTAACAGATCTCAAGAGGTTACCTAAGAACTCTGTATTTATAAAAAAGGCCTCAAAGATCTCTAGAAATGAGGAATCTGCCATCTCCCACCTATTTGGGAGTGAAGACTCCAAGCTACAGTAGAACGTAATGTTCTTTTCTTTGGTTAGTTTAGGGACGTCTATGATAGACAGGACCAGTCAAGCCAGGGGCAAGTATTGGGAAGTATATTTGGTTCAGACTCCAGCCTGTCACTTGTAAGGAAGAGCCTGAAAGATAGCAAGTCCTTAGTAGGAACTTGGGCTGGGCACGGTGGCTCAGGCCTGTAATCCTAGCACTTAGGGAAGCCAAGGCAGGAGGATTGCTTGAGAGGAATTGGAGACAAGACTGGGCAACATGGTGACACCCTGTCCCTAAAAAAAATACAAAAATTAGCCGGGCATGGTGCCTCATGCCCGTAGTTTCATATTAGGGAGGCTGAAGTGGGAGGATTGCTTGAGCCTGGAGGGTCAAGACTACTGTGAGTCATGATTGTGCCACTGCACTCCAGCATGGGCAACAGAGCAAGACCTTGTCTCAAAAAAAAAAAAAAAAAAAGAAAGAAAGAAAGAAATACTATCACATCATCAACCTCAGCAGCAACACTGCTACCATCATCAACCTCAGCAGCAACACTGCTACCATCATCATCACCAATGCCGTCTTTCTTGAGTCCTCTCTCTCACACCTTGCCCCATGCAGTCATCAGCAAATCCTGCCACTGTCCCTTCAAAGTGTATCCAGCATCTGTCCCCTCTCCTTTCTCTCTCCACCACCACTGCTGCAACCACTTTTGCAACAGCCCCCTAGCCAGTTTTCCTCCTTCCATCCTTACTGCCTTACATAACAGCCCAAGAAATCCTTGTAGAGTGTAAGTCAGATCATATAATGCCTTAACTCAACACTAGCCAATAGTCCTGCATTTGCTCAGAGTAGAAGGCAAAATTCTTGCAAAGGCCTACAGGGTCCTGCACCAGGCGGCCCCCGTTACCTCTCCAGGTTTATTTCCCATCCCTTGTGCACTTCTTGGGCACTCCACCCTGGACATACTGGCCCCTGGGTTTTCCTCAAACATGCCAGCCACCCTCTGTCCTCAGGGCCTTTGCACGTGTGCTGCTTCTGCTAGAACATTCTTCTCCCAGATCACAGCATGTTTTGCCTCCTCACCTCCTTCAGATCATCACTCAAATATTGCCTTCTCTGCTAGGCCTTCCCTAACCACCCTGCTTAAAACTGCAACACCCTCCCAGACCAAGTATTCTTTCTCCGCCTCCCTGTATTTTCTCCATGGCACTTACCACCATCTGACATAGATATGTTTGACTTACTTATTTATTGACTATCTCCTTCCTACCCTGTAGAAAAGTAAGCAGCATGAAGGCAGAAATTGTTGTCTGTTTTTTTCATTCCTCTCTCCCCAGTGACTATGTGGCTGACACACAGTAGGTGCTCAATAAATACCTATTGATGACTGAGTCACCTGCATCTACATTCCATATTCTTTCAGAACCAGGTGTGGCAAGCTTAGTAAAGGGGTGGACAAGTTTGTAGCCCCGAACAGACTCATCAATTCCTAATCATCCCTCATTGCTAAGAGTATTCACTCAACGCATATTTATTGAGCACCCATCTTGTGCCAGACACCTTTCTGAGCTTCAGGGATACAGTCATGAATATGATAGACAAGGTTCCTGGTCTCTAGGGGAGTTTTCAGGCTAGTGGGGAAAGAGTAAATAAAAGAGAAAATGAACACAATAATTTCAGATGTCAGTGAGAAGTAAGAAGTAAATAAAGCAAGGTGGTGAGGAAAGATAGAGAGTGGTGAGGAGGTGAGCCAGCCTAGACTAGGTGGCTGAGAATGGTCTCTTTGAGGAGGTGACATTGGAGCTGGGACATGCATGATGAGAAGTAGCCAGACCTGAGATGCTCTGGGGGAAGAATGATCCCTGTAGAGGAACAGCAGATGCAAACACCCCAAAACATAGGCACCAGCTCTCTTGAAAGCCTCTTTGGCCCACCCTGGGTGGGGGCCCCTCCTCTACAACCCCACAAATGCTGGGAGCTTTCTCTCTCTCTCAGTAAGTCTGACCGCTGAATTTCTCTGTACCTTCTTCTCTTTAAAAGAGAGATTAATTCTCTTTCTCATCTTCATTTCTCCAGGGCTTAGCACATTGCCTGGCACATAGCAGGTGGCCAATAAATTCATGTGGAACTAAAGTGATCTGAAACAACATTTTTTTTTCCTGAGATGGAGTTTTGCTCTTTTTGTCTAGGCTGGAGTGCAGCAGCATGATTTCGGCTCACTGCAACCTCTGCCTCCAAGGTTCAAGTGATTCTCCTTCCTCAGCCTCCCAAGTAGCTGGGAATACAGGCGCACGCCACCACGCCCAGCTAATTTTTGTATTTTTAGTAGAGATGGGGTTTCACCATGTTGGCCAGGCTGGTCTCGAACTCCTGACCTCAGGTTATCCGCCACCTTGGCCTCCCAAAGTGCTGGGATTACAGGTGTGAGCCCCCGCTCCCGGCAACCACTTTATTTTGTGATTCGACTGTAAACAGAGGTAAAATCATGAAGTGAATGTATTTAGAAACAGCATCCCTATAGGTTCCCCCTCCTTATTAGCCCCCAACCAAAAACATCTCTATCCAAGGAAATCCTCTCTGGCCATTGAGGTCCAAATAACATACCACCTCCTCCAGGAAGCTTTCCCAAATTCCCCTAAATGAATTTTCTCTCCTTTCCATGCTACTTACTATAGCTCTCCTTGTATCTCTAATATGGTACCTATTCTCATCTGACTTGTGTGCAAACTTTCCACGAACATCTAATAGCCTCACCAAACAGTGAAGAGCCCAGAGGCTCTGTGTTATATTCATCTCTGTGTCCTTAGCATGCTGCTGAATAAAGGTATGATGAAGAAATCAATGGCCAATAATGACAACTAACAGGCTTTTAATACCTCTCATGCGCCACAGATGTTTCGAGCACTTTTATGTGTAATTGTTCATTGAATCTTCACAGCAACCCTATGTGGCAGTCAATATGATTAGTCCCAGTGTGCAGATGGAGGAACTGAGACAGAGAAGCCTCTGGTTGGCACACACACTCACCTTGCATGTGGTGGAGCTGAGATTCCAACGTATTCCTTCTGATCTCAGAGTTCGAATTTTTCATAGCTATGCTGAAACTGCCTTCCATAGTAGTTTCTGCAACTTTATCTCCATTTTGAGTTCATGCTTGGAATCCGGGCTTCTCTCCCTCTCTCTCTCTCTCCAATAAGATCTGTCTTTGTATGCTTCCTAAAAAGCCCTTGTGCCACCGTGAGGCCTTGCTTCAATGCCCACTCATCTCTCCATCAGCCTCAGGGTTGATCTGGGGTTCCTTCACCCAGCAGCAAGCACTGAGGCTAGGGAGCACCCTGAGGTGGAAGAAAGCCATCTCCCTTTAATTGACCATCAGCCCTATTAAAGGCAAGCTTGGGAAGCCCTGTCATCATAGACACCCTCTGCATTGCCTCTGTTAACCAAGGGAAATTCCAGGGACCATTTTCTGCAGTGGGTCTTCTTTTACACAGTTAAAAGCACACAAAGAAGTTGCATTGTCTTCCGCTCTTGATCCAGTGAAATTAAACTGCCTGAGAAAGCAAAATTGACATCCTACCCAGCCCTGTGTATAAGCTTCATGGTTTGTTTGTTTGTTTGTTTGTTTGTTTGCTTGCTTTTTGGCGGAGTCTCGCCCTGTCACCCAGGCTGGAGTGCAGTGGCTCTATCTCGGCTCACTGCAAGCTCTGCCTCCCGGGTTCACGCCATTCTCTTGCCTCAGCCTCCTGAGTAGCTGGGACTACAGGTGCCTGCCACCACGCCCGGCTAATTTTTTGTATTCTTAGTAGAGACAGGGTTTCACTCTGTTAACCAGATGGTCTCGATCTCCTGACCTCGTGATCCACCTGCCTCAGCCTCCCAAAGTGCTGGGATTACAGGCATGAGCCACCACGCCCAGCCCATGTCATGTTTTTAAGCTTCACGTCATGTTTTCCAGAATGGAAGAAAAGGTATTTTGCATCCTGAGATTTTACAAAAGGGACGTCCTCTCTCACATGAGCCTCAAAATTAAAATAAAGAAAAGCCTTGTGCCACTGTCTCATAAATTGCTGATTCCCTAGTGAAAACAACTTTATCTCTGACTTTTGTGACACTGACGTCTACAGATACGTGACAATCTATGTAGATGTGGTAATTGTGGAGAATACTGCTGACTTTCCACCAGTAAGAATAATGAAGAAATCCATTGTAACCCTGTGAGTTGACATTGTCTTTTAAATGCTCACCACACCCTTTATTCAGGGAACCTGGTTCTTGGGAAGGCTACACTCCCTTGTAAATATTGCAGGTCAAACTCTCCTCTTAGTGCTCATATTTGTTCTGAGTTTTCTTTTGGCTCATCTCTCCCAATCGCTAACACATTAAAGAAACCTGAAAAGCTAGAAACAGTCTCACTCTATCACCCAGGCTGGAGTTCAGTGGTGCAATTATAGCTTATTGCAGCCTCGAACTCCTGGGCTCAAGTGAATCTCCCATGTCAGCCTCCCAAGTAGTTGGGACTACAGGTGCCTGCCACCATGCCTGGCTAATTTTTTTTTTTTTTTTTTTAGAGAAGAGGTCTCCCTATGTTGCCCAGGCTGGTCTCCAACTCCTGGGCTGAAGCGATTACCCAGCGTCGGCCTCCAAAAGTGCTGGCATTACCACCGCACCCAGCCCATCATTGGATTTACTTAAACTGAGTTTTCGGCAAACTCCAACAATATTTCCCATAACGTCAGTTGTGTGCCTCATCTTGGTAATTTTAGGTACTACACAGACTTACTAAATACCACCAAATCACACAGTGAGATGTATTATCTCTCCTTCTTTACCTTCATTCCTTCTGATTACATCAAGGAGAAACATCTCACATTGATATTGATATTTCTTTAACTGCTCTTAGTAGTGTCCCCTAGTATCCTCTTTTAAGCAAAGATGGAAATCACTGCAGGCTTAGAACATTCCAGTCACACTAGAGAGCAAAAATTCAATCACACTGTTTTGTTTTCAATCTAACTTATTTTTATGATCACTTTCTAATTATGGCAAGTGTTGCCGGTTTTCCATTTAGGGTGGCTTCAAAATAAAGTTGCTTTTAAACAATATTTATTTTAACTATACTTGCACAGTATGTGTTAGATTTGCAAATCCATAGCATATCTTTAGAAAGATACACAAAAACAGGTACCTATGGTTGCTTCTGGGAAGAGGAACTTCTTGGCTGAAAGACGAGGTAGAAAGGAAGGGATTAATTTTCTCTGAATACCCTTTGTCACTTTTGAATTTCACAATACAAATATCTTTTTTTCTTTCTTTCTTTTTTTTTTTTTTCTGAGACGGAGTCTTGCTCTGTTGCCCAGGCTGGAATGCAGTGGTGCTATCTTGACTCACTGCAACCCCTGCCTCCCAGGTTCAAGCAACTCTCCTTCCTCAGCCTCCCAAGTAGCTGGGACTACAGGCGCACGCCACCACGCCCAGCTAATTTTTTGTATTTTTAGTAGAGATGGGGTTTCACCATGTTGGCCAGGCTGGTCTCAAACTCCTGACCTCAGGTGATCCACCTGCCTTGGCCTCCCAAAGTGCTGGGATTACAGGCGTCAGCCACTGCACCCAGCTGAATATCTTGTCTATTCTAAAATATATAAACTGAAGGGGAAAACTTGTTCTTTGTGATAAATTATCATTTTTAAATGGGCTAACTTAAGCAAAAAAATTAAGAAGGTTGGATGAGATGGCTCACACCTGTAATCCCAGCACTCTAGGAGGTGGAGGCAGAAGGATTGCTTGAGCCCAGGAGTTTGAGACCAGCCTGGGCAACAAAACAAGACCCTGGCTCTAACAAAGGATTTTAAAAATTAACCAGGTGTGTTGGTGCACACCTGTAGTCCTAGCTACTTGGGAGGCTGAGGTGGGAGGATCACTTGAGCCTGGGAGGTTGAGACTGCAGTGAGCCTTGACTGTGCCACTGCATGAGTCTCAAAAAAAAATTAAGAAAATAATAGTAGAGGTCATGCTGGGCTTTGGCAAATGTCATGAAGGTGGCACAAAAATGTCTGAAATCTGAAAAAATTCTCCCTCCCAAATAACTATGCCACCATTTGGAAGGCAGTGTGAGAGGTCCTTTAGCCTCCACCTAGAGCAGACACTTCTGGCTTTCTCACTTGGGGAGTGTTCATGGTGGCTGGTGGCCATGGACACTGAGGTGGAGCCATTGTCAGCTCCTCTGATTTGAAAAGCTTAGGAAGACACCCAATGGACCCATGCCCAGGAAATCCACGTGATGCTCCGGCTCCAGATCACCCAAGCCCAAACCTCTGTCTCATATGCCCTGGAAAAACATACTTAATAATAACTTCCTCAGAAGCACAAGGTCATTTCCCCTCCCGGGTGGCTTTTACCCACCTCGTCAAGCTGCTTGTGAACCTCACAGTGCTTCAGCCCAGCCATGCAGCCCATTAGGAGAACAAAGTGGCAGCTGAACCGGCCTACAGCAGCCTGGCACCAAGCCTGGCCAATGGAAAGCATTTGACAAACGAATGGATTAACCTGCACCGGAGTTAGCTCCAGCAGAGACAGTGAGTCCCACAGGTTTAGGTTATCTGTGTGACTTATCAGTTCTGAGTCACTACCCCGCAAAGCCCCACTTCCCTATCACCTGCCCTGAGCCCTCACAGGTGGAGATGACCTCTCCTCAAGTCCTCCAGGGGATCTGATCAATAGGGAGCTGTGTGCTCCCCCACCCCGTCCCCATGCACCCTGTCACTCGATCATACAGGAATGATTCATAGAGGTCTAACCAAAGTTATTCTACAGCCCTGCATACCAGATACACAGAATATTACCAAAGCATTACCAAAGCATGCAGGTAATAGCACCTGTTGAGCATTGACTCTGCTTCAAATCCGCTAGGGCCCTTTGGATGTGTCTCCAGATATGTGCAAGGTACAGCAAGTGCCTCTGTACAGCAGGCCATGAAGGACATGCCCACCATCGCATCTTATCTCCTGTGAGTACCAGCCCCACACCTTCCCTAATTTCAGGATAGTTGCTTTCAGGGAGATGGCATGGGTAACATTCAAAAATATAAAATGAATCCAGCTCCCGGACCAATCAGAAGAGAGCCCTGCTGGCTACAGAGATGAAGCAGGGTCTAGTCACTGGCTCTTTGGAAGGTCCAGAGAGTCCAGGTTAGGCTGGGGAAGCCAGGTCTCCCAGGCAGAGGGCATTTCCGGAATCAGTATGGAAACATCCTATATCTTCAATCTAAGACACCATCAATCATAAGATACATGCTAATTTCAGAGATGTTAAAGACGCTTCTTAGAACCTTTCAGTGGTATTTTCACACGTTAACATCCAAAACAGGCTTAACAATGTGTGTAGCTGGAAAGTACTGGGGCTGTCAGCATCTTCTCCACCTAAAATGCTCCTGTAACAAGTGATAGGGTTTGGCTGTGTCCCCACCCAAATCTCATCTTGAATTGTAGCTCCCATAATTCCCACATGTTGTCAGAGGGACCAGGTGGGAGATAATTGAATCATGGCGGTTTCCCGCATACTGTTCTCGTGATGGTGAATAAGTCTCACGAAATCTGATGGCTTTTTACGGAGTTTCCCCTTTTGCTTGGCTCTCATTTCTCTCTTGCCTGCTGCCATGTAAAACATGCCTTTCTCCTTCTGTCATGATTGTGAGGCCTCCTCAGCCACATGGAACTGTGAGTCCATTAAACCTCTTTTTCTTTTTAAATTACCCAGTGTTGGGTATGTCTTTATCAGCAGTGTGAAAATGGATTAATAGACTAAGGCTTTGGGGAAAGCCTGTTCTTCATTCCCCTTCTCAGCTCCAAGGGGAAGGGAAACCAGCTCTTCAAAAAACTTCCTTGAGCAATGACAATTCTTGTTGCCCATTCCGAATGTTCCTCCATGCCTGACAAGAACTGTACATTTGCTGGCACTAAGTATTATATCTACAGCATGCTGCAAGGCTGACAGAGTGCTGCAAGACAAATGGGGGGGGGTTTATGGACTCAATGGTTTCATTTAATCATACTGTGTGACGTTCGCCTGGACCAAGACAGGGAATTTCTGTATAAAGGCCTAAGTCTGCATAGATGCTGCAATTGTGCATGCAGGTGCACATGTGTGGGTGTGCACACACATTCATCTATGTGCACACCCAATGAGCACAGATCAGTCTGTTTTGTGTGTTGATCAATTTGTTGAAAGATGATAAAACTGTCTGCATTAACTACGTCATGGCAGGAGGCCCCTTACCTTCTGCCTTTGATTTTATTTTTTTCTAAGGTTTGCATTTCCAGAATTGGGCTTTGCAATTAGAATATGATTTCTTGATGAAAATGAACTGGATAATGTGATAGATCTTATTCTGGGCTTTTTATTCTCTTTCGTACTTAGACTGTTGCCTCTGGGGCAAATATTCTGTCTTCTTTGCTTTGCACCATCCCAAGAACATCATCGATGCTGAACAAATAAATAACCAGAGTTGTGAAGTGAAGTCTGAAATTTATAGAACAGGCTCATCTATCAAAATTTGGACACCAGAACACAGAGTCAATTATCACATATTAACTTGCTCTTGTTGGCATTTCAATGCATTTAGAAAAGATACACTTCCTCCACACACACATTCCCCTGCCATACCGAAACACCAGCAAAATTGAGAACACTTCAGACATATCTCAGCTTTCCCTGTGACTCTAAAAACTACTACACACAGCAAAGCTTATATCTGTTTATAAAAGATGACCCTGAAGAGTCTATTTCACATCCAAACTTCCTTAGAATGGAGAGCATCCTAAAGATAACCTTAGATTTGGAAAAACATTTTCATGTAGATAGTCTTACTTGATTTTTATAAGGTTGCAAAGCAGTTCAGGCATCATTGCCATTTCACAGGTGAGCAGACTGACACCCAGATATGTGAACTGACTTTCTGTTAACATGGAAGGAGGGAAGGAAAGAGAAAAGGAAGGGAGGAAGGGAGGAAGGAAGGAGGGAAGGAAGGAAGGAGGGAAGGAAGGAAGGAAGGAAGGAATGAAGGAAGGAAGGAAGGAAGGAAGGAAGGGAGGGAGGGAGGAAGGGAGGGAGGGAGGGAAGGAAGGAAGGAGGGAAGGAAGGAAGGAAGGAATGAAGGAAGGAAGGAAGGAAGGGAGGGAGGGAGGGAGGGAGGAAGGAAGGAGGGAAGGAAGGAAGGAGGGAAGGAAGGAAGGAAGGAAGGAAGGAAGGAAGGGAGGGAGGGAGGGAGGGAAGGAAGGAAGGAGGGAAGGAAGGAAGGAAGGAATGAAGGAAGGAAGGAAGGAAGGGAGGGAGGGAGGGAGGGAGGAAGGAAGGAGGGAAGGAAGGAAGGAAGGAAGGAAGGAAGGAAGGGAGGGAGGGAGGGAAGGAAGGAAGGAGGGAAGGAAGGAATGAAGGAAGGAAGGAAGGAAGGGAAGGAGGGAGGGAGGGAAGGAAGGAAGGAGGGAAGGAAGGAAGGCAGGCAAGGAGGGAGGGAGGAAGGAAGGAAGGAAGGAAAAGGAGAAGGGAAAGGGGAGAGAGGGAAGGAGGAAGGGAAGGGAAGGAATAAAGAGGAAAGTATGGAACTATCTTTATAGCAATTGATTAATTCCTCAGCCCGATTTAGTAACAGCAGCAGCATCAGAAACTAATATTTTTAATACTAACAGAACTAATAGTGATAACAGGAGTGTTGTAGTAATTAGTAGCAATAACAGTAGTAACATTACTGCCTTGTCTTTATATATCATAGAATTTTCCAGGGCAATTTCATGTACAGTTTTGCATTTATTCTTCACAACACGTTTCTAGGATAGTTACTACAGGTCCCATTCCATGATGAGGAAGCTGAGACTTGGGAGAATCACCTTTCTTCAAATCATACAGCACCTAGGTGACCACCTCTGGTCTTCTGACTGTGGTTCCCTGTCCTGGTTCCCTCATCAGCCTGGTGTTGCTTTGCCCACCTGTCCAAGCAGCTAGGAGATACCACCCTGCAGCTCTTACCTCGGGGAGGAAATGTGGGTGGGGGAGAACCCAGGCCAGACACATAGTTGAGGTAAGCATCAGAGATGGCATGGCAGAAAGACAGCAAATTGGAGAGAACCCACTGCAGAAGGCTGGGCTCTCTGGTAGTGGCCTGAACGGGAGTGGTTCCCAAGAAGGATCAGGCTAAGGACAAGAAGGTGCAGACTCTGTCTCCTGGTCTCTCCAAATGATGGTGTCTTTCTGGCTATATCACTCGGCCTTCAGCTTTATCTCCATTTACCCACAGAAAGAAGCCCCTCCTTTGGGTTAAGGGTAAAGCTTTTGATTTTTCCACTATCTGGATTTCAGCCTCCTGATCAGGAAGTTATCACCAGGGGCTTTGATGTGGGCAGATCATACTAAGATCCACACTGCCTGCAACTCTGCACCTCCCCCTTTGGAAAGCACAGTCCACTCCAATGGGTGCAAGGGTTCTTTGGCTATGTCTGCCCAGTGGACCCTGGCTTTATGATGGCAAGCTGTGAACTGACAAGGCAGTGGACAGAGAGCGGAACATCCTGTCACCCACCGTACCTAGCTCATGGGATTCAGGAAGAAAGTAAGAACATGGGTTTTAAAAGATTCCAGAAATCCCCATGATTTCTGCAGTTAATGTGTATGACTTGGTCATAATAAAAAGAAATGTACAAAAATGTTCTTTACATACAGAAAGATGTTCTGGAGGTTATGGAAACAGCATCTAAGTGGGGTAGTATTACCCTGCACAGAAATGGCAATCCACAAGCTAAACACTTGACTCTAGGGGTGTGGATTTGTAACTGAAAGAAGCACAAACCACACAGCCTTTTCCTGACACTGGAGCCTCCCAGCCTTCCTGGTCAAGCAATGGGGAGAGGGCAATTACGACCAGACCTCTAGGATAGTCTTTTAGAAATATAAAGTGGGGAAAGGTGGTAGAGGGGGAGAGAAGAGAGAAGCAGAGCTGTCAGCATGCTTGATGTTAAATAAAACCTACCAAGACTCAGCTGAGAATTTTAGCAGAATCCAAATGTGCTAAAAAAAAATAAATAAATAAAAAATAAGACATGGCTTCCCTCTCTAAGGTTCACAGCTAAGCTTGCTTAGAATCACACATGCCAAGGTTAAAAATAAAAAGCAGCCATCCCTGAATGACATGGGCTCCAGGATGGAAGCCTGAGGTATGCTGTTTAGTGGTGGAAGGAAGAGAGGGGAGGGAGGAGAGTCTGGGTTCAGGGCATAGGTATTTATTGGAGGGCACACTATCTGAAAGCCAGATGCTCAGAATTTTGCTGTTTTGCACTTAAAAGGCACTTCGCATTGGCAAAAGGTGTCATAATGATCTTCAGATTTTCCATCGAGGAAATGCTGGCCTGCATTCGAATGTGGTCATGGCTGACCCACTCTGGGCTCTGCTGTTCAATGTGTTTGCCTCCTCCATCCCGGGATCTGACTCAGACAGTGTCCACATGCACCTAGACGGGATGCCCATGAGTCACAGCTTGGAAAGCACAGTGGGCTATTGGCATTGGCATGAAGCCAGATCTGCCACTCTGTGCCACCCTACCCTATTAACCAGACATAATGGTGCTGGGGCCACCCACAGGCTAGCTAGCCCCTGGTTGGCTGCAATGGGGACAGACTATGTGTCTGCCTGCTAAGGATGATGCATGACCCACTCGTCCCCACAACTACAACCATTGCGAGCCAGGAGTAACCTGCAAAGGTGCTAAATCAGGCCTGCGGTCCCCCTACTTTTGGTAAATCCAGGGCCCTCTATTATAAGCCCAGTGGGGTCCTCTTTCTAACAAAGTTGTCCCTTGTCCAATATGCATATGACCTCTACTGCCTAAAGCTGTAGATAAAAACAGCAGATTTAGCCTCAGCTACTCTGTCAGCTACCATGTTACCCCTCCCCAACGTCATTACTATGCAGATGTTTCTAGAAAGTCTTCAAAGGGTCAGGTGAATTGTGAGAATTCTGTGACCTATGTGTTAACAGGGAGCCGGGACATTACACCACCCACATGTGGGCCAGTCCTACACTTCAGCACCATACAGGGCTAGGGAGGCAGAAAGGCATTGAGGCGTGGACGCTGCCACCTCACAGAAGCTTTGGTCTGTGCCTTGACTCCCCCAGTGGGGATAATTCTCCTCCCTGGCATGCATGGGAAGCATAGACAGTCTATGCATGACTGGCTGCCCCTAGCACCCTTGCTAGCCTTCACCCGCAGGGCCCACCTTCAAATTCCACATTTTGGCTGCTGGTTTAGAAGCATCACTTAAAGTGAAGTGCCTTTTTTACACCTTTAAGGCACTTCAGAAAAGCCTTGGAAGGTATACAGGGCAAGGGCTGTTTTCCTGCCCATTGGGATGGATGAGAAAATAGAGGCTGATAGAGTTTAAGAAACTTGCTCAAGCTTAAGTGACAGACCCAAGACTCGAATCCAGGGCTCTTTCCACTACTCAAAGACCACCTACCAGGGCCAGAGCTACTGGGGGTCTCAGCCCCAGTACAGCAGCAAATACCTGGGTTTGAGATTGAGACTCCCTAAGGCATCTTTCTTACTGGAGACCTCTGGCGATGCACTGTCATTTGGCCTGAACTCTGGGGACCTTTCCCAAACAGAGCCTTGCTGCAAGGGGTCTCTGAACTGCCTTATCTTTCTCAGGGTCCTTCAGGGGCTGGGTACCAGCAAAGACCTACAGAGGGTTAGGATGGTGCCGTGTTCAGGCAGCACAGGTCCTCGCCTGTCCCTTCCTTGGGCACCCTAAGGGCTGGTCACAGAGGGAGTTAGCCCTTTAGCTGGCACTTAGGTTTGACTGGAGATAATCCTTTTCCAACGACTCCAGTGACGAGGGAACGCCCTTTGCAGTTCCAGAAACTGCCCGTCTAGATTATCACTGGGAAGTTCTGGGTAAATTCTGCTATAGCCCCCCATGGCCCTGTGTGTCAGCCTGAACCCATACAATGAGTTGGGTTAAAAGAAAGAGAAAACACAAGAGACGGATGGCTCTCCCAATGGAAGCGATCAGAGACCCGGCGCACGGAGCGGAGCTCCTGGTCCTTACCTGTACCAATCCAGCCCGCGGCCGTAGTTCCTGTCAAAGAAGTGGGGTTCCGTGCCCAAGGCCCGCACGTCCGGGTGTACTCGGATAAACTCCAGCACGGCCCGGGTGCCCCCCTTCTTCACGCCCACAATGAGGGCTTGGGGCAACCGCTTGGTACCCAGCTTGGGTGAGCCGGAGTGGTTGGAACCGGAGAGGCGAGGGGCGGGCACGGCGGCGGCGGGCGCGCTGGGAGCGCTGGGCTCGCTGGGCGTCGGCCCGGAGGGATCACAGGGGCGGGACTTCTGGAGAAGTTTCTGGCCGCCCGCGCTGGGGCCGCGGAGGCAGCGAGGCGCGCCGAGGAGGCGGCTCCGACCCAGGTCGTCGCAGCAGCACAGGAAGCTGTAACACAGGTAAGTGCAGGAGAGCGAGAGCGTGAAGGCGAAGAGCAGCCTGCGCGCCCTCCGCGGCTGAGGTGGCCCCGCGCGGCCCAGGACCCTATAGGCCATGGCTCCATGGGCCCGCGCCGGGGGTCATGGTTTCCGAGGGGGCACCGGCGGCTGAGCTGCTGTGGCCCTGCGGTCGCCTAGAGGGCTCGCGTGGCGCTGCCACGGCCACGCGGGTCGGGCGTTGGGGGCGCCGTCTTCTCCGGGGGCTGCTGACCAGGGTGCGCACAGTGCCAGGGGGTCCCGGGGGCAGCGGCTCCTCGGGGAACAGGCGGTTGCATTTCCAGCATCTCCCGGTCCTAGGCGATGGGGCTCCGGGCAGCCGGGCGGCTCGGGCGCTCCCAGGCTCTTACGTGCGCCGGGTTCGGAGCGCGCCCAGCGCCCGAAGCCCCATTCCTGATCCTCGGAGCGCCGCTCACGAAACGCTCGGCGGCGGCGCGGCTGTGCGGGCTGGCGGGTGGACCGGACGGTGGCGCTGGCGCCGGCCGCGATCTGGCTCTTCGGGAAATGCCGAGCGGAGCGCGCTGCCGGCTCTATTTAAGGAGTGGCCTGACGTCAGCCGCGCGGGTCCCCCGAGCCCGCGCCGCGCCCAGGGACCTGGCCCGCCCCCTGCGCCCCCACTCTCTTACCCCTCCCAGAAACACAGCACGCGGGCCCTCCCCATGCAGGCCACTCCCTACGGAGCCCCAGGCCAGCTTTGGGGCGGTGAAACGAAGGTGTCAAGGCATAGTACTCCTCCGGGAGGCTGGACACCCCCACCACGCTGGCCTCTCGACATCCAGGGACACGAATCCAGGTCGAGATCGCGCCGACATGCAGACCAGACAGACCCAGACGCAGACGCAGGCACCCTGCCCTGATGCGCGGTCCCACCACCCTGACCCGCACACGCACGCACAGGCACAGAAGCACACGCGCCCTAGCCCGGACACACCCCCACACCCACGCGGGGGTGGGGAGGAGAAGTCCCCTAACCTGGGCCCAGATACACCGACAAGGACACTCCCCCCGCTCTCGACATCTCGCCAAATGGACACACACAGCCCGGAATCGGACACCGAGCGCACGCACGCCCTGGACTGGGACACGCGCTGTAGACGGGATGGGTGGAGGAGCCGAGCGTGAGTGAGATTCCGTGACTATTCACCCAGCTTCTTAGCCCCCAGCGCGCTGACTCACACCCCGGCGGCTCGCTCTGTCTCGCACCTATGAGGCACGCGCGCACCCCAACCCATTGTCACCCCACCTCTCCCCGGGCCTGCCGGAGAGCGAGCCCCGGAGCGGCAGACTCCGCGTCAGGAGGGTTCCTCTCTTAGCAGCCGCCGCCTAGCGGTAGACTGCTCCCCGGGGAGCTGTCCAGGGTACCAGAGGGTCGCCGAGGGCTGAGTGAGGAGGGCTTCTTCACACAGAGACACTAGGAGGAGGAAACAGAGTACAAGGAGAACGTATCCAGGAGCAATTCCACTTCGAATGATTCCTAAGTGAATGCCTACAGGACAGTTCTCGGTGACCATGTCCAGAACAGGCATAAGTGACGATCCCCAGTACTTCCCTGAGGGACCACACTGGTACCTTGGATCAGAACCCTGCATCAGAACAGGCCTAAATGGCCATGGCTAAGAACACGGCTGAGTTGTCCTTCAACAGCAATGCCAATGCCAATTCACCATGTCCGAGTGTTCACAAGGTGAGTGCCCTCCACCACCACCCAGCCATAGAATGTCTAGATGACCACCATGACCCCCACCCTGATCAGGGTATAACTGACTTCCTTCCTCAGGCTGTAAACTGATCATTAGGTTCTGTGGATCTTAGCCCAAACCAGAAAATATTTTGTCCCCAAACTAGTCCCATCCCTAGAAACCTTAAACCAATTCTACGGCAGATAATAATAATAGCTGCCAACTTTGTATCAAGCACCTGGCATGGGTTAACTGATTAAATATTCACAACCTATGAAGTTGTTACCATTACCCTGGCATCACTTTGCTGTCTTAATTCTAATAGTAGCTAGCATTTATTGAGTGCTTGTTTTATGGGAGTTATGCGCTAATCACTTGACATGCACTACCTCATTTATCTTTGGAGATAGGTATTATTGTAATTTCTAATCTACAGGCAGTGATAAGAAGATTTAACAAACATATACACAGTAACTGGCAGAGCTGGGATTAAACCCGGGCAGTCTTGACTCCAAGATTCAAGCTCTTAGTTACAGCACTTTGCAGCTTCCTAACTTCCTTTGACCATTATTCATATAATTCCATCCTAGGCTCCTCTCCTGGATGTAAGCTAATTTGTCTATGTCTCTTCTAAAATCTCACACCTGGGACTGCGCGAGGAATTTCAGATATGGATTGAAAAGTTCAACAGGACTCTCACCTCTCTTTTGTAAGTTCTATTTCTAGTAATGCCACCTAAGACTCCATTATCTTTTTCTTGTGGCTATATCACACTGCTGACATCTCAAACTTGCAGCCAAGTAACATCTCTAAATGTTTCTTACAAGTGCTGCTGATTAAGGCACAGCTACCCCATACTGTGCTTGTACAGTGGGCCTTTTTGGACCCAATGTGTAGGTCCTTATAGATTTGACTTGATTGCATTTCATCTTGTCTCATCAGTTCGCTGCCCTAGTTTTTTTTAAATGTCTATTTGAAGTCAAACCACGAGGTAGCTTTCATTTATTCAAAAAGAAAAAGTAGAAAGATTGTATCCCAGCTTTACCCTTTATTCCAGGTGTACTTTGGGCAAGTGGACCCCCTTTAAGCCTCAGGTTCCTCAGCTGTAAAATGGGACGCTATGATTCACCTTAAAAGTCTCTCAAAGTTTAGATGTTGCATGATTCTATGATTCCATTACCCAAAGCATGAACCACTCACTTGGCATCATGTAATTTCCACAGTTGATCACAATTTAATTAATTCCTCATTCTAATTGTTAATAAAAATGTCAAAACAAATATACTTAAAGGAGTTCTTCTTCTTCTTTTGGGTGAGGGGAAGTGTCTCACTCTGTTGACCATGCTGGCATGCAGTAGTGCAATCATAGCTCATGCTGCAGCCTCCACTTCCTGGGCTCAAGGGATCCTCCTGCCTCAGCCTCCTGAGTAGCTAGGACTACAGGCATGTGCCACCACACCTAGCTAGTTTTTTAATTTTTTGTAGAGATGAAGTCTTACTGTGTTGCCCAAGCTGGTCTTGAACTCCTGAGCTCAAGTGATCCTCCTGCCTCAGCTTCCCAAAGTGCTAGAATTACAGACATGAGCCACAATGCCTGGCCTGGAAGGAGCTCTTATATATACTTTGAACAATTATTCACATCATGAACCTGCTATTTTTGTATTCCATTGTTAAAATTACAAGGTTAAATGTGGAGTCATCTGCTGTGATCAGTACTATTTCCCTTAGAAAATAAAACATGAATATAATGATTTCTCATAATTCTGTGCTTGGCTTAATTTTTAAATAATTTTTAACCTTTGAATTCATAAACTGTGATATCCCTGGGTACTCACATATATCAAAACCAGGAAGATTTTCCTCTTCAAATTTCCAATCAGAGTAATGACTGACTTGGATAGAATTTTTTAGGAAGTGAGACATTGGACATACCTGCCCATCTCCTAAACCTTTATCTGTTTACAGTAGCAAACGTGATTCTGCTTTGGGGGTATCAGGTAGGATTATGCTGGGTTGTGTAGTTTGTCAATTAACACCCACTTAAGCAAGGTATATGTTTATTTTTGTAATCACATGAAAGTCCAGATGAAGGTACTTTAGGGCTTGTATGGAAGCTCCAAAGTGTTTGGGACCCAGGCTCCCTCTATCTTGTTACTCTACCATGCATTTCCTCCATTCTAAAGTCACCACATAGTCTACAATGACTTATTCATCTGCAGCCAGAATGTTCACATTCTGGTCATTAGTAAATATGTAAAGACATGCCATATCTGTTTAAGGACATTTCTTGGAAGTTGCCTGTATTATTTCAACTCGTATTCAATTTGACAGCATTTTATCATTTGACTTTCTAGCTTCAAGAGATGCTTCAAAATGCAGTCTTGATTCTGGATGGCTGTATGCCTGGCTAACACTTTGAGATTTTGGTATCAAGAAAGAACTAAAGAATGGTTATGGAGGACAACTAGTAATCCTTGCCATCCTTGGACAAACAGTTTTCCCTCTTTTATTCCCATGTGGTTTGTATGGGTTGAACATAGTTCAAAGACAGGCATATGACCAAGCCTGACATCATCACTTTCTAATTATATTTCAAGAACTGAAAGTAACTCAAATCTTTCTAGTGAGAATAAACCACACAACATTTGTGAAAACTATTGGAAAAGAGAAACTTCT
Organism: Homo sapiens; assembly: GCF_000001405.40. Lineage (NCBI taxonomy): Eukaryota > Metazoa > Chordata > Mammalia > Primates > Hominidae > Homo > Homo sapiens. Next base: position 22,810,315 of record NC_000016.10, on the reverse strand, counting down.
TTTTCTGAGATGATGAATTAATCTAAAATAAGCCTGAAGCTTCCAATGGTCATCTCTGCTATCAAGAGGAGAAACCAACAATAAAGCCAACAAAGAGGAGAGCAGAACTGATGGAGGGAGAATTAGATTCCTGATAATATCCTTTGAACCTCTGAATCTAGCCATGCGGAATGCATGGACCCTGGACTTTATTGCTGCAGTGATTAGCTATCTTTCTGTTAGCACTTGCAACTGAAAGAGTGCTGACCAATACAACAAACAAACAAAAAGAGTTGCTCCCTCCGTTGCAAGGAATAGATACCATTTTAATAAAAAGTGTTGGAGGTGGGGGGGCTTATTTTGAAGGATATGCATGTATCAGGACTGCAACCCTTCCAAATTTGAGACAGTCATAGGATCCAGTTACTTTCTTCAACTTCTCTACTTTTCTTGTATCTTATTTATTTTGCTTCTCATTCTTAACTGCCATTGCTCTTTATTTATGAAACAGTAAGGGTTACTAGAAGTGAAAAAAAGAGATTTGGGATATCTTACACAGGAAAGGAACTTTGGGGTAGCTCACAAAATTAAGAAGAAGGCTGGAGAACTGGGCTCAAATAGAATAGCAACCAAAGAGCACATTACACTCTCTTTCTTTTCTTTTTCTGAGTCCATTTCTCTTTCACATTAGCATTCTCTTGAATCTTCCTTCCCACTCTAATGCCCTGCATTCAAGACTTTGAATTTAAAATCATAAAATAGGAAATTTTCTTCCCCTTCAGTCTTTGGGCCTAATCAAGCCTTGTTATTCAGTTTTATTTCAGTGTGTAAGCTTCAAATCTGTTCCCTAAAGCAGAGTTTTGCAAAAATGTGAGAAAATGTCCCAAAGAGGGTGACTCCTATGAGGCAAAGGACAGTGAAGTGGAGCCACATGGTCTGCAGGGTCTGTGAGGTACAAAGTTTGCATCTGAATCAGAGGATGTGCATATATCTGCTACATTTAGGAAAGAGGTTGAGAGCGAGAATGAGAGATTTCAGTTGTGCTTCATTCTTTGGATAAAATCAGAGGGTAAAAGCTCAAGGGGCTTCCAGATACTGCCTGTAGAAATGATCCAAATCTAGAAGACCGGAGACCTGGTTGATTTTTAAGAACTCTATAAGATTCCAAACGCTTTGTTATTCTCCATGTAGGTGACTTCTGTTTTTGCCAGAAATAATAGGTACCATTTATTGAGCATTTACTCGCATCATGGACTGGTGCATTTAGATGCATTACTTAATTTAATAGTCTCAATAAACCAATAAAGTAGGCATTATTATTATTATCCCTATTTTATAAATAAGGAAAGTCTCAAGTAGGTTGAATTTTCCATGTTCTACAGATGTTACAGGCTGAGGGAGGGGGAAATTAGTTCAAAAAAAGCATTAATGTGGAGATCCAGGATCAGGTTTACTCATCTTATAATCTTCTTGTGGGTCAGTACTGTTTAGCACCTCCACCTCTTATCCTGCATTATTTAAACCACACTATCTTATCTCACCCAACCTTACCATCTTGTCTTCTTCATGCAACTGTGAACTCCTTGGGGACAGGGACAAAATGACAAGTTCCAACTCAGTCTAGCTCTTGGAATTTGGGCTTCATATTCATGTTGGGACTCCTCCCTTGGTTTCTTTATCCCCTTCTCCTTCTTCGATGGACCACTAACTATTACCCACGTTGGGGCTTCCAAGGAAGAACTAACATTTCATTTCCAAATATATCCAGCATGGATTATTTGTAATGGCAAAGATGATACTAAGCCTGTTCACTTGCACAATAATACAGTAGGGCTGACCTAGTAATGCACCCTCTCCCCTAATTTTCCTTTTATCTGGAAGCAGATAAAAATGACACTACTGAACCAGAGGTGAGCACAATTGTCATCAATTTTCTAAAAAACAGACCTTAATGGTATAGGATGGAATGAATGGAAGAATATCTAGCTATAGAGAACAATATAGGGAGATATCTTTATTGTTTTGTACTGATTTTTTTGTTTCCCTTTAACATTTTTGTTATATAGGTAATATATCTTCAGTGTAGAAACAATGAAAATACTGAGAAGAAAAAAGAAAAAAGGTCCTCTAAATCATAACACCCAGAAATAACTATTGCTAATATTTTATTTACATCCTTCCAATTATAAATGTATTTGTATGTTTGTTTGCTTATGGCTCAGCCCATACCTACTGTTTTGTAAAGTTTTGATTTTTTTCAGCTTTGTAATAGTGTGACTCTATTCCATGCCATTAAACACAGACTTATGTAATAATGAGCCTAGTACTTTTAGAAAGAGAAAATAACTTTATACTGAAAATGCTAGATGTAAGGATGGTGTGAGTCTGCAGCTACCACGAATGGAGAAAATCTAACCTGCATGTGCATTAACTCAGTACAGAAGTAAGCAGAGTGACAGTGAAAGGCTGTCTTGAAATAATGCTTGAATCCCTGGATCCAGTTTTGCCTAAAGCTCTCTCTTTAAGAGTCAGTAAAGCATAGTGGTTAGGAGTGCAGTCTCTGGAAGCAGACTGCCTCGGTTCAAATCTTGGCTCTGCTGCTAGGATTTAACAGGGTAATAAATGTCATTCACTTAGAACACAGTCTGGCTAACAATAGGCCCTCAATAAACATTAGCCATTATCATGCTGAACATTTTTCAATTACATCCATCAATAAATTTTTTTGGCTTAAGCCATTTCGACTGATATAGATATGTACTTTTCAACTAGACATACATCTTTTGACCAACTTGAAAATTTTATTAAAAACAAAATAAAATCATTTTCTGTTCTCAGTAATCACTTAAGACCCCTCTTGCTTTGAATCCAATGTATCTCCTTGGTATTTTAAATGTTTCTAGGGAAGAAACCAAATATCCTCTCTGGACATAGCTCATGGCAGGTGTTCAATAAGTGCTTATTGGATAAATAGACAGATAATACCTTCAAACACCCCTTTGCCTGAAGGACAACAATTTTAGCCATGAGGACATGGTACAACTTATCTTAAAGGACCAAATTCTCTGTTTATTGATCACCTCCTTCATGTCCTCTCTTCCCTCTTTATTCAGCCAAGATTCCATGGATAAACACGGTAATCAACTTTTCGCTTATAACCATCAACTCCTTGACCCTCTCTCACTGTGCTGTATTTCTTGGGTTAAGATCAACTTTCTTCCCACTCAATGTCTGCACCCGCACAACCGAACACAGCGAATGTACAAGCATGACGACTAGTCTCACTTAAAATTCATCATTTCTATTCTCAAGAGGGCCCTTAACACTTCCTAGCAATCATACTATGTTTCCTAGTCCATTCATTCTCAGGCTGTATATAGCTACTTAGCACCCTCCCTCCTCTTTGCAAACCTCTAACGCTTTCTCCACTATCCCCATCAGCCAATGGCCTTGCCTTTACTTTACTGGTAAAATAGAAGAAATCAGAAGAGAATTTTTACGACCACCTCTACTCACCTACCTGCATCTGTGTTCATATACTTTATTTTCTCTCTTGTTAGTATGATTTTGTTATGGTCTGTTTGTTTTTTTATTTTTTAATTTTATGAGTACACAGTAGGTGTATATATGTATGGGGCGCATGAGATGTTTTGATACAGGTATGCAATATGTAATAATCACATTATGGAGAATGAGGTATTCATCCCCTCAAGCATTTATCCTCTGTATTACAAACAATCCAGTTGCACTCTTTTAGTTATGTTTAAATGTACAATTAAGTTATTATTGAGTATAGTCACCCTGTTGGGCTATCAAATAGTAGGTCTTATTTATTCTTTCCAGCTACTTTTTCGTACCCATTAACCATCCCCACCTTCCTCGCTCCACACACACCCCACTACACTTCCCAGCCTCTGGTAACCATCCTTCTACTCTCTGTGTGCATGAGTTCAATTGTTTTGATTTTTATATCCCACAAATCAGTGAGAACATGAGATGTTTGTCCTTCTGTGGCTGAAGATCACTTAACATAATCATCCCCAATTCCACCCATGTTGTTGCAAGTGCCTATTAATATGATTTTATTGTCTGTGTTTTTAGATAAAGCTGAACTTTCCACTTGTATACACATCCAATCCACTCTTGTATTCTCTAGGACATGACCCCAGAAATCCTTCAGTTTCCCTCCTTTATCATCAATTTCCCCTCTCCACTGGGTCCTTCTCATCAGCATACGTGTTGTTATTTGTGACATCTTAAAAAGAAAAGAAACTACCTTATCTTGACCTCACCTCTGCCTTTCTAGTGCTCTATTAATATGCTTCCCTTTACAGCTCAACTCCTCAAAAGAATGATCTTTAGTGCTCCCGATTGCCCTGAACCCATTCCAATCAACTTTTGCTCCCACCTCTACCCTCTCCTCTACAATTGTTCTTCTCAAGGTCGCCAATGAACTCCATGTTGTTGAACTCAAGTCAATTTTTAATCCTCATTGGTCCTACCTAAAAGCAGCATTTGACACAGGTGACACTTTTTTCTTCTTGAAATGCTTTGTTCACCAGGATTTCAAGATGCCTCATTCTTCCAGTGTTTCTATCTCTTCTCTACTTCTCCTTCTAAGTCTCCTTTGATGATTTCTTTTTGCCTCCCTGACCCCTAACTTGTAGTATCCTAGGGATTAGTCTTGAGACATCATCTCTTTGCTACTTACATTCATTCTCATAGTGATATTACAAGTCTCATGGCTTGATACACCATTTACATGCTACTGAGTCTCAAATTCATATCTGCTTTTCCCTAAACTGTCTATTCAGCATCTCTACTTGGATGCCTAATAGACATCTCAGATAAACATGTCCCAAACTGAACTCTTACAAGTTACCTAAAGCCTGCTTTGTTCATAATCTCAGTCATGTAAATAAATGATAATCCTAATCTTCATTTGCTCAGGCCAAGAAAAGTCTAGAGTTAGTCCTGATTCCTTTCTTTCTCATACTCCACACCTGATCTGTGAGCAAATCCTGTTGATTCTCCCCTCAAAGTCTATACAGTCGTCCCTCCCCAACTGCAATTTTGCTGTCTGCATTTTCAGTTACCCACAGTCAACCATGGTTCGAAAATATTAAGCGAACAATTCCAGAAATAAACAATGTGTAAGTTTTAAATTGCACAGCATTTTGAGTAGCATAATGAAATCTCTCCCTATCCAGCTCTGTCCTGCCTGGGATGTGATTCATGCCTTTGTTCAGCATAGCCACACTGTAGATGCTACCCCACCCATTCATCATTAATAGGCTTCTTGGTTAACAGACCAACTGTTGCAGCATCACAGTGCTTGTGTTCAAGTAACCTTTATTTTACCGAATAATGACCCCAAAGCACAAGAGTAGTGACGTTGACATATTGTTATAACCATTCTATTTTATTATTAGTTATTGTTTGTGTTTTTAGATAAGTTAATCTCTTACAGTGTCTAATTTATAAAGTTTATCATAGGTATGTATATATAGGAAAAAACATAGTGTGTATAGAGAGTTCAGTACTATCCACGGTTTCAGACATCCACTGGGGGTCTTGGAATATATCCCTCTTGGATAAAGTGGGACTATTTTTCTGAATTTGACTGACTCACAGTCTCCATTGCCAACAGCCTGGTCCAAGTTATTATCCTTTCTCATCTAAACTCCTGCAATAGCTACTGTCAGTCATTTCTTTCCTCTGGGTTCTATTCCCACTCTTTTATATTTTCCTTTGAATTGCAAGATGCTGGCAGTCTGAAAACTACATTTCCCAGAATCTTTGGCCAGCTGGTTTTCCAGTTAGATTCACCCACAGGAGGTCCTGGCAGAAGACTGAAAAATAGATGGAAGGAAGAAATCATGTTTTACTTCTAGAGATATCTCATATAGCATTAGCAGCAACAGCAGGGGTGGCTATGTGCAGACTTATAATTTCCTTCTCATGTGGCATGGTGGTTGAAGTGGGCATTCCTATAGCTTCAGCAGCACAGAATTCATAGGTCCTGGCTCCCACAGGTGTAATGGACCCTCTACCTCTCAGTCAATTTTGGGTGCCCCGGGATCCTGCAATGTTAGCGGAAGTGTGACCTTCTGGCTTCCTGCAAGGCGGATGTGGCCATGGTTCCTAAGGCAGCTGTAACAGTAGCAGATGCTCCAGCTATCACAGTGATGTAGCAGCCACGGGCTCTGTTAACACCACTTTCCCTTTGATCCTTCAGTCTAGGCGTGGTTTTTGCAGTTGTTAATTTTTAAGTAACTTCGTTCTCCCCTTTTGGCTCCTCCAACCCTTCCATCACTTTTGGGACCAATTCCCTCTATTACATCCTTTCCGTTTGAAATACCTAGAGCTGTTCTGTTTTCCTGAGCAGATGCTGACTGATATAGTCTTCTAACAGATCTTCCTAAAGTCCAGTCCCAAAAAGAGGAATCCTTCTATTTAAAGCCCTCTATGCCTTCTAATATCACTCAAATAGAAGATCTATTCCTGGAGCTAAAGACTTGTCAACCTGGTAAGAAAATTTTTAGGACAATAAGCCAAAATAATACTGCCAACTGCCCAGATCACTCATCTCCACCCTGACCCTACACTATTCTTAAGCAACAAGCAGACTAAGAACTGACCCCATTTGAAAATGAAAAATAATCAGAAGAATCCGGCATGGGATCCATGAATAAATACTACATAAGAGGATGATTTTAACCTAATTCTTCTTGGTTCATGCTAACACTGTGACTTTTCCCACCACCATGTTTGAAGTCTCCCAGTCTGAAGCTCCTTTTAATCAATTTTCCTGTAGAATAAGTGACTACAGAGTGAGTGGCACTGTTTTCTTGTTGCGTGCATGGCAAGGGATACATGCGGGGTCCAACTGCTCAACCTTGTGCCTCTTTCCTGCTTCCCACAGTACCTGATGCCTCCAAGTGCTGAGACTTTTGAGGGTTTCTGAGGCAATATTACCTACTGTAGGCAGTCAGCTGCAACCTACTTGTCTGCTATGCTGGGTAATGCTTCCAACATTTTATGGTAATCTTACATTTTCCATTGCATCCTCTCACTTTCTTTGTCCTTGTAAATGAATACCTTTATTTCATTCCTTTAGACATGGTGGTATGGTGAGAAATACAATTTATGTGACAGAAGTGTTCTGAAAGAACCTTGAACTTCACCAACAAAAAGCACTCAGGTGGTGGCCCTTGAGTTAATCTCTCTGTACCAAAGAGGCAACTCCTCCAGTTTTGAGTCTTCAGCTCTGGCGGTTTTCAAATGTGGACCCTGCAGGTGGCAAGCAATGAGCAAGTAAACAGTTTAAGAAGGTCAGCCAGTGGGTAGCAGGGAAATCTAATTAATTTGTACTATACAAGTAGTACATGACTCAGTCCTTTTGTAAAAATGTAGAATAGTGCAGCCAAAGATAAGGTGCCCTTTGACCAACCATCCCCAGGAATTTTTGTGCTCTCTTCTTCTCCCCAAAAGTTATTAACACTGTTACAGTTTAGGTAGTATACTTTTAATCTCTTTCCTATGCCTTCATGTATGGAAAAAAATAGAAAAATTTTAAACTCAGCATATTTTGTTGGGGTTTTGCTAGGAGTGTACACACATGATGAGGGTATTCTGCAACTTGCTTTTTTCACTGAACATGTTAATGCCTATAGATTTAACTTAGGCTCTTCAGGGTATTTTCATCGCATATATGATACCTCAAGTTATTTCCAGTTTATATTTATTTATGTGTTGTCATTTATATATCCATTTCAGTGTTCATGGGCATTTAACTTTCTATCCTTTTCCTTTAGGATTAGATTTGGTTGCATATAATGGAAAATCCCAAAACAATAGCAGTTTGACTAGGATGTAAATGTTTCTATGTCATTTAACGGAAGTACAAAAGGAAGCAATCTGGGTCTGTATGGCAGCTCTATGAAGTTATCAGGCACCCATGCTTCTTCCATCTCTCTGCAACCTTGGATGTATCCCACCTCCTTATGGTTGAAGATGGGCACCTGACATGCTCACAATCACATCCCCAATCCTGTTGACTGCATGGAGGAAGCAGAGAAGGGTACTCTTCCTCCCCCTTAAGAGGATTTCCCAGAAGTCTACACAAATGTCTGATCACCTTTCATTGGCTAGAATTTAACCACATGGCCACATCTGGCCACAAGGAAAGCTAGGGTGTGTACTCTTTTGATGGGCAGTAGTGTTCATTGGTCCTGTTGTTTTGAAAAAGAAGTGGATAGGAAGTAGACAGCTAGCAGTTTCTGCTTCAGGTTGTTTATACTCTGTTATTCTAACAACAATGCTTCAATAAGCATCTTTTAACAACAAGGATGAGTCAAAATATCCCCAGCCAATTAGAACAGACCCTGACCCTATGGCCAGAGGAGGGTCCCTCTGTGCCAGTCATTACCTCTAGTTGCTGGATCACAGAAAAGTGCAGGGCTAAGGGTAAGGGATTGAAGCGGTCCAGGGAGTGAGGGTCAAGGGCACTTAAATGACCTGAGGTTGGGGCTATCTACCAACCAAAGGAGAAGCATTTCAATATTTTAGAAACTGGTAGAGGCCTGCTTATATTTTCCTTACAGTGTACACGTGGCAGTGTGTCTCTGAAGAAGATTCACTGGGTCACAGGGTATACATATTTTTAATTTTAATAGATTCTCCCAAATTTTCTTCCAAGATAGCTATGCTAATCCACACCACCCCAGCAATATCACCCCAACCTCAACAATTCTACATATTAAGAAATCATATCTTAAAAATAATTTTGCCAATCGTATGGAAGAAAAAATGATATCAAATTGTTGCTTTTATTTGCATTTCCCTATCACCAAGGGTGAGAATCTTTTTATATGTTTCATGACCATACTTGATTTCTGGTTTGTCAATTGACTCTTCACAGACTTTACCAATTTTCCCGGAGTTTACTTTTGTTTATAATCTGAAGTAGTGCATTAATTTTTTTCCAATTGTATAAGTAATTGTCCAAAATCAATTACTGAATGATATTCTCTTTTCTTGCTGATATAAAATGCTATGTTTCTAATCTCTGGACTCTCTCTTTGATTCCATAGATCCATTTGTCAATATTTACAAACAATATGGTCTTAACATGTTTTAATTTTATAATGTTTTTGTAAGATTTTTTAGGAATAATATTTACGTAAAAAGAATCTAAAGTATAGACAAAATGCTTTTGAAAATAAAAAGAAGAATGTTGTACTTTCCCAGATCTTAAAATAAGTTATAAAGTCATGATAATTAAACAGTGTGGTATTAGCCTAAGACAGAATACACAAATTGATCAAAAGGACGAAAAAGAAAGTCAAGTAATAAGACTTCAATATTTGTTAAATATGTGATGGGGTAGGCTTTTGGTTGTTGGAGTTGAGGCAATTTGTTTGCCAAAACAAAACAAATTCCAAATGAATTGAAACATTTAATGTTATTGTAAATGACGACTCAATGGGTGCAGCACACCAACATGGCACGTGTATACATATGTAACAAACCTGCAGGTTGTGCACATGTACCCTAGAACTTCAAGTATAATAATAAAAAAAGAAATTAACCCATAAAATATTATAAGAACGTTCTGAGATAAAGAACTTTTTAAACATAAAAGCAGTGGAAGATACCATAAAGGTAAGATGGTAAATTTTGACTACGTAAACACTTTACATCTGTATATTAAAAAAAAATAATAAAATTAAATTAAAAACTCATGACACCAAGAAAAATATCAGCAACATATGACAAAGTTTAATAGCCTTAATATGTAAAGTCTTTAAAAAATCAGTAAGAAAAAATGAACACCACAATGGGAAAATGGTCAAAGCATATAAGTAGCCATTTCAGAAAAGAAGAAATGACTAATATACAAATGAGAAACTTGGACATTAAAGAAGTACAAGATAAACTAATGTTCAATAGAATTTACCTATCAAATTGGCCAATATTTTTTAAATGATAAGCTCCAGGCTATCAAACCTATATAAAAAGGGCACACTCATACATACTTGAGTGTTTACATTGGAGCAGTAGTTCTGGAAGACAATTCAGCAGTGTGTATAACACACATTAGAAAGTATTCATACCTTTTCACTCAGGGTAGAAGTGTACCCCCAAAAAATAGATTATAGATACGTACAAAGGTTTTGTTGTTGTTGTGGTTGTTGTTGTTGTTTGAGACGGAGTCTTGCTCTGTCACCAGGCTGGAGTGCAGTGGTGCGATCTCAGTTCACTGCAATCTCCACCTCCCGGGTTCAAGTGATTCTCCTGCCTCAGCCTCCTGAGTAGGTGGGGCTATAGGCACATACCACCATGCCTAGTTAATTTTTGTATTTTTAGTAGAGACAGGGTTTCACCATATTGGCCATGATGGTCTCAATCTCTTGACCTCGTGATCCACCCGCCTTGGCCTCCCAAAGTAAGGTTTATGCATAAGGTTAGTGTTTGTCACATTATATAAATAAAATTGGAAGCAATCTTAATGCTGCATTAACTGGTTATTGCTTAAATAAATTACGGTCTCTTGTTCTCTCAAAGTCAACCCCCTATCCCAATTCAGAGTTGACTGGGAAGAGAACCAATACATGACTGGTATTAGGCATGTGTATCTGAACTTGGCCCCTTAATGATCTAACCTAGTGATTCTTAACCCTGGCTGCACATTAGAATCACCTGGGGAGCTTTAAAACACTGCTGATATCTGAGGCTTCCTCCTCCTCCCAAGATTCTGATTCAATTGGTCCTGGGTGAGGCCTAGGAATTGGTATTATTTTTAAAGCTCCCTGGGTGATTCTAATGTGCAGCCAGGGTCAAGAACCATTGCTAACCAGCACTCCCTTTAAGTTGATTAATTATATAGGCTATTGACCAAAGCTGGAACTAACAGCCCTCAAGAAACCCCAGGGAAGCCATGCCATTGCTTGAGTCCAACTGATCACAAATGGGCAGCGGCCAACCTCATGCCCCAAGAGACTGGCCTCCCTGGCCATGCTACAGCCCAGCCAGCCAAGTGTCTATTAGATTTAATACCAAAGAGGTCATGGGTGACCTTGACAACCACACTTACCAGCAAGGGATTCTTGACTGTTCTGTGACAAACTGCCACAACAAAGCTACACACCAGTTCACGTTTCCATTTTTAGCCTCTTTATTACCTCCATCTGTTGATGGAGATGCAGCAGCAAACACACAGAGTGTGAACTGCAGCCTTATCTGGTATTGTATAAAGAAGGACAGCCAAACTCCTACAATGTCTCCCACTTGCAGGGGGTGCTAATGCTTCCTAAGTGGGTCCCTCCTTCTGTCCATGCTTTCCATTTCTACTCCTTCAGTCTCTGTTCCCCTCTCCTCCACCTCAATAAGACGTTTGCAGTTTACACTCCATTTCACACAAACAACTTTCTAGTACTTCCTTGCTCACACAGTGATGGCTTGAGGCTTAGCTGCAGACCATGAAAAGGCTTTTTTATTTTCATCAGCAACTGCCTCTTCCCTAATCCCCCCCATGGCTCTGTCTCTGACTCCCAACCTCCTCAACCTATCTAATGACATTGTGAGCTGCAAGGACTATAGTTCATTTCAGATAATGTATTAACATATTAAAGGAAGTGATGTGTTAATGTCTGGAGTCCCTCTTTCTGAGTATGAGATGAAAGACTTAAAAAAGAAGAAGAAAATACGTGGCTACTGTTTATTGGGAGTCTAATTTTCTGTACTGTTTCCACTGCACTCTGATTCCCAAGAGAGAGAAAACGGGGACTAGGGAATATTCCAATGTTTCCCAAACTTCAGTCATTCACATTGCACCTTCATGATTTCTCCCCCACCAATGTACAAATAGTATTATTATTTATGTAACTTTTTAATGTTATCTGACTCTAAAATACATATGTGCATGATTTTTCAAAAGTGAAACTTATCATTACTCAAAATAAAACAGCAGTCTCATTTCCCAAAATTGAAGGTAACCTTTAAAACATATTAGATATATTTCCTTTGACTATATGTTCCATAGTGGGATTGCTAGATCATATGGTAGTTCTATTTTTTATTTTTTATTTTTTATTTTTTTGAAACAAGGTCTCACTCTGCCACCAGGCTGGAGTGCAGTGGTGCAACCTCAGCTCACTGCAACCTTCACCTCCCTGGTTCAAGCAATTCTTGTGCCTCAGCCACCCAAGTAGTTGGGATTACAGACATAAGCCACCACGCCTGGCTAATTTTTGTATTTTTAGTAGAAATGGGATTTCACCATGTTGGCCAGGCTGGTCTCAAACTTCAGGCCTTATGTGATCTGCTCACCTCAGCCTCCCAAAGTGCTGGGATTACAGGCATGAGCCATCACATCCAGCTATTTCATGATTTTGCGAGAAACCTCTATACTTTTCTACATGTTTTCTATAATGTTCTGTATACTTTTCTATATGTTTTCTATAATGGCAGTACCAATTTACACTCTCACCCAGAGTATATAAGTGCTCCTCTTTCTCCACATCCATACCAGCATTTTTATTGTCTTTTCGATGATAGTCATTCTAACAGGTGTGAGATGGTATCTCATTGTGGTTTTGATTTGCATTCCCCTGATGATTAGTGATGTTAAGCATTTTTTTCAAATACCTGTTGACCATTTGTATGCATTCTTTTGGGAAATGTCTATTCAGATCTTTTGTCCATTTTTAATCAGATTCTTTTTCTACTGAGTCATTTGAATTTCTTATATATTCTGGATATTAATCCCTTGTCAGATCCATAGTTTGCAAATATTTTCTACCATTATCTAAGTTGCCTCTTCACTCTGTTGATTATTTCCTTTGCTGTGAAGAAGCTTTTTGGTTGGGGTTATCTCATTTGTCTATTTTTGCTTTCATTACTGTGCTTTTGAGGTCACTAAAAAATCTTTGCCCGGACCAGCCATGAAGCATTTCTCTTATGTTTTCTTCCAGGAGTTTTATTGTTTCAGGTCTTACATTTAAGTCTTTAATTCATGTTGAGTTGATTTTTGTACATGTTGAGAGATAGTGGTCTAGCCTCATTCTTCTGAATGTGAATACAGTTTTCTCAGAACCGTTTATTAAAGAGGCTGCCTTTTCTCCATTTTGTGTTTTTGGTACCTTTCTCAAAAGTCAGCTGGCTGTAAGTTGGCGGATTTTTTTCTGTGTTCTCTATTCTGCTCCACTGGTCGATGTGTCTATCTTTATGTCAGTACCATGCTATTTTGGCTATCATAGCTTTGAAATATAATTTGAAGTCAGGTAGTGTGAGGCTGCCAGCTTTGATCTTTTTGCTCGAGAATGCTTTGATTATTTGAGGTCTTTTGTTGTTCCATATGAATTTTAAGTTTTTTTTTATTTTTGTGAAGAATGTCATTGGTATTTTGATAGGGACTGCACTAAATCTGTAGATCACTACAGTAGTATAGACATTCTTACAATATTAATTCTCCCAATAACTAGGAGCATGGTACTATTCATAATATTCAAGATATGGAATCAACCTAAGTGTCCAGCAATGAATTCATGGATAAAGAAAATGTGGTATATATGCATAATGGAATACTACTCATCCATAAAAGGAATGAAACCCTGTCATTTGCAGCAACATGGATAAACCTGGAGGACATCATGTTAGGTGAAATAATCCAAGCACAGAAAGACAAATACAGCATGATCTCACTCACAGGTAGAATCTACAGAAATTGATCACATAGATGTAGGGAGTAGAATAATGGTCACCAGGGAAGGGAAGGGGAGAAGTGGGATAAAGAGGGATTGCTCAATGCATGCAAAGTTACATTAAATAGAAAAAATAAGTTCTAATGTTCTGTTCCACAGTAGGATGAGCATGGTTAACAATATTGTATTGCATATTTCAAAATAGCCAGAAGAGAAGACTTGAATGTTCTCACCACAAAGAAATGATAAATGTATGAAGTGATGGACATGCTAAACACCCTGATTTGATTATTACACAAGGTGCACATGTATCAAAACATCACATTGTATCCCATAAATATGTACAATTATTATGTGACAATTAAAAAGTAATCAAGAAATAAAATCTTTAAAAACACTTTCACACATGTATCTCAGAACTTAAAGTATAATTTAAAAAAACCACACATTCAATACACACAACACAATGTTATAACATGCTTTAGATCCTGTTATCTGCCAGAAGCTGAATTTGAGATTTGCTTTCTCTTTGTTTAGAAGAGGAATAAGCAAGAGAGGCGTTAAAGACATTTTAGCACCAGACTGATAGTTCTTGATGTAATCAGAAGGACTGAAAGAGGTTTGTAAAAGAAGAACTTTCTTTGTGAATTGATGGCTGTGTGATGCCTAATATTATCTTGGTACTCGTAAACACCCCACACTTGGAGAAACATTGCTCTAGCCCAATGTTTGCTTTTATTTCTAGTGAGAGCCTTTATATGCCTCTTTTCCTATCTTAGCTGGACCCAAAAGTAAGCTTGAATATGATTTTGGATCCTTTTTCCTTTAAACCAGGCTAACCATCTATTGACCAATAAATCTCCCTGAGAGATTCCAACTTGGTAGGTCTGAATCGCAGCTCAAAAGCTGTATTTCTAAAAAGTGCACCAGGTGATTCCAATGGGAAGACAGCTTTGGGAAACTTTTGCCTAGGATCTATCCTTAAGCAGCAAGGTAATGCCAGTATCCCCAGCAGAACCTGGCTTACCTCACCCTCCCCTCAACCACTCTGCTCAAGTGCCCCCAAACTAAATTCCTCTAAAATGCCTCAGCTATGAAAGGTTCTCCCATCTCTTATCATCTTCCCGCAAAACTGAAAAATCTGTTCTTTATTAATAATCCCTAAAAGCATCCCACCCTAATCCTACACTTGGGGTGTGGAGAGGGGGAGAAGAAAAGAAAGAGACCAGAGAATGCCTGCCTTCTCTCCACCACAAGGGTAACACATGTTCACCTCCCAGTCACTCACCATGTTTTTTTCAGTTTCTACTGGGATTTCTCAGTCCTATCTCTGCAACTTCAACCTCTGTGAATCCTTGGTCCTAAAGAAGGCTGGTGAGAGGAGAGGGTAGCAGGCTAACAGTGTTAAAGTATCATTGAACTCAGCTTACAGAGCACCCTAGGATGTTTTCACCATCCAGTGAACTCATCCTAATGGGTTTTCTGGTTCAGAATCAAACATTTGTAGGCAGCATTGGTCAGGTTTTCTATAGTTAAGGCAGATAGCTGCTAACATATATGTTGATTTGGAGGTGATCTCTACCAGCCTACTCTCTAGAGGATGTCCAGTGTAGAGGTAAACCTTGGAGTTCCTGGAACCAGGCGTACTTGTATTCAAGCCTGTCTGTGCTACTTGCTACCCAAGTGACCTTGACTAAGTGATCTAACCTCTTACCATCTCGGTTTTCTTATCTCTGTTGGGGGTGGCAATAACAAAAGGGACTATGTCTTAGAGTTGTCATGAGAGTAAAAAGTGTAAAGAGATTTGCATGCTGCCTGATAGAAGTGAATGTTCAAAAAAGATTAGCCTTTATTGTGATCAATAGCATTGTCATCATCATCAATCTATGAATTTCTGAGCCGACAATTGGATAATATCATAGTGGACATTTGTTCTTTTAAGCTGCTCAGCTTTGAGCACCTTTCCTATGTTTATGCAATTCCCTACACTAAGTCTTGGTGGCAGGCAAAACCTTAAGCTGAAAAGTGTCAGATTTCACTTTCCTGGACTCCCTTGCAGCTAGGGAAATCCAGACTCTGGCTGTGTCCCTTCCCATGGGGTGAGGAGTCCACAGGGCCAGGAGATGTGTTCATCTATGACCCCCCCTGCCCACCTTATAGACCACATTCCAGGTATCCTGGATCCTGGAATATCTGGTCAAACAGCTTCAATTCATTTCCAAGCCTGTACAGTCTCCTCCCCAAATCCATTATTTAGAGGGTGGACTGCATGCATATCCTGAGGCTCAAAGGGTGGCCACGAAGTGACTGTTTGCAGGGACAGGATGGGGGTAGTGTGTGGATGGTGCTTGGATGCTTACATGCCTGTGTATAAGGCAACTTAAAGTGGAGAACGAGTCAGTGGTGGAAAGAGAAAGGGGTTGAGCCACCTACCAGGCTGGCTCTCCCTCTGCCATCACCTTC
Organism: Homo sapiens; assembly: GCF_000001405.40. Lineage (NCBI taxonomy): Eukaryota > Metazoa > Chordata > Mammalia > Primates > Hominidae > Homo > Homo sapiens. The sequence continues at coordinate 22,794,167 of NC_000016.10, read as the reverse complement.
ATTTGAACTGGGCCTTTCAGGATGTTCTGAAGGCATATTATAGAATATATTTTATGTAATAGTTTCCTAGGTTTGGTTTATAACTTCTAAATGTTTAAGCATACAGTAGTTTGGCCTTCAATTGTGCTCTTGCTCTAAGTCCTGAAAATGTTAGGAATTGTCTGTGCACCTGCTCTGGTCTTTGAATCAGGAGCAAAAGACACAAGGAAGCAAGGACTACAGAGAGTCTCCACCCACCACTGTTTGTGTGTGTGGTGGGGGGAGGCAGTGTGTGTGTGTGTGTCTGTGTGGCAGTGTGTGTGTGTGTCTTTGTGGCTGTGTGTGTGTGTTTGTCTGCATGGCAGTGGCAGCTGCAGCAAGATTAACATTCCAAAGGCAAGTGGTAGCACGAAGAATGGGGTCTTTCAGAGTCCATTGCTGGTGGTGTTGATGGCAAGCTGCATCTACTGCTGGGGTAGCAGCAGCAGTACCCTAACTAGACCATTTTTGAGAGGATATGGCCAGAGATTTCTACTGGTCAGCCTCTTTTTTTGCTTGTCTCCACTTTTCCCTTTCTCCAGACATCTCAGCAATTCTATGAACTACCCAACAGCATTTTATTCTCTCTTTTAAAAGGTTTACTTATTTCCACCCCTTGAGTCCATGTGTCCAGTAGAAAAAACAATAGAACACTCAAGGAAATAAAAGAAAGTTACAATTAAAGTTACCCACAATCTTGTCACCCTGAAGAATTGACTGTTATCATTTCAGCATAACCTTCCAGATTTTATATGTAACCATTAATATAGACATACAAAATTACAAAAATAATTCATAGAGTATATTCTGCTTTGCAACCTAATTTTTTCACAAAACCGTATATTGTGGACATCTTTATATGCCAATGCATTTTTCTTTTATATTTTTATTATGAATTTTTTTGAGACAGAGTCTCAGTCTGTCACCTGGGCTGGAGTGCAGTGGTGTGATCCCAGTTCACTGCAACCTCTACCCCCAGGGTTCAAGTGATTCTCATGCCTCAACCTCCCAAGTAGCTGGGATTACAGGCCCCGCCACCACACCCAGCTAATTTTTGTATTTTTGATGGCAACGGGATTTTGCCTTATTGGCCAGGCTGGTCTTAAACTCTTGACCTCAAGTGATCCGCCTACCTCGGCCTCCCAAAGTGCTAGGATTACAGGCGTCAGCCACTGTACCTGACCCATTTTTCTTTTTGTTAATTCAATTTGCTATTTTGAGTAATTTGTAGATTCACATGCAATTGTACGACATAATACAAGGAGAGCCCATGTATCCTTTACCCAATTTCTCCCAGTGGTGACATCTTGGAAAACTATTGTATCACAACCAGGATATTGACCTTTTTTTTTTTTTTTTTTTTGAGACAGGGTCTTGCTCTGTTGCCGAGTCTGGAGTGCAGTGATGCTATCATAGCTCCCTGTAGCCTCAAACTCCTGGGATCAAACGATCCTCCTGCCTTAGCCTCCTGAGTAGCTGGGATTACAGATGCAGGCAAATGCATCCAGCTAATTTTTAAATTTAGACCTTGACATTAATCCACTGATATTATTCAGATTTCCCCTGTTTTACTTGTGCTCATTTGTGTGTGTATTTAGTTGAATATGGTATTATTGTGTTCATTTATCCACCATCACAGTCAAGATACAGAACAGTTCCATCATCACAAGGATCTTTCATGTGTCCTTTAATAACCTCACCCACCTCTCTCCTGCCCCACTCCCCATCCCTAACTTCTAATCTGTTCTCCACTTCTAAAATTTCATCTTTTCACCAGTGTTACATAAATGAAATCATATTGCATGTAATCTTTTGGAACTGGCCTTTTCTTCAGTTAGCATAATTCCCTGGAGATCCATCGAAATTGTGACACGTATCAATAGTTCATTCTTATTTATTGCTGAGTAGTATTCCATGGTATGGGTGTATCACAGCTTCTTATCATCCACCCATTGAGGGACATTTGGGTTGTTCCCAGTTTTTCCCTACTACAAATAAAGCTGATATGTATATTTGTGTATAAGTTTTTGTGTGGGCATAAGTTTTCATTTCCATGGATAAATGAACGCCCAAGAGCTCAACTGCTGGATAAAATAGTAATTCCATGTTTATTAGGTTGGTGCAAAAGCAACCTAATTTCTAAGTAGAAATTACCCTGCCCAGAACTTCCATCCATGAGTAACAGTTCCATTTCCTAATGCTACACAGAAGCAGGCCTTCCAAAATGCAAAGTCAATGGTGCAATTGCTTTTGCACCAACCCAATAGCTTATAAAAAACCAGCCAAGCTGTTTTCCAGAGCAACCATACAATCTTACAATGTGTGAGTGGTCCAGTTTCTCCACATCCTGGACAGCATTTGATGTTGTCACTGTTTTTTATTTTAGCCATTCTGATAGATGTGTGGTGATACCTTATTGTGATTTCAACATGTTTCCCTGATGGCTAATGATGCTGAACATCTTTTCTTATGCTTATTTTTCAAATGTATGTCCTTTCTGTTGAAATGTCTCTTCATGTCCTTGCCAATTTTCTAATCTTATTTTTTGTTACTGTTGAGTATTGAGAATCATTTAGATATTCTAGCTACTAGTCCTTTGTTGGATATGTGGTTTACAAGTATGTTCTCCCGGTTTGCAGCTTTTGTTTTCATTCTTTTCATGAGGTCTTTTGCAAAGCAAAAGTTTTTAATTCCGATGAGGTCAGATTTATCAATCTTTCCTCTTACAGGTTATGCCTTTGGTGTTAAGTCTAAAAGCCGAGATCTTTAAGATTTTTCTTTTTTCTAAAATTTTTATAGATTTACATTTAATATTTAAGACTATGATCTACTTTAAGTTAATTTTTATTTTTTTATTTTTATATATATATATTTTTATTATGCCTTAAGTTCTAGGGTACATGTGCACAACATGCAGGTTTGTTACATATGTATATATGTGCCATATTGGTGTGCTGCACCCATTAACTCGTCATTTACATTAGATATCTCTCCTAATGCTATCCCTCCCGCCTCTCCCCACCCCACAACAGGCCCTGGTGTGTGATATTCCCCTTCCTGTGTCCAAGTGTTCTCATTGTTCAATTCCCACCTATGAGTGACAGCATGCGGTGTTTCGTTTTCTGTCCTTGCGATATTTTTTAAATAAGTTATGAGGTTTAGGTTGAGGTTCAGTTTTTTTCCAGGTTTTGTATATAACTATCAATATATATAATATGCTACTATAAAGATAAATCATATCATAGCTTATATTCTTTTGTGTAACATAATATTCTCACAAACACCACTATTATGAACATCTTTACATACCAAAAAGTTTAAATCTGTTTAATAGTTTCTAATGGCTTTAAAACGAGCCATTGCATAGATGTATCATACTTTATTAAAGCAAACATATTCAGAAATCTTCTTACACTGTCATCCATTTAATAGAATTCCTTTTAGCTTAAAGCAGGCGGCATCAAGCATCATATCTGTTGCTTGAAGCTAAGAACTCTCACACAAGTACATAAGCTGCTTTCTGAGAGGTTATTTAAGCAAGCATCACATGTCAAGTGTGTCAGAAAAAGAGCTAGAACCTAAAAAACAGTTATTTCCTGGCATCCTTTAGGCCTTAATGTTAGACCAAACCAGAGAATCTTGCAGCTTCAAGTTTAACCTCAGTAAAAATACTCCCCAACCCATAATGGTTATGTTACTTATGTTTCTATTTCAGCGTGTATTTGAAGGTTTACATAGATTTTTTTCTTAAGGACCTGAGTCATTCCCAAGGTTGAGGTTGGGGGTTTGTAGAGGTCATCCATCTGACTTAGTGTTCTCTTTTAAGAGCTCTTATAAACTCATCATCTGGGGAGGTTTTTCAACTTATACCTGCTCAGCCCACCTGACTTTACTAGATTATAATCTTCCAGAATGGTACCTGGACCTGGGTACTTGGGGATACTCCCCAGAGCATCCACATTCAGGGTAACAAACTGCTTTCATTCCATCTCTCTCCCTTTCAGACATCCCAAAGTCAGGTTTTCTTTTGGAGGTCACTTCCAAAGCAGCCCAATCAGTTGTTTATTTTATTTATTTATTTATTTATTTATTTTGTCAGAGTCTTGCTCTGTCACCAGGCTGGAGTGCAGTGGCGCGATCTTGGCTCACTACAACCTCCACCTCCCGGGTTCAAGCAATTCCTCTGCCTCAGCCTCCTAGGTAGCTGAGACTACAGGCACGCCCCACCATGCCCGGGTTAATTTTTTTCTATTTTAGTAGAGACAGGGTTTCACCATGTTGGCCAGGATGGTCTCAATCTCCTGACCTCGTGATCCACCCGCCTTGGCCTCCTAAAGTGCTGGGATTACAGGCATGAGCCATCGTGCCCGGCCTTAAATTCTTTAACTATTAGAAAGTTCTATCTGCTGGGTATGAGTCAGCTTGCCTTAGAACTTTTTCCTGCAGGTTATAGTGTTACATTATCTACAATTGTGGTTCTTACCCTTGCCTTCACCTTGGAACCATCTTGGAGACCTATAAAACACACCAAAGCCTGGGTCTCACCCCTAGAGAGTCTGATGTAATTGGTCGAGGGTGCAGCCTCAGCACTGGGGTTTTTCAAAGCTCCCCAGGTGATCAAATGCACGGCAGAGTTGAGATTCACTGGATGAAAGGCACATGAGGTCACAAACTCAAATGCCTGCAATGTCAGACAGGTTATCAGGTGAGGACTGTGATGAACTAGAGAGCTCTTGATTCATTCAAAAGAGACACCAACTACTCAGCTCCAGGCAATTACTCACCTCCAGGCAGGTGGGCCAGACATTGCCAAATACGGGAATTTAAAAAAAAAAAGAGAGAGTCTGGAAGTCCAAATATTTATGTTAAATCTCAGGATTCTTAAATGCTGGCAAATGACATAAAAATAAAAAATAATCTGCAGGCCAGATCCAGCAGCCTTGGTCCTCTGGTCTAAAATATTTTAGTATAGGATTCCTTCTAAAGCAAAAGCAAGTTTCTTGAGCTCAGCACTTTTTTTTTTTTTTTTTTTTTTGAGATGGGGTCTCGATCTGTCACCCAGGCTGGAGCGCAGTGGTGTGATCTCAGCTCACTGCAACCTCCACCTCCTGGGTTCAAGCAATTCTCCGACCTCAGCCTCCCAAATAGTTGGGACTACAGGTGCCTGCCACCGCGCCTGGCTATTTTTTGTTTTGTTTATTTTGTTTTGTTTTGTATTTTTAGAGAGACAAGCTTTCACCATGTTGGCCAGGTTGGTCTCAAACTCCTGTAGGTGATCCACTAGCCTCAGCCTCCCTAAGTGCTAGGATTACAGCCAGAGGTGAGCACTATTAATATCTTGAGCTGGATCATTCAACCTCTGGGGCTATCCTGTGCATTGTAGCAGCATCCCAATAGGAGCCAGCAGCACCTCCCAGTCCCCATTTGTGAAAATCAATGATGTCTGTAGACATTGGCAAGTATCCCCTTGGGGGCAAAATTGCCCCCGAGAACCACTGTTCTTTTTAAAATAATTTTTTTTAAAATTTAGAGACAGGGTCTCACTCTGTCACCCAGGCTGGAGTACAGTGGCGTGATCATAGCTCACTGCAGCCTCAAACTCCTGGGCTCAAGCAATTCTCTTGCCTCAGCCTCCCAAGTAGCTGGGACTATAGGCAGGAGCTACCACACGTGGTTAAGAGAACCACCGTTCTAAAACAACTGAGTAATTGCCTCCAATGATGAGCAACTCACTCCTGAAAGAGCCCATTCTATTATTTGATAGGTCCAACTATAGGGAAGTTGTTTATTTTCTAAGTAGAAATTACCCTGCCCAGAACTTCCATCCATGAGTAACGGTTGCATTTCCTAATGCTACACAGAAGCAGGCCTTCCAAATTGCAAAGCCACCCTCTGTGTGGCCCCTGCAAAGTTCTCTTTTCTATCTGCTAAATTTCCTGGTTTGCTTCCTGCTTCTTATGCAGCACGTTTTCCAGACCATTCACCCTCTGCCAAATGCCCTCCAGTTTTTTTTTTTTATATCCCTCATAAACTGCAGTACCCAGTTGAGCACAACATTCCAGGGGCGGCCTAACCATCAGGGCCTGCAGACCAGCTATTTCCTGCCTTGCTCTGAACGTCGTGCTTCTATTAATGCCCCTCTGGATCACATTAGTTGCTTTTTTGGCAACCACATCCCACTGTTGACTCAGACTGAGTCTGTGGTCAATTAAAACCCACAACTCTTGGTTGTGCTGCTCTTAGGCAGTTGTAGTCCATCCCGTGCTTCTGCAGTTGTGTGTGTGTTTGTTCACGCACTTCTGTGCATGCACACATAGGCGCGTGTGCACCTTAGCCTAATTTTAGTAAATTATATGTATTGCTGTTAAATTTCATCTCCTTTGTTTCAGTAGACCATTTTAGTATACTACATATTTTGAATCTGTATTCATCATTTGACGGAAGAGCTATTAGGCCCAATTTTGTGTCATTCACAAGTTATTAGCTTGGCAGCCCTCCTGGGGCCTTACTTAAGTCATTGTTAGAAATGTTGTCCAGGGCAGAGCCTGGACAAGAATATTGTGGAACTTCCCGAGACAGCTTCCTCCAGATGCATGGATTCTGTGATGTCTCCATATCTCATCCCTCTGTCTGAATTCCTATAGGATAGTGGGAGAAACTCTGTCTTTTTAAAACTGAGATATACTATTATTCAGCCTTAAAAAGAAGGGAAATTCTGATGCATGCTACACATGGATGAATCTTGAGGACCTTATGCTAAGTGAAATAAAGCAGTAGCAAAAGAATAAATATTGTATGATTCCTCTTATACGAGGTTCCTAGGGTCACTAAATGCATAGAGACAAAGTAGAACAGTGGCTGCCAGCAGCTGGGGGAAGAGAGAATGGGAAGTTACTGGGTAGATTTTCAATTTGAGAGGGTGAAAAAGTTCTGCAGCTGGATGATGGTGATGGTCATACAACAATGTGAATATACTTATTGCCACTGAAATGTACATCTAAAAATGGTTAAAATGGAGAATTGTATTTACCACATACATACATAACATATATATGTATATATAAACATATATAGTTTTTAAAAAGATTGAGATAGACAACCTCTATATTATACCCCCGAGACTTATCCCCTCGGAATCAGGGAATTAGGTCAATTTCATATGACTCACTTGGTGACTGTCATTCTTTCCCAAGTACCACAAACCAAAATTGCAAGGGTTTATTTAGGGTTTCACCACTTAACTCTATTTTGCTTGTTGGAATTTGCCATTTTATGGAAACAAAGATTAGCCTCTTGTTCTAGTCTCCTGATTTTTCTTCCTATAAACATTGTAGCTGCTCGCTGCCCCAGGCTAGAAAGATGAATGAGACTCAGCATCTGCCTGTCAAAAAGTCAAATGGTTACTGGCAGTTGTTTGGGAATCCCATATTTATAAGTTTTAGAACTACTATCGTTCAAAGGGAGTCAGGAAGAATAGAGAATTCACAGCAAGATCAAGTAGGCAGGGCAGACAGACCATAATCTAGACTAGATTCTGTTTCTAGTAAGGAAAAGACATGGAAAGTAGCAGGGGCTGACCTCCCAGGTTCAATTAGCAAGATGTGGTCTCCTGTGTGTATGCCTGTATGATCTTCCGTGGTCATGGTGTAACTAAGTGGTTGCCTGGCACCCTGGCTGCTGTGGAGAGTAATGGCATATGGGTGTCAGGGGAGAGCCCCCAGAGGAACAGTGCTCAGAAGCCCAGGAAGACAGAAAGGCACTGTCTGAGAAGCCTCCTTGTGGGTGGCAGGACCCAGCCGCCAGCAAGAGTGAGGATGGTGATCCCCATGGGGATGGGAGATGGAAAGCATAAACAATTTGTAAGAATAAGAGCAAAGAATGGAAATCAAAATGGAATCCCATTCTTACTAACTGGGAAAATGGGAACCCCTTGGGGGCAGAGTTGGATCCCAATAGTCAGATGACCACATGGAAACCCAGTGTCCAGTCCAGAGTGCAACAGCCAAGGTCATTCCACCAGGGAGATAATGGGTAAATTATGAGTTCGGACAATGAAAAAGAGAGGTCAAGAAGAACACACTAAGGCCAGGTCAGCAGGGGAAAGGGGCTCTAGAACAAAGCATTTATAAGTGGATTAAAGCATATCAACATGGATAATGAGTCATTCCCAAGTATCAAGTGATAGTTAAATTTTGAAAGATGTTTTCCACCAATGGCCTTATAAAGAATGGGGGTGATATAGTTTGGATGTGTGTCCTCTCCAAATCTCGTGTTGAAATGTAATCCCCAGTATTGGAGGTGGGGCCTGGTGGAAGTTGTTGGGTTATGGGGGCGGATCCTTCATGAATGGCTTAGTGCCTTCCCCTTGGTGATGAGTGAGTTCTTGCTCAGATCACGTGACAGCCAGTTGTTTAAAAGAGTTTGGCACCTTCCCTGTCTTTCTCCTGCTCTCTCACTTTCACCATGTGACACTTTGGCACCCCATCACCTTTCACGATGATTGTAAGTTTCCTGAGGCCTCACCAGAAACAGATGCCAGCACCATGCTTCCTGTACAGCCTGTGGAACCGTGAGCCAATTGAGCCTCTTTTCTTTATAAATTACGAAGTCTCAGGTATTCCTTTATAGCAACACAAAAATGACCTAACACAGGGGAAAAAGGGTATTGAGAGATCTTGATGCAGGATTAGCATTTTAAGGACCAAGATAAAGGCTAAATTTGCTATATTGTATTAGGTCAGAACTATGATCTGAGATGGTCAATATTGCTATCCAACAACCACGATGCAGAAACATTACTTTGTTGAATAAGATTAGCAATTTTTATTTGGGGTTTAACTCCAACAACCTTCCCAGGGTTTTCTCTATCTCACAAATGTTTTGTGGGGCTCCCAGAAGAGAAGGCAAGGCCTTATCAACTTTTCTTGGAGTATTTAGTAAGAGGCTGGAAAATCCAAAAGTATGTGTATGTTGTGCTTCTTAGCAGCAGGGGACCACAGCCCTCGTGTTCGCCAAACTCTCCTACCTCTGGCAGAGGAGATGGTGACAATAAAGTCTAGTTTCCTATCATCAGAAGAAACCTCCCTTGACCTCCCTTGTAAAGAAATAACCCTCGTGCACGTACAAACACACAAACAAGCATGCACATGCTCAACTGGTCATGCCTCTTCAAGCCTGATCATAAGGATCAGGAGAGGCCCCTCTAGAGCAGAGTTATTCTTTCTAACAAGTCTTCATCTGATGTGGTTCCCTAATCTCTCTTTCATCAGACTGAGCTAAGAACTGGCCGGAAATACACCCAGAACTCAATAGCTAACCTGAGTGCCAAGCCTGGGGGAGAAAATAAAAGGCCCAAGAAATGGAGAAGGAGATTGAGTTGACAGTTATGCCAGGTTCGGGGGCTCAATATTATTTAACAAAGCAAAATGTTGTCTCTTTTCATACCTCCCTTGGTCTTTAAGTTTCGTTTTTAAGGATTTCTTATTTCAAATCTGAAGAGCATTTTCTTTGCCGGAAACAAACTAAAACCCAAGTGCTGCTTTTAATCTGTCATGTGTTGGCGCGGTCCTGTAATTTATCTTCTTGCTTCAAATGTGCCCCCAAATCAATTCTTCTCGTCCTTAACATTTTTGCAAGCCTTAGCTCTTTTTTTTTTTTTTTGCCACAAACTCCCCGAGACCATTCTTGTCCATGCTCACCACTCTTTTGTATTCACCTTTAGTTTTAAGCACCTCTTTCTATCTTTTATGTACTGATCATTTTAAGATCAGAACTCACCAGAGAACTCCCTATGAGAACACGCTCATTTCTTTAGGGCCCTCATCCCCCACCCCATTTTCCCCCCATGGAAATCATATAGAAAATTGTCAAACATCCCCTTATTGAGTTTCATGCAGTCTGCTTCGCATTTTTGGCATGAGGCCATGGCCTGTGAAAATGTCAAAATCTTTCTAGCAGTTAAGCCATGGGGTCCAATAATTCACCTGATGGTCACAGCAGCTCCATGAGCTAGCAGGGCAGACACTAAGATCCCCACCTCACAACTAAGAAGAATCTCAGGGAAGTTTCACGACGTTATAATTGAGGCTAAAATCCAGATTATTGGGCTTCTAGTCACCAGCAACAATATTGATTGGGCATCTACCCAATCATGCAAGGCACTGTTCTCGACTGTAGGGATACACTGGTGAACAAAACAAAGTCAATGATCTCATGGACTTGCCGTCTAGTGTGGCGAAACAAACAAACAAATAAACATAGAAAGTAAGCCAGATGGTGATGGCCAAGGAGGGGAAATATGTTGCTTTATATTGGATTAGGACATGCTTCACTGATGAGGTAATATTTGAAGGATGGTGCATTTATTGATCACAGTATAGGAGCCCTAGAGGGTCAATGGGAAGGTTTGGGAGAATGTGAGGGATCAGTAGGGGTCAGTAGCGGATGCACAGAAAGGTATGGAGCTGGGAACATCTTTCATGATTCCACACTTGCATGTCCAATTACTTCCTTGGCCTCACTGAAGTTTCAGTCTCTCAAACTGGTTCAGAACCAGTCCATTGATCTTCAACCCTAAATTTATGCCTTCACTAGTCCTTCTCACTTCCGTAAGTTGCAACACCAGCTTCCCAGTACTCACAATTAAAACCTGAAGGCTTCTCTGAGTCCTTCACTACCCCAGCCCACCTCCAAGGCAACTTATCCACAATTCCTATTATGCAGTCTTCCTGGAAAAGAGGTCTCATATCCAACTACTTCTTTTTCTTGACAATCACTGCACCAGTCCAGGCCTTCATCATTTCTTACCTGGTGGGTGCAAAACCCCCTCATTCATATGCCCACTCCTACACTTAGCCTTCTAGTCTGTTCTTTACCCAGCAAGCTAGATTAATATTTTTAAAACATCCATTGAATCACATCACTCCTTTGCTTAAAATCCATAGAAAAAATTCCAGACGCTTACTGCGGGCTTCAAAGTCCTACATGCTGAGGTCTTTTCACTTGGATATCTTTGCAATCCTGTTTCTCCTGACAAGAGGATCTCTGAAATGCTTTTCTGTTTTCTTCATACCCGAATACCAACTTGGATGCATATCGAGTTACAATCTTCTTTTCTCAAAGTTGTAGAGGCATCACTTCAGTCTGTGACAGTGTTTGTCGCTGAAGCAGAAAGGTCTGAGCCTGCCAGATTCTTTTTTTAAATATATATTTTGTTTTGTTTTCCTTTTGTGTTTGTGTTTGTTTTCAAAGGTAACTGTTTTCTTGCTTGAATGCCTGCGGCATAATTTTTATCTTCAAAATGTAAAAAAACACTTTTAGATTGTGTCTAATGGTAGGTCCCATTTCATTACTTTTTTTTCTGAGAAAATAATGAAGCATTTTATTAGCCAACAGGAGAGTTTTTGCTGCTTGCGTCTTTTATAATTTTATATTCACTTGCCTGTCATTTCCCTGCCATCTTTTACATTTCACTTCCTCTGGCGATGGTGTTTCCACACTGAGGAAGAACACTTAAATCTCATGAATCTAACAGAGTCACGGCCAATCCAGTAGCTGCTTCCCACAACAATCACGAGACCCCTTACGAGTGCCCAGCATGACTTCCCTTCTGGGGTTGTTGTAACAGAAGCATAAAATGTCCATTCAGAGAAACACACAGCCTTATCTGCAAGGAACAGAGGAGCTGAAGGGATACAGTCTGGAAATGACTAATAAGATTAGAGGCAATATTCTGGCCTTGATGTTTTGTCAGGTTCTAAGTAGAATAGATCAAAGTGTGTCTTTATTTCCACAGTCCAAAAAAAAGCCCTCAGGCCAAAAAATGTCACTGCTAATTCAGTTTTCTTTTTCTAATGTGTATGTCACTCAGCACCTTTTGATATTGTAGCCATCTACCTGCTGCTGTATTTTTTAATCCTATTAGAACTGAACTTCATGGCCAGTTGCTTCGGTCTTTGAGAAACACAAATGAGACCCAATGGACTACTCTGTGCTCAACAGGGATTTCAGTTATGAAGTCTAGAATCACAGGGCTCCTATAAGCCTAAGGAAGAAAAACAGCCATTCACCATTCTTTCCCAAATGTCTGTCTTTTCCCTTCCCAACCTGTTTTCTAAATCATAAGAAGAACTTGGGGGTGGGATAAGTGGCATTTCCAGTTTGACTTAATCACAAAAGTTAATTCCACAGGGCAAAATCAGAGTTAATTCAGCAGTGGCCTGAATTTAAGCAGAGTCATGGTTGAAATAGTACAGAGCACTTTAAGGTCGGTGAAAAAAAATCATTAAACATATAAAGCTTCCAGAATTTGTAATCCAAATCTATAAACAGATTTCCATACACTGATGCAGAGAAAACGCAATTATCATTCATCACAGGTCTTTATTGTCAGAGCATCTGAGCTGAGTCCAGTCCGGCAACAGAATTCATGTTTCTCCACCACGCCCCAACTAAAGCCCAAAGTGACAGCGACGTGAGACAGACACTGAATAATTCAGGCCCTAAATTGCCCCCCTGAGCTCCCTCTCCATGTGTATAGTTCTCTGTAGATCTGGATGATTCTACGCACATCTATGGGTTTGAATCAGGAAATTACCTCTATTGATTTCGTCGGAGTGTGTGATATAAATTTACATTCTGTCTGCCTGGCCTCAAGCTTAAATGCCAGCAAGCATCCCTTTCCAAATGGCCGAGTCCACACTGGCCATTCGGCTTGAGATGGGAGCCTCTCCTGGGTAGGGGATGCTCGGAAGGTATTTTTATAGTGATCATTTAAATTCTGACGTTTTTATTTGTGAACAATTTCAAACATAAAGTAAATAAGATTATAGCCATCTGTGTACCTAGCACTCAAATTGTACCAGTGTTCACATTTTCCCTTATCTGATTCAGATTTGTTTACATCTATAATGTTACAGGTAAAGCACAAGTCACCCCAGGCACATACTCCGCCCTAGTCTCCTCCCGACCTTCCGCCTCAGATGTAAGCATAACCCTGAAGTTGGTGTGGATCTTTCCCGTGAATATCTCAGTATTTTTACCACAAATATATACGCATCTTTAAAATTTAGAGACATGCTGGCCGGGCGCGGTGGCTCACGCTTGTAATCCCAGCACTGTGGGAGGCCGAGGTGGGTGGATCATGAGGTCAGGAGTTCGAGACCAGCCTGGCCAACACAGTGAAAACCCGTCTCTACTAAAAATACAAAAATTATCTGGGCGTGTTGGTGGGCGCCTGTAATCCCAGCTACTCGGGAGGCTGAGGCAGGAGAATCGCTTGAGCCTGGGAGGCGGAGGTTGCAGTGAGCCGAGGTTGTGCCACTGTACTCCAGTCTGGGTGACAGAGCTAGACTCCATCTCAAAAAAAAATTAGAGACATGCTACATGAAGACGTGTCTTCAACGTTATGATTTTGAGATTTCTCAAATGTTGACATATGTATATTTAGCTTATTTTAACTGCAGGATAATATTCCACTGAGTAGAGAAAGACAACTTTTCTTTTCCATTACATTATGGATAGACATTTAGAACTTTTCAGCTTTCAGTACTGCCAACACTGCAATGAGTACCCTTAGCTCTATCTCTTGTGTACAAATGTGACAGTTTCTTTAGAGCAGTATCTACAAAATTCTTTTTTTGCCACAACCCCCAGAAAAAAATGTATTTACATTGCCACACACACATACACTTACTTGTGCACAATTTTTACAAAACTAATACCTAATCTTACTATCATCTTTTTCTCTTTTCTCCTTCCTTCCTTCCTTGATCTTTTTCTCTTTTCTCCTTCCTTCTCTCCTTCCTTCCTTCCTTTCTTCTTTCCTTCCTTCCTTGATCTTTTTCTCTTTTCTCCTTCCTTCCTTGATCTTTTTCTCTTTTCTCCTTCCTTCTCTCCTTCCTTCCTTCCTTTCTTCTTTCCTTCCTTCCTTGATCTTTTTCTCTTTTCTCCTTCCTTCCTTGATCTTTTTCTCTTTTCTCCTTCCTTCCTTGATCTTTTTCTCTTTTCTCCTTCCTTCTCTCCTCCCTTCCTTCCTTTCTTCTTTCCTTCCTTCCTTGATCTTTTTCTCTTTTCTCCTTCCTTTTCTCCTTCCTTCCTTCCTTTCTTCTTTCCTTCCTTCCTTGATCTTTTTCTCTTTTCTCCTTCCTTCCTTGATCTTTTTCTCTTTTCTCCTTCCTTCCTTGATCTTTTTCTCTTTTCTCCTTCCTTCCTTCTTTCCTTCCCTTCCTCCCTTCTCTCTCTCTTTTCCTTTCTTTCTCTCTCTTTCTTTCTCTCTCTCTTTCTTTCTTTTTTTCTTTGTTCTTTCTTTCTCTCTCTCTCTCCCTCCCTCCCTCCCTCTCTCTCTTTCTTTCTTTCTTTCTTTCTTTCTTTCTTTCTTTCTTTCTTTCTTTCTTCCTTTCTTTCTTTCTTTCTTCCTTTCTTTCCTTCTTTCTTTCTTTCCTTTTAAAGCTGTTTAAGACCCTTGGATTTCACAACCACTAATGAGGGGTAGACATTCCAGGGTATATGCCTAGAGGTTACTTGCTGAGTTGAAGGGCATCCGTGTGCTCGGCCACTCTTCAGAACGGCTCTGCTGTTTACCCCTCCAGCAGCAGGGTTGGGGGTTCGTGTCATCTCACTCATTCTTGCCAATGCTTGTCATTGTCAGACTTTCTAAGTTTTTACCCTACCAATAGGCATCAAAGAATCTCATTGCTGTTTCCATTTGTATTTCCCAAATTCCTACTGGACCTGACCTTTTACTCTTCCACGTGAATTTTTGGAATCAAGATCCTCATGCTGTAATAGACAGTGGTTTGGGTTGTTTGTCTAAATATTTCCTAAGTTCCTTTATATTTCTTCTTGGTGCATCAATTGTTTAAAAGTGTTATCATTTCCAAATGTAGTGGGGGGAGGGTTTGACTTCCTTTCTGCATTTCTTTTTCAATTTTATTGCATTCTCGAGGAAGTGGTCTACATAATATTGGGTCTTTGGTATTTGTTGAGGCTCACTTTGTAGCCCTGGGATATTTTGATAAATATTCCCTGTGTATTTAACAAGAATATATTTTAATTTTTAGGTTGTACATCTTCAACATGTGCATTAGACCAAGCTTATTTACTATGATGTTCAGAACTTCAATATCCTTACTCAGTTTTCATTTCCTTGATCCATCAATTTCTGAAAAATGTCTATTAAAATCTCCCACTACGATTGTAGATTTGTCAAATTCTTCTTGTAATTCTATCATCTTTGCTTTTTATTTTTGAAGCTGTGTTGTTAGTTGAACGTAGCTGATGAATTTTCCCCTTAATAATTATATAATGATCATTTTAATCCCTAATTATCCTTTATCATCTTGAATGATATTTTATGTGATGCTGATAGTTGTACATATTGTACATATTTGGTTGGCATTTGCCTGGGATAGCTTCTTCCATCCCATTACTTTCAAAAATTACTTTTTAGGTATGTTTTTAATAAATAATATGTAGGTACATTCAGGTTTTTTATCCAACTTAAGCATATCTATATATTAATTAATGGTAATGAATATGGAACCAGCCCAAATGCCCATCAATCAACAAGCAGATAAAGAAACTGTGGTATATATATATGCCATGGAATACTACTCAGCCATAAAAAGGAACAAAATAATGGCATTTGCAGCAACCTGGATGGAATTGGAGACTATTATTCTAAGTGAAGTAACTCAGGAATGGAACACCAAACATCGCATGTTCTCACTCAAAAGTGGGAGCTAAGTTATGATGACACAGAGGCATAAGAATGATGCAGTGGACTTTGTGGACTAGAGGGGAAGGGTGGGAGGTGGGTGAGGGATAAAAGACTGTACGTTGGGTACAGTGTACTCTGCTCAGGTGACGGGTGCACCCAAATCTCAGAAATCACCACTAAAGAACTTATTCATGTAAAAAAAAAATGGCAATGATCCATTTATGTTTATTGTAATTACTAGCATCTTTGGGTTTATTTGGACCATCTAGCTTTGTGATTTTTATTTTCTATTACATACTTTCTATAGTTTGTAACTCCTACTTATTTTTTTTATTTTATTTTATTTTTTTTGAGACAGAGTCTCATTCTGTCGCCCAGGCCTGAGTGCAATGGCACGATCTCGGCTCACTGCAACCGCCTCCAGGGTTCAAGCAATTCTCCTGCCTCAGCCTCCCGCGTAGCTGGGATTACAGGCACCCGCCACCACACCTGGCTAATTTTTTTATTTTTGGTAGAGACAGGGTTTCACCATATTGGCCATGCTGATCTCAAACTCCTGACCTCAGGTGATCCACCTGCCTCGGCCTCCCAAAGGGCTGGGATTACAGGAATGAGCCACCACGCCCAGCCTATATCTCCTATTTTTATTGAATTAGGTATTTTCCCTGCAACTTGTTTGGAAGTTGTGCATTCCATTTCTATTCTCTTAGTAGTTCCTTTAAGTTTTTAGTGTGCATAGGTCATCTCTGTAGTTAATCACTATTTCTCCTATCCTCCAGAGCAACACAAGGGCCTTAGAAAGTTTTAACTCTCATTGTTCTTTTCCCATCTGATTTATTTTTGTTGTCTGGTTATTTTATTTCCACCTTGCTTTTACTCCCTCCCCCAATGTTGGTTACTATTTTTTAAGAAAAATGCTTTTTTAGAGTTACCCACAAATGTCACCAGTTTGTCAGCTCAATAATACTCCATGTCCCCCACTCCTTCCTTCTGTGTTCAATATCCTTTTACGAAAACACATCCCTGGGATTATTAAATCCTCTCCATCTTTTCTGTCTAGAGATGTCTTTTTATTACCTTCATTCTTGATATTTAAACTGAATGTGGGATTCCAGATTGACAGCATTCTTTATCAGGACTTTGGAGGGACCATTTCATTCTTCTGAGCGTCTATTGTGACTATCAATCTGTTTTTCCATTGCAGTTAATTTCATTATCTTTTATCTCTGGTGGCTTTTAAGATTTTCCTTGTCTTGCTTGTTTTTCAGTTTCACCTTGATGTATCCATTTGCGGATTTAATTTTATGTACCTTGTTAGAACGCAGTAGGCCTCCTGATTTCTGGAAACTATCATTGCATATTCCTCTCTATTCTTTCCTTCTAGAACATTTTCTCACATCCTGTTCCCCATATCTTTTTTCATCCTGTCCACATCTTCCTCTCTGTTGCCTTTATTCTGGGTAATATTCTTAGCTCTGTCTTATACATCAACAATTCTCATTTTAGCTGGTTTAATCTGTTGTCTAACACATTTATTGAGGTTTTATTTTTATTGGCAGACATTCTATTTGATTCTGCTTGTTATTTTCACATCATTCTGCTCTTTTGCGATTATGTCTACTTTTGCTTTTATCACCTTAATATTTTTAAGCAGACTTATAGTCCTTTCACACTGTTATTCTGTTACCTGAAGTTCCTGAGACTGCTAATTTTACTGTTTGAGTGTCTGCCGACTTTTCCTTATGGTTGATAATTTCTTCCTATGGTTTGTAGTTTTTGAATGATTGCTAAATCCTAGCAGGAATTTTTTATACCATGGGAGTCCCAGGGAGCCTAGTGTTCTGATAATGTTTTTACAGAATGTTTTTGCATTTGGTCTGCAGAGAACCTTGGGTGTTTTACCAGTCTAAGACAAGCTTATGATGTTAATTGATCGTGTTAGAGATATCCCTGCACTTACCAGTAGTGTAAACTTGATTTTCAACCTGACCGTGTGGTGCAGACTTGGCATTTCAGTTTCTCATGGATGAGTCGTTTTGTAATTTTCCAACCCAGAGCCCTGGTGAGTGACAAATTCCTCAGTTTGCTTCTCCAGACTGGTGGGCACAATGTATTAGTCCCCCTTTCACTGAGACAATAGCCCTATCAGGGTTCTAGCTTTAGTTTATCTAGACCTCAATTTTCAATATTTTCCATCATCCTAGTAGGAACAGTGAGTAGAGAAACACAAATGAATAGATAAAATTTGCCTTTTAGTGAGCAGCAATGCTGACTTCAGTATAAAGCCACCATAATCCACTCACTATAACCCAGTCACCATAACCCACTCTCCACTCACCATAACCCAGGGCACTATCACCCCATTCCCTGAAGCCAAGAAATTGTTTTTCCATTTGTTATAGGTACACATTTCAAACTTCAAAGTCAGTAGTGCAATAAATGTATTTTCTTTTTTTCTGGCCCGATGTGATTATTTCACTGCATGTTCCATATCCCTCTGATTTGTAGAAAACAAAAAAACAAACTTTGGTTCTTCCAAGGGTCATGTCACATCCATGTCTTTTGCACCCAAAGAGTGGCTGAATTTGATTCTCAGTCATCTGTCTGCACAAGCTGCCATGGATGCAGCCATTGTCCCTGTCCGCGTGGCTTCTTTTCATCCATTTATTCAGTGCTTCTTTGTAAAGCTTAGAAAGTGAGAATCTTTTGTGAGCCTTCCTGGGGTCTCATCTGCCTGGAAGCACCGCATGCCTTTCTTCTCTGAGGTTTTGTGATCGCTCCCATCCGTGCTCCTGGGAAGTGAGTGTCAGTCAGATCTCTGCTGCTGAGGGATCCAAAAAGTGCTCTCATGCTCTCTCTGTCTCTGTCTGTCTCTTTTTGTCTGTCTCTCTTTCTCTGTCTCTGTCTTTCCTTCCTCTCTCTCTCTCTTCCTCTAGCTCTCTGTCTCTGCCTCTGTCTCTTTTGGTCTGTCTCTCTCTTTTTCTCTGTCTCTGTCTTTCTCTTTCTCTCCTTCCTCTGTGTCTCTCTCTCTATCTCTGTCTTTCTCTCTGTCTTTATATATCTCTGTCTCTGTCTCTTTTTGTCAGACTATCTCATTTTTCTGTCTCTGTCTGTATCTCTGCCTCTTTCTTTTCTTTTTTTTAAGACAGAGTTTCACTCTACTCACCCAGGCTAGAGTTCAATGGCACGATCTCAGCTCATTGCAACCTCCATCTCCCAGGTTCAAGCGATTCCCCTGCCTCAGCCTCCCAAGCAGCTGGGATTACAGGTGTGTGTCACCACGCCCGGCTAATTTTTGTATTTTTAGTAAAGAAAGCATTTCACCATGTTGTCCAGGCTGGTCTAGAACTCCTGACCTCAGGTGCTCCACCCACCTCAACCTCCAAAAGTGCTGGGATTACAGGTGTGAGCCACCATGCCCGGCCCTCTCTGTCTCTTTCTGTCTCTGTCTTTCTCTCTCTGTCTGTCTCTGTCTCTTTTTGTCAGTCTCGCTTTTTTTTTCTCTATCTCTACCTTTCTTTTTCTCTGTCTCTCTTTCTCCCTGTCTGTCCCACACATGTGTATGTCCATATTTTTTATGGACATACGAGTAGTTGTTGGGATTAACTTTTTACTTAGAGCTAAATAACTTTGGATGAGTATTTTAAGTTCTCAATCCCTCGATTCCCTCAAGTGTCATAAACTGCAGGGGGGGTGCCATATTTGATGATAGTGCTTACAGGTCTATAGTACATGCTCTTTGTTCCCCACCAGGTCCCCTTTACAGCCCCCAGCTTCTGGTGGTGATGACTATGAGTTCATACTGGCATTCTCTCAATGGGAGCACTCTGCCTAGAGATGCTTGAGAGATTAAAAACCCCCTCCCCAGGGCCACCTGCCTCCAATAGCTGACTGATGTTGGGGGTACCAGAGCGAGCCCCCTTTCTTGTGCAATTCACAGTCTGCAGCTCTCTATGGGATTGGACTGAAGCCAGACTGAGGCGCCAGAAACCACCAGACATCTTTGTCTAGTTTTTCACCTGTCTCCATCACTGTCTTACATGTTTCTCCCAAGAAGAGTCCGATCACTTACACAGGAAGCCCCTTCTCAGGTTCTGCTTCTAGGCCCCTGACCTAAGACAGAGCCCAAATCATAGTAACGCTCAGAACACAAATGTTTCTGACACTGGAGATGAAGGTCTTAGCTTCTATATTGACTGCATTGTCCTTCTCTAAATTGAATTATTTTACAGACACACATACAGATGCCTGATAGAGGGTAAGTGCCAGAGAAATGAGCATTCATTCAAAAAAATATGTACTGAAGTCTTACTACGTGCCAGACACTATTATAGACACCAGAAATTACACAAAATTATAACCATGTGAAAAACTTGGATTTCATAATCATATTAATAGTTACCATCTACCAGCAATCTATTATATGCCAGATACTTTACATATTATATATAGTACTCAATACAACACTGCAAAGCTGACATTATTTTTGCCTTCTTTTGTCATAAAGCAACTAAGATCTGGAAAAGTCAAGTAATTTGTTCAAGGTCTTGCGCCTAGGAAGTGGTAAAGGGAGCATTCATATTGAGGTCTTTTTGTAATCCACATTCTCTTTTTAAAAATAGATTCAGGGGGTGCATATGCAGGTTTGTAACATGGATAGATTGTATAACGATGAAGTTTGGATTTCTAGTGTGCCCATCATGCAAATAGGCAATTGCACCCAATAGGCAATTTTTCAATCCTCACTCTCCTTCCATTTCCCCCACTTTTGGAGTCTTCAGTGTATATTATTTCCATCTTTATGTCCATGTATGCCCACTGTTTAGCTCTCACTTATAAGTGAGAACATGTGGTATTTGATTTTCTGTTTCTGAATTATTTCACTTAGGATAATGGTCTCCAGCTCCATCCATGTTGCTACAAAAGACATCACTTGATTCTTTTTTATGCCTGCATAGTATTCCATGATGTATATGCCCCACATCTTCTTTATCCAGTCATCTATTGAAGGACACTTAGGTTGATTCCATGACTTTGCTATTGTGAATAGTGCTGTGATAAACATACTAGGGCAGGTGTCTTTTTTACATAATGATTTATTTTTCTTTGGGGATATACCCAGTAGCAGGACTGCTAGGTCCAATGGGAGTTCTATTTTTAGTTCTTTAAGAAGTCTCCATGCTGTTTTCCCTATTGGTTGTACTAATTTACAGTCCCACCAACACTCATACTCTTTTCTAAGACTTTGTTGCCTGTTCTATCACCCAGAATGTAAATGTCTGCATCCCCCACTACACTAGACTTGAGGTAATGGCAAGATAAGATCTTTTTCATCTTAATATCCCCAGTCCTAAGAAAGTGCTTGGCATCCCCAGAAATGTTTGCTGAATGAGTGAGTGAATGAATACATGAGAATCTGAGAATCAGCCATCAAGACTGAGGTAATCTGTTTCCAGAATTGATGCCACACACTCTCTTCCCTGCAGGACTCCAGTTTTCCATTCCAGAGAAGGCTGGTAAAAGAAGACACAATCTAGCTTTTAGTAATCCACTTCCATTTAATTTAATATGCATTTTGTGGGCTTAATATGGGTAAAAGCATTGTCTGTTTCCAGCTAACAATCCAGTTTGGCTGAGCAATCAGCCTCAAAGGAGGGTGATAAAGCCCCTGAGCAGAGCCTAGTGCCTGTGAACCATCAAGGAGAAAAGCAACAGAGCAATAGGGCAGCCAGGTAAAAGCAACTCAGGTGACCTACACTTCTGAGATGTATTCTGGTCTCCAGAAGAAGACTGCGTGTCCTGGAATTTTTGCAAATGGTTAGGGTCATTTGGGACATTAAGGCAGGCTCCAGGAAGGCACTTGGTGGAAATTTATTGGAAAGTGTCAGGTCAAGAGAGAGTCTACCTTGGTTGAAACTTATCGGAAAGTATCAGGTCAAGAGAGAGCTGTGAGGCGGGTACATGCTTTTACCAAGGGTTGGGCAAGATATTACCTGACATAAGCATCCATTAGAGGATTCGCCTGACCCTTATCTCTGAGAATTGCCCCTATACCCAAAACCATGGCTCTGTTTCTACTGCACTACATGTCTTCTGGCCATTGGGGACAGGGCCAGAGACAGACACTTGACCCAACTGCGCCAGATTCTTGGTCCTGAAAAACATCACTGATGGATCCAGAGTCTTGGAGTTGGCAGCTGTGTCAGGCCATGGTAGAGCTTTAGAGGGAAGGTTGATAAAGTCCCTCACTGACATCCCAAGACTTCCCTGGCTCCTGCAATTTCTTGAGGTATTGTTCACCTTTTCCTTGGATTCCAAGAGTGACTATATCCTTATATTCTTCCAACAAATTTTCTTTCTTTTCACTTAAACTAGCAAGATTAGGTTTTTGTTGCCTGCAATCAAAACAGCCTCAACTAAAACAGTGCCAGATAAAGGCTGGGGAGAGACTAAGGGCAGCTGCCTTTTATCTGTATTTATCCTTCCTTTGGTATATTTCCCCTGTTTCTTAAGAGGGAAATAGAGGGGGCTTCTGACACTTACAGTCTAGTGGGAAAGACAGACATACACAAATCATTTCAATACAATGTGGTAAGTGCTCTAATAGAGGTATGATAAGAGCGCCATGGGAACAGAAAGGAGGCATCTTCTCACTCTGCTTGGAGTGGGGGTGGGGAAGGCTTCACACAGAGCTGAGTCTCTTAGGATGGGTGGGGGTTCTGATGTACTGATGTATTATCAGGAGCATCAGGAAAGTGTTAGCAGCTTTTGTGTTTCTTAAAAGGATAAGAGATGAAAGAGGAAATAGAGTAAGCTGTAATTTGCTTCTGTCTGTAAGGTTGTTTTAGTCAAGATAGTCTAGGTTTTGCTGTGGTAACATATTAACCCTGAAATCTCAGTGGTTTCAATCCAACAGGCTGTATTTCCTCTTCACAGTACATGTCCAGCAAGGTCAGTGGGGGAACTCTGCTCCATAGAGCTACCCAGAATGATGGATGGAGGCTCTGACATTTTGTTGCTGGTCCATCTAGAATATGAAGCCTTCCTTGGTCACCAGGACAGAAGAGGAGAGAGGAATAGGGTCATCATGATAATTCAATGCTTTGGTCTAGAGGTGACACATCACTTCCATTCCAGCCCACTGTCCACATAGCCCTGTCCCACTTTATGGGGGTTAGGCTGTGTCATCCTCTGGTGTGCTCAGGGGAAGAGGAGGATCACATAAAGTTGGGCACCAGAAGTCTCTCCCATTAGAGGGGAATCTTATTAACTTACTCATTAAACACTTTCAGAGAAGGATGATATGGGAAGAACCCTCTCTTTCTTTGCACATTTCCTCATTTCCCTTTTGAGTCATCTCAACTCCCATCACCTCATGCCACATTCCGTGACTAATCAAGGGATATTATGATTATTATCAAGGTATAATATGAAAGGAATAACCTTTCAATTGTCTGAAACAGAGATCTTTATCTTCCCCCTCAAAACCGGCACCTTCCACAGCCTTCCCTGCCTGAGTTAAAGGCAACTCTATCCTTTGACTTGAGCATGTCCACCTTGACTACTCTCGTTCTTTTACCCCACGTCTATTACATCAGGGAATCCCATTGGCTCTCCCTTCAAAGTATATTTAGAATCCAACTACTTCTCACCACTTTAACTCCTATCGCCCTGATCAGAGCCACCATCATTTCAGGTTTTTTGCATGGATTTCTTACTGACCTCACTGGCTCCATTATTGCTTAATTATGATCTATTCTCAACACAGCAGCCACCAGATCCTGCTAAGTATCAGATCATGTCCCATCTCTGCCCAAAGCCCTACAATGGACCTCATTTCATCCAAAGGAAAAACCAAAGCACTTACAGTGTCCTACGAGGTCCTACACGCTTCTCCCGCCCTATTATCTTTCCAGCCTCATCTCATCTGACTTACACTCCCTTTTCTCCGGACATTGTCTCCTTGCACCGTGGGCTCACTCCAATCTCATAGACTTTGCTCCTCCTGTTCTTTCTAGCCTGGAACACCTTTCCCCAAAATATCTGTTTCTTTAAGTCCCACATGTTCTTTAAGTATCTGGTCAAAAATCCCATTCTCAGTGATGCCCACTTTGACCTCCCTATTGAATACTGTGACTCCTCTCCATCTCCATTGTCCATCTCTGGCAATTACATGCTCCACTTTTTAATTTAATACCACTTATCACCTTCTGCTGATGTACCATATAATTTGTTTATTTGTTGTGTGTATTGTTTGTACTCTGCTGTGCTAGAATGTAAGCTCACTGACGGCAGGTTCTCTCTCAGCTTGGTCCATTTAATATATTATAAGACTCTATTCACTTGCTATCTTTCAGGCATCTAGGATGGTGCTTGGCACATAGTAAGTGCTCAATAAATATTTGTGGAATACATAAGTGAAGTATGGTTTCAGAGACAATTGCTCTCAATGATTCTACCTGATGAAGTTATCTTATCCCTCTATGATCTTGAGATGTGAAATACCTACTCATAAGCACTAGGAAAGTGGCATATATACCAGCACACTTCCAACACCCAATGCTAAGGAGAACATTGGGTTTATACATGGGTCACCCCCAAGGGATCCTACAGATAATAAAGGAGGATGGTGAAAGAAAACTTGCTACAAGGAATACAAGTTAACACAGGGTGAACCCATGCATAGATAAGAAAATGCAGGGTTAGAAAACTCTAAGAAGTATCTAAACGGGCATTTGTAGATCAAGGCACCAGACTGTCCATTTCTGCCAAAGGCTGAGTTCATGAGGCTCTCACATTCCCCCTTTATAATAATCCACCCAGATACCAAATCGGTGCTCACCCATCACCTCACCTGAAACCTAGCCCCACAGCTTGACTATTCTGCTCCTGATGCTGCCTGCATCCCCAAATATTACCTATAGCCATGCAGTGACACATGAAACAGCATTGTAGCGTGGTGGAAAGGGCACAGACCTCAAAGTCAGACAAACCTGAATCAAGATCCTGAGTCTTAGTTCCCTCATTTTCAAAATGTGGCTGAAAATGTCTCCACCATAGAGTTATTAAGAAGGTTAAGTTATGTAATAGATATTAGTACCCTAACACAGTTGCTGGCACTGAGTCCATACTTGAGCAATTCCTGATCCCATTATGTTTCTGATCACCTGTAGGATGCTCCCACTTCCTGTAGGACTCAGAACTGATTACTTGTCCAGTTTACCACCTGTTGTCAAAATAACATGTTCTGCCTCCCAACACTCATTGCTGAGTCTGTCTTCCAAGGAAACTTTTATTCCTAGAGCTTAGATAAAGATATGAAGTGGCTTCCACCACTGAAAGGGGAAGAATGTGGGAGTAAGTAGTTGGATAGGCAAAGGCCTGCAGAGCCTCTGGAGTCTTGGGTAGAGAAAACAGGTTTTGTTAAGAATCTATCAGCGTGAGTCTGCTGAAAGATCAAGTCTGATTCTATATGTGTAGATTTCAATTATGCTTGGCCAAAATATTACTGATACAGAGAAAGTCCTTGTATCAGTTGCAACATTGAGTAAAAAGTCCTCAGAAGATCAACCACTTCCTTAGAAAAAAGGTTGCTCATGCCTGTAATCCCAGCACTTTAGGAGGCCAAGGTGAGCGAATCACAAGGTCAGGATCCTGGCTAAAACGGTAGCCTCTGGTCTCATCCTGGACTAACTCATCCCTCTGGGATCATCCTGGACAATGTGCGAAGCCCAAGCCCTGGAGGGCTGTCTGCAGCATGGGTGATGGTGACATGCTTCCGGTGGCCTGTGAACCTGTCCAGACCATCCTGGCTAACACGGTGAAACTCCGTCTCTACTAAAAATACAAAAAAATTACCTGGGCATGGTGGCTTGTGCCTGTAATCCCAGCTACTCAGGAGGCTGAGGCAGGAGAATCGCTGGAACCCAGGAGGCAGAGGTTGCAGTGAGCCGAGATTGCGTCACTGTACTTCAGCCTGGGCAACAGAGAGAGACTCCGTCTCAAAAGAAAAGAAAAGAAAAAAGGTTGGAGAATGAGCATATAATGTTGAAGGTGGTAAATAACTTTCTTTTTCTATTGTTCTTTTTTAAATTTTACTTGAAGTTCTGGGATATATGTGCAGAACGTGCAGGTTTGTTACATAGATATACATATGCCATGGTGGTTTGCTGCAGCTGTCAACCTGTCATCTAGGTTTTAAGCCCTGCATGCCTTAGGTATTCGTCCTAATGCTTGCCCTCCCCTTACCCCCCATGCCCCAACAGACCCCGGTGTGTGATGTTCCCCTCCCTGTGTCCATGTGTTCTCACTGTTCACCTCCCACTTATGAGTGAGAACATGCAGTGTTTGGTTTTCTGTTCCTGTGTTAGTTTGCTGAGAATGATGGCTTCCAGCTTCATCCATGTTCCTGCAAAGGACATAAACTCATTCTTTTTTATGGCTGCATAGTATTCCATGGTGAATATGTGCCACATTTTCTTTATCCAGTCTATCATCAATGGACATTTGGGTTGGTTCCAAATCTTTGCTATTGTGAATAGTGCCGCAATAAACATACATGTGCATGTGTCTTTATAGTAGAATGATTTATAATCCTTTGGGTATATACCTAGTAATGGGATTGCTGGGTCAAATGGTATTTCTGGTTCTAGATCCTTGAGGAATTGTCACACTGTCTTCCACAATGGTTGAATTAATTTACACTCGCACCAACAGTGTAAAAGGATTCCTATTTCTCCACAGCCTCACCAGAATCTACAAGGAACTTAAACAAATTTACAAGGAAAACAAACAAACAAACAACCCCATCAGAAAATGGGTGAAGGATATGAACAGATACTTCTCAAAATAACTAAGTATGAAGAAAAGGCAGGAACTGTAAAATAAAAAACTAGTAAATTTCACCAAATAAAAATTTTTTAATGTGTTCCAAAACATATATATGATAATATATAATATGTAATATTTTATCTTAAGAGCTAATATATAAAGAACTCTTACAAATCAATAAAATAAAGATCAACCTTCCCAATAGAAAAATGGTCAATGGACATGAAATATAAATTTATAAAAGAAATACAAACTGTTAATAAAAAATTCCACCTCACTCACTAGCAAATAAATGCAAATAAAACAACAAGATAGTATCCCCACCTATTAAATTGGCAAAGGTTAACCAGAAAAATACTAACCAATACTGGTAAATGTGTGGGAAAGTTGACATTCCTATATACTATATTTTTAGAAGTGTAAATATCTTTCCAGTAAGTATTAAAAACCATAATATTACACATATGTTTTGGCCCAACAACAATCATAAATGAGCACAAACATTTGGCTATTAGAATGCTGAATTGAAGCATTATTATTATTATATTAGTTATATTAGCAAAAAATTCTGCAGAAACAAGATAAATACAAAAAGAATATTAGTCACCTGTATTAATCAAACTCTGGTGCCTTCAAACAGCAGAAGATGATCCAGTCATTAAGAATGGAACTAGAGGGGGACAAAAGTGCCTGCAATTGACAATTCAGCCATTCAACTATGTTCATTCACTCAACAACAACTCACTGAGCACATACACAATATTCAGCACTGCTGACATCAAGATGAACAGAATACAATCCCTTCCATCAAGAAACTGCCATTTTATTGTGGGAGACATTTGGTTAATGATACACCAGAGGTATGAACGGAGTGTGGCCGTATTCTCTCCTCCCCCACCAAAAAAAAAAAAAAAGAGTCTATCCTGGCAAGTGATCCAGATTTCGAAGAATCAGTAGCAGCAATTAGCAGTTCTAAACCATGAGTTAATTGTTGAAACTCCAAGACCAAAAGGCATGTGTGTTAGTTATCTATTGTTACATAACAATATTATAATACCACCAACTGAGCAGCTTGAAATAACTCACATTTATTGTCTCACAGTTTCTGACAGTGGTTTGGTGTCTGATCATGGCTTACCTGGGTTCGCTACTTCAGAGTTTCACAAGGCTGCAGTTAAGATGTCAGCCAGCTCTGTGATCTCATCCAATGACTTGACTGGGGAAGAAGCCACTTCCAAGTTCATGTGGTTGTTGGCAGGATTCAGGTCCTTGTGGGCTGTTGGACTGACAGGCTTAGTTTCTTGCTGGCTGTTGGTCCCTCTTAGTTCTCAGCTGTTTGTTGGACAGGAGCCTCTCTCAGATCCTTGCTCATGGGCCTCCACAGCATACTCACTTGCTTCATCAAAGCCAGAAAGAGAGACAGTCTGCTAGCAAGACAGATGCTATGGTCTTCTGTCATATAATCATGAGAGTGTCATCCTGTCACCATGGCCATTATATGGGTTAGAAGGAAGTCACAGGTCCTTCCTATCCTGCAAGGGGTAAGATTCTACAAAGGCACCAGGAGGCAGAGATCATTTGAAACAATCCTAGAGTCTGTTCACAACAGGGTAAAGGAGAGAAACATTAGTTCCCTGAAGCTGAGTCACTGGGGAAGCCAAATCAAAGGTGTGGGTTGGGATGGAGAATTCCCCAAACTGAGGCCGGTGGCATTGTCTTGGCCTCACTGTCAAAAAAATCATCCCCAAATTTGCAAAGTGGTCCATCCCATGAGTTCTTCTAAGCATGAGTATAGTGTATCTGGGGCAGGAAGCTCAGACTCAAATATCCACAAGGGCTGAGCAGGTAACATAATCCATACAGTTCTCCTCTTAAAGGAAAGTTGGAGACTGCAGCAAACTGGGCCACACATGGCCCATCATAAAGGGACTGCTGCCAGGCAGCTCAAGGAGTTTGTTGTCTATGCAGGAATGCAGTCCTATTCCTGCCAGAATTTCTGACTTTACAAAGAAGCTCCTTAAACCACATTTGTCCATGAAATTTCCCAAAATTTTAAATTATTTGTGGGCTAAGGAAAACATATCTGCCAGCCAGATCCAGCTCCCAGGACCTCAGTTTCAGATCCCAACCTAGCAACCTATCCTGAATTTGCAAGGATACAGAGCAAGGCCACTTGCTGAATTTCAAGCTAATATTTTCCACTCTGCTAGCTCCTGGCTGTTACTAACATGTTCTCTTCCCTTTTGAGTTTCTAATTGTGTGAACTCCTCACATTCAAGGCAGACCAGCCTGCTGATTAGTTTTAAATTTCAGGAGCTTTAAAGTCTCCAAATTTGGAGGTAAGCGGACTCTCATTAAGAAGTCATTTGATAAAAATTAATCCCTCCAGGAATATCTTGGACTCAGAAGAAAGCCCCAGCTCTCTCATTAGCTGGTTTTAAGTATCCAGTCCACCTCGGAGGCCCCAATCCTCCCTGGGTTTGACTCTGGGGCTCCAAACAGCTGCCACTGTGTCTGGAGACCAGATGCCAGTGATTCTAAAATCACAGGAAAGGATGCAGCAGAACTTCGAACTCAAAGGCTACAGCAAGCCCCCTGCCCCCTGAGCCCAACTCCTCAGATTTAATCACTTCCCCTTGAGCCTGAGAATGAGGGGACAGATTTTCATCTTACTGAGTAGATTTCAGAGCTTACTTCGCCTAATCCTTGCAGATTTGTCACTGACCTAGCAAAGAGAATAACTAAATGAGTGTTTGGGGGTCACCACGGGGGAGCTCCTGGGAGAAGAAACATCCCTCTGGGCTCATCCTGGACAACGTCCGGAGCCCAAGCCCTAGAGGGCTGCCAGCAGCATGGGTGGTGGTGACGTGCTTCCAGGGGCCTGTGAACCTGTCCAGAACCGGCCTCAACTTTAATCTCTAACTAACCCAGTTATAAAAAGCTTTTATGTTAGTGAGTGGTTGTTTTGGAAGCAAGGTAGCTTTCTTATTTTTTTTCCTAAATGTTTCTATTTTTATTTTTTGAAAAGATAACACATGCACATGGTTTTTTAAAAAATGTAAACAGAACAAAAGGGAAGACCATGAAAAGTAAATTCCCCCATCCCTACTTTTGTATCCCAATTCCCCACCCCAGGGCAATTGCTGTTATAAGTTTCTCCTGAAGAAAGATGGATGTTTTTAAATTTTCTAATCTGGCCTCAAAAATAGCCAAAGGCCAAACACAGCCCACAATAATGTAATTAAAATGAGTGATGGAGCCATACACATGACATGTCACAGGAAGAGAAAGATCACAAACACAAACTCACACTCAGAGAGCACACAAAATCAGTGTGTGTGTGTGCAGAGTGTCTTTGTGTGTAAAGAGAGTGTGTGGGTGTGAAGGATTTGTAGGTATAGTGTGTGTGCACTTGTGCATATACTACTTGTGTGCCAGGGTGTGTGTGTGCGTGTGTGTGTGTTGCCCTCGTCTCTCTGAAAACTTCAGTCAATTCCATAAACATTTATTGTGTGCTGTGTGCCAGGCCCTGTTCCCAGTGCTGTGGGTTATACCAAGATAAATCATATAAGGTCCCTGGCTTTGGGGAGCTTACGATAAGAATAATTCACATTGGATTGGCCCCTTTCCCTTTACAGGGAAATTTTCAGGCGAGTTATGTCATAACTCAGGCTGGCTACAGCCCGAGGCATGCTGGGACTTAAGCAGCCAGGGCTGAGCTGGCAGGAGGGGGAAGCCCTGATGGGGGATGGGTACATGGAACCAGCAGCAGAGGCTGGGTCTCCGCAGACTGCTAAGGACCAGGGACTTGGGCCACAGGCGCCACCCCCTTGAGAAGGTTCAGATAGGCACCTGTGTCAAAAAGGCCAGATGCATGCTGCATTGGCCTGGCGATTCTGTTCCTACAGTAGCACTGCTTCATAGCCCAGCTCTGCCACTAATTACAAGTGTGATCCTGGGCAAATCGCTTAACCTCTGTTCATCTCTTCAACAGAGACAGATGATAGTTTCCTCCTCCTAGAGGTCATATGAGGATTAGTGAGGTAAGGCAAGCAAATACATAGCATGGTGTTACTCAGTAAATGCTCAATACAGGGCATCATGGCTGCTGTTATTATATTGCTATTATTCAACAACACAAAACTCTGAATCTCCACAATTTAATACAAGAAGGGGGATCCCCTGGTTTAGAGGGATGCCTGATCAAGGGCCCTTGAATTGAGCCTCTTAAATGTCACTTTCCATTTGAGGACCCTCACTCTGATTCTGGCTCTTGCTGCCTCTCCTGGTCAGCTCCAGCCCCAAAAAAGCATAATGAAAACAGGGCAGAATTTTCAAAAAGTTTTGCTAAATTTTAAGGCAAGTCAGCACACTGCTTACAAAGAATCTAACTGTACCCCATCTTGCCAGCTCACGGTGGCTTTCAGGCCCATCTCTCTCAACATGGAACCCCAAGGAAAGAGGCAGCTTTGCATGAGTCCCTCATTTCCTGGCTCAAGTCCAGTAGGTTCCTAAGCTTTGCAAGTATATACCAAGCATCCTACACAGGTGGAGGGTCGGATAAGTTCCCCCAGAGAAAGCAACTCTGGAGCAAACACCTGAAAAAGGAGTTTGAATATCTGCATGGGAGGTGAGGAGGGCAGAAATGCAGAGGACATTCTAAGCAGGAAGGTGAGCATGGGCAAAGGTCCTGGAGCAGAAAGGCACATGGTGGATTTGAGAGATGGAAGGAAAAAACCATGTGCCTGAAGAGGACAAAATAAGGGGAAAAATAACAAAAGATGAGATTAGAGAGGTAGGCAACTTCCAGATTGCAAAGAATGTTGTGGCCATCTGTGGTGAACACTGCTACCACTCAGGCCCTATTCTAAGGAAGAACCTGTTACTCCAGATGCTAGGCATGTTGTGGTGGCCAGCTGTCCATGGTCAGGACCTTCAGGGATTGTCTCAACTGCAGACGGCTGCCTCATCCATTGTCACACCCTTTATGGGGCAATTCATACCCGGTGGGGCTGTAAAGGCGTAACCATCTTTACTCAACTCAAGAAAACAGTGATGGACCAGTCCAACTCCAGAGCTCCCCATGGGACAAGCTGAGGCTGTCTTTGGGCCCATATCGTGGCTTAACTCTTTCTGCCCATTTGTGTTTCCATCTCCTGCATCCATGAGTGTTTGTCCCAAGGGATTAAGAATGAGCATGCTTCATGCCAAACTCCATCTGTTTTCTGGGGAACCCAACCTATACCACCATGTCCAGAATTTTGGATTTTATTCTAGGAGCCATTGGGGAACTATTGAAGGGCTTATGCAAGGGAGTGACATGATTGGAGTTGCATTGTAGAACACTTAATTGGCTCCTCTGGAGAAAATGGGTTGGAAGATGATGCTTCCAAGTGAGTTGGGTATGGAGGCAGTTCTTCTGGCCGTCTAAGTGTCCTCAACCCATTCTAAGACATGTTCCCTTCCCCAGATAATCCTGGCAAGGTCTTACCCTTTAGGGAACAACTTGTCATTCACCCTATACACCATGTCATGCAACACCACAACCACTGAGGTCATGCATCAGGGGTTACACACTCACAATAATGAGGGCAACATTGGAACTGGAGGGGGATGTGTAAGAAGCTCAATAAAGTCAGACTGAAGGTACAGCCCTAGGAGTTTAATAAGATGCTTTAGCAGTGACTCTCAGCAGTGATAGGTGCACAGAGAGTTTTGGATACCCCTTGCCATCACTTCTCAGGGGTCTTCAGATCACAGCTTCAGATCTTAAGCTTGGAGAGCATGCTTAAGATCATTGCTATGGAGTAATTTCTCCGTGACACAACAAGTCTAAAATTTGTATGAATGCCACAGCTCAATGTTTCTCAAAGTGTGGTCCTTGGGGCAGCATCAAGGAACCTGTTAAATGCAAACTCTTAGGCCCATGTCAACTAACTCAGAAACTCTGGAGCTGGGGCCCAGCAAGTTCTCCAGGTGGCTCTGATGCTTAAGTCTGAGAACCACTTTCTATTAAAACACGATGAAACATTTATATCAATAAGGATCAGTTCTATATGCATGTATTTAAACAGGTGGTCTCTCACCTGAAAAATAGAGTTAGTCATTTAAAAAGGACAGTTACCTGGAGAATGGCTATTTAGTCTTGCTGTGCATCAGAATCAACTATGAAATTGGACTTATTTTCTTTCTTCTTCTTTTTTTTTGGAGACAGGGCCTCACTCTATTGCCCAGACTGGTGTGCAGTGGCTCAATCATAGGCTCGCTGCAGCCTCAACCTCCTGGGCTCAAGCCGTCCTCCCACCTCAGCCTCCCGAGTAGCTGGGACCATAGGTATATGCCGCCATGCCCAGCTAATTTTTAAATTTTTTTTGTAGAGACAGGGGTCTCGCTATGTTGTGCAGGCTGGTCTGAAACTCCTGGCCTAAAGCTATCCTCCCACCTCAGCTTCCCAAAGTTCTGGGATTACAGGTGTCAGCCACCACACCCAGTTGTATTTTTTTAATGCTGATGGTCAATATTTAATGTATACATTCAGCTCAGTCTGTTTTTTAAGAACCACAGATGATTCTGATGTATAACCAGGATTGAAATCCATACTAATTCACAGATAGAATTCTATCTGTACAGTAGAGCAAGGATTTAGTGGTCAGGACTGAGAAGGAGTTTCTAAACCAGTCATCACCAACCCTGACTGCACGTTAGAATCACTGAGGAAGCTTTCAAAAACCCCAAAGCCTGAGCTAAATCCTCAAGACCAATTACATAAGAGCACCCCAGGTGGCCCCCAGGGAGCATCTTGCACTTGGAAACAGGATAGAAGTGGGAGAAGAGGGGAACTCTGACACAGGATTCTGAAATTATAAAAATCTTTTGAAGCTGGGGCTGTGGTTCTTTTTATTTGGTTTTGTCTTCTTATTTATTTATTTTAACTTTTATTTTAAGTTCAGGGTACATGTGCGGGTTTGTTACATAGGTAAACTTGTCTCATCACCAGGTATTAAGCCTAGTACTCATTAATTATTTTTCCTAATCCTTTTCCTTCTCCCACCTTCCACCCTCCAATAGGCCCCAGTGTGTGCTGCTCCCCTCTATGTGTCCATGTGTTCTCACGTGGGAGCTGTGGTTCTTAATCTAGGGGCCTCCCCATCAACTAGGGAGTCTTTTATGTATAATGCATATATTATGTATATATGCATGTGTTATTTATTTATTTTTGAAAGATGCCCAGCTCCCACACCAGACCCAATGAATCAGAATTTTCTGGGATGTGAGCCCTGGGCAGGTTAATTAAAGTCCTCCACAGATTGTTTTTATGCTCACCCTTGGTTAAGAATCTCATTTAGAAAAAGGAAAACACAAGTTTGACCAAAGTTTTAAGAAGAAGAGAGATTCATTAAAATAGATAGGAAACTATATTATAAAGACGTAATAAAACACTGTAGTGATGTGTAGCAAAGGCATACACATTGATGGAACAGAATAAAATTTCCAGAAATTGACATAGATCTATAAAAGTCAATGTAGTATATGGCATTTTTAATCAATCATCATTATGTTGAGACAACATGATACCCATCTGGGAAAAATTTGTTAGAATCTTAGCCCATACCATACCCCAAAATTAATTCTAGTTTTTTTTAAATTTTATGTAAAAATAAACCATAAGGACACTGAAAACATGGGTGAACAATTTTAGAAACTAGGGATGGAGAAGGGTTTTCTAAGCATGACACCAAATGCAGAAAACATAAAGGAAAAGTCTGTCAAACTTGATTATAACACATAAAAAACAGTAACAACTTATGTCAAAAACCATCATAAATAAAACTGAAGGGCAATTGATACACAGCAGAATATATGTTTGCCATTTATGATGATATCCTTAACATCGAAGCAGCTCCTTTAACTCAAAAAGAAACAATGAATACCCAACAAACAAAAGCACACAGGATGTGAAAATGCAATTAATAATAGAAAAATTATAAACTGGCTGGTACATATTAAGTGTATATGTCACATCACTAGAAATCAAAGAAATACAAAATAAAGCAATAATAAAATGTCACCTTTCTCAAATGAAACTTTTTTTTGAAGTGAATTAGAATGAGCCAGTGTTGGCTAGAATATAGGGACAAGGGAGTTATCATTTATGGCAGGCAGGAGTACAAATTCACCCACTGATCTGGCAGTTCCACCATTTCCAAGACTTCACCCTGAGGGAGTGGTGGATGTACACAAAGGTCGTATAATTTTGTATTGTGTACAGGCTCAATAATGATATTCTTCAGAGTGCCTTTACAACTGTGAAAAATAAATAAAGACTCACTGGTAGGAGACGTTAGCTACCTATGTACTGTTTTCCCTTTGAAAAATGACTGAAAGTGAACATAATAAAATATTAATAGTTGTTAACAGCACAGGGTGGGAGTATAGATGTCTATTAAGTTGTTCTTTGCACTTTTCTAGAACTTTAAATTCTTTCCAGATTGTGGTCAAATATGTTGTTATGGGAGAGTAATCACTGGCATGGAAAATAGTAAAAATATATTTTCAGTGAAAATAAATACAGATTTAAATACAGATTTATTGAGTATATTCTAAATTTTATTTTAAAAACATGGATGCAAAGCAAAAACTTGGTGTGCCAAGTTATTTAGGGGCTGGATAGATACATAATTTTTATTTTCTTCTTTGCGCTTTTCTGTTTTCTGTATTGAGCATGTATTACTTTTGAAATACACTGAAATCATACCTAAACATACTTAGAAGGCATGTCTAATTCCTATGCATCATGATTCTGAACATAAATGAAACTTCTTTTTAAAGGTACCTGCGAAGAGCCAGTTGATGTCACCTTAGAGGTCACATTGAACTTCTCAATGTGAAATATAGGGACAAAGGGAGCAGAATTCCAATTTCTTAAGATTCCTTCCAGCAAAGTTCTGATGTTATCCATTCAATAAGTATTCACTGAGCACCATGTTAATCAGGATTCTTGGGACACTTTTCAAAAGAAGACATATATGCAGCCAACAGTCATTTGAATAAAAGCCCAACATCCCTGATCATTAGAGAAATGTAAATCAAAACTACAATGAGACACCGTCTAATACCAGTCAGAATGGCTAGTATTAAAGAGTCAAAAAATGACAGATGCTGGTGAGGTAGAGCATCAGTCCTCCATGTGGAGAAAAAGGAACACTTACACACAGTTGGTGGGAGTGTAAGTTAGTTCAGTTGGTGGGAGTGTAAGTTAGTTTGTAGAAGACAGTGTGGCAATTCCTCAAAGACCTAAAGACAGAAATACCATTCAACCCAGCAATCCCATTACTAGGTACATACCCAGAGGAACATAAAACATTCTGCTATAAAGACACATGCAATGATATGTTCATTGCAGCGCTATTCGCAATAGCAAAGACAATGAATCAACCTAAATGCCCATCAATAATAAACTGGATAAAGAAAATGTGGTACATATACATCATGGAATACTATGCAGCCATAAAAAAGAACAAGATTATAACCTTTGCAGGGACATGCATCAAGCTGAAGGCTATTATCTTTAGCAAACTAACACAGGAATGGAAAACCAAATACTGCATGTTCTCACCTACAAGTGGGAGCTAAATGATGAGAACACATGGACACATAGAGGGGAGCAACACATGCTGGGGTTTTTTGGAAAGTGGAGAGTGGAAGGAGGGAGAGGATCAGGAAAAATAACTAATGGGTACCAGGCTTAATACCTGGGTGATGAAATAATCTGTACCACAAACCCCCATGGCCCAAGTTTACCTGTTAACAAACCTGCACTTGTATCCTTGAACTTAAAAGTTATAAACAAAAATGACATAAGTTTATCGAAAAAATTATTGGCTCACAAAGCTGATGGTCTAGGGACAGGTGGACCAGGCTCAGATGATCCAAGATTTAATCTCTTTCCATCTCCCAGGTCACCTTTGTGCTGGCTTCATTCTCAGGTAGCCTCTTCCCTAGGTGCAAAGGTGGCCACTGGCAGTTGTAGATGTTTAAATTATATCTCATTTCATTATAATATATTTATAACCATCAAAAAAGAGAGATCCTCCTCTTCACTGGCTCCCATCAAAGTCCAGGGGAATTCTCCTTAGATTTACATGGTCAGGTAATGCCTGAAACCATCCACGTGGCCAGGAAAAATGAACCTACTGAGCCAATCCTGGGTCACATGTTCATTATAAAGCTTGGGAGGGAGATCAGCCCCCTCTAAACGAAGGTCCATGAGAAAGGGAGCAGATTGGCTCCCCAAGGGAAAAACCAGAGTGTAGTTACAGGAATTAGGATTGATGCTAGACAGACAAAAATGGCAGATGTCCTCTTCAAGTATGCGTGCACAAGCTAAATGACTCTGTGCATGGGCAACCACCTGCCATTGAGCTGCCTCTGTTTCTATAATGTAATAAGCCTCAGGAGGTCGCTAGGTTAATATCACATGTTCTTAAAAGTCTCTTGGTAGGGAAGAACTGCTAGAATCTGTGGCCATGGTTTTGTCCTCTCAAATTCCTTTTCTAATTGCTCACCCCTAACACTCCCTATTTCCCTTCCCTGATTTATAGTTTCCAAAGCACTTGTCACCACCTGGTATACTACATACTGCATTTGTTTGTCATTTATCTTTTACCACTAGGAAGTATGCTCCTTAAGAGCAAGTCTCTGTTTTGTTCGTTGCTGTATCTCCAATGCCTAGAACAGTGCCTGGCCCACAGCAGGTGCTCAGAGATATTTGTTGGCTAAATGTATGGGTAAATAAAAGGATGAGCAAATGGATGGATGAATGCAATAATGAATGGACGAATGGGTTATTAAATGGGTAAATGGATGGATGAATGCAAGGATAAATGGGCTATCAAATGGGTACACAAATGGATGGATGGATGGATGGATGGATGGGGATGGATGGAAGGAAGAAAGGAAGAATTAAAGAATTTCACCTCTAATCTCAAAAAAAATCATGCTGCCTTTTAAAGCTTTGCTCCAACATGGATATAACCACCCCAGCCCTGTAGCAGAGCTAAGCTAGCTGGGATATTCAAATTGCCAAGTGCTAAGAGAGAACAAAAGAGAAGCAAACACTAAGAAACTCCCACCCCTACTCCCCCGAAAAATTAGAAAAACACTCTAGCTAAACAAGTAAAGTGTATAATCCTGCCACAGTTAGCTTGCTCCCAGAACTCTTAAGCCTTATAGCATTTCACACACTGTCTTGACACAACAAGATAGTCTCTGGACCACAGAGGTTGGTGCAACTCAGACTCTCCTTCCCTCACCAAGGACCATCTTGCTAGACATCCTCACTGTACATAACAAGAGAACCTGAGCCCAGCCCTGAATGAACCTTTGAGTTCTTTCCCAGTTTCTTCTTCTGGTCTGCAAGACATACCTCTTTTCCAGGTGCAAAGCCCTGGAAAAACCCTGTAACTACACTCCCTGCCCCTACAGAAAGTCTTCCACTGAAGCTTAGCACTATAGTAATGTCTTAATTCAATATAGAAACAATATTCATATAAAGCACTTCCACCAAGGAGTTAGGGGAAGGTGGGAAATTGCTGCTTTGCAAGACCAAAGGGAAAAGATTCAGAGACTACAGAACTGAAAGTCATTCCAAGTTTATTGACCTTCTCTGTTCATAAGTATTTTTCTGACTATTCCCTGATATATAAGGCAGAAAACAGTGGGGAGAAGACCTTAAGAGTCTTCAGGACTGTTTTGGGAAAGGAACTCTAGGAGTAAATTGAATGTTCACCTCATCTTGGCAAGTGGTTCTAGGGATTGTTATATAACAACAAAGGCTATCCGGGGTGATCACTATGTCCCAAGCACTGAGTTATTCACTTTACATACTCAGTGTCATTGAATCCTCTTGGCAAACTGAATCCCCATTTGATGGAGGAGGAAGCTAAGTCATGAAGGTTAAGTAACCTACCCAGTCACCCAGCTAGGCAGTGTCAGGGACAGGATTTGAACCCAAGCCATCTGATTCCAGTTGCCACACTCCTGACCACCATAACTTGTATAAACTTTCTGTGGCCGTCGGTCAGACCTAGGAAGTGCATCCTTATTTTTGTAGTCTCAGGCTGGTGGTTGAGATGAACACAAGGACATCTGGGCTCTATTTGCAGCCCACATCTCCTTACTGATAGTACTCTAACATCATCAGAGAAAAACCAGAGTGTAGTTACAGGAATTAGGATTGATGCTAGACAGACAAAAATGGCGGATGTCCTCTTCAGTATTTCTCACCTCTATAGGTCTCTGGACATCACCAAAGCATTGCACTGGGAAGAGCCCATTGCCTCCACCTCTGTGTGCCTGATCTATTACTTTTCAGCCCCAGAAAAGAAGCAAGGATAGAATTTACAGAAGCGTCACTCTCTAGGACTGCCATACTCCCTGTTATCAAAGTTGCCTTGCAGGCAACAGATCATTTTTGTATTAGAGTGATGGGAATGACACTCTGATGTCTGGTAGCTTAACCTCTGAAGTGGCCCCAAGCAATCAGTTCTGGAAAATTAGCAAACATTCTGTATTAGTTCAGGCTGCCACTACAAAATACCCTAGACTGGGTGGCTTAAACAATAAAAATGTATTTTCTCACAGTTCTGGGGGCTGAAGGTCTGAGGTTAGAGTGCCAGCATGGTCAGGAATGAGAGAAAGAGAACATTAATGTGAATGCTCTGATGTCTCTTCTTATAAGAACACGAATTCCATTGCATGACCTCATCTAAACCTAATTGCTTCTCAAAGACCCCGTCTCCAAATACCATCCCACTGGGGATCAGGGCATCAACATATTTTGGGTAGGCACAATTCAGATCATAGCACACTCCCAAACTAAATAGAAAATCATTCCTAAAACCCAAACAAGGATCTGTATGGCAGAATCATGCCAGCTGATAGAAAAAAAGCTAAGACAGTAACTTCCTGGCTCAGCAAGAAGGCAGTAGTAAATGGCCCCAACAGCTACCAGGTGCCGGGAACGATCTGAAATGTTTTACATGCATCACCTTAAATTAGCATGGTGTCGTTGGTACCATTACATGCCCATTTTACAGAAGAGGAAAGTGGGGTCACAGAGAGGTGGGGTGAACTTGCCCAAGCTCATATGGTTAGTCAGTGGCACCAGGATTTGACGCAGGTAGTCTGACTCTAGAGCCCCACACTTCACTTTATTTGGCTGTCTTTCCACTAACCTCCCTTGGGGAAAGGCTAACCTGATCCTTTCTCAGAACACTGACACATTGAGAGGTGTACCAAAGCATAGAGTCACTCTCCCTGGATTCAAAACCTAGCCCTACTATTTCCTAACTGTGTCTTCTTGGGTAAGTTTCTTAACCCAGCTATGCCTGAGTTTCCTTACCTGTTAAATGATGATAACCAATAGCTTCTACATAATAGGGTCATTGTGAAGGTTTAATGAAATAATAGACAGAAGCTCTTAGTCCTGCACATAGCACGTAATAAGTGCTCAAAACAATTAACTTGAAATATTGTGATTATGCCTTCAGGGAGCCTCTCTGCAACCATTTGAAAAAGTGCCTGGTCACATGTTCCACCATTCCCTGTCTAATGGGAAGTCACATCAGCAAAGCCACTGGAACTGCAAAGCCACTAGGCTCTGTGCTTGGCACCGTGTAGGTGCTCAGTAAACATTTGTTAAATGAATGAATGGATAATCCAAATAACCTCCAGCTCCAATGATAAAGTCCTCTTTCACCCTCCTGGAATGCACATTGATTTGTTCTGGATTTCTTGATAATTAATCTCTTGATGAAATTTAAGACCTGTTAATTACCCCTGATTAATTAGGGTGAACTTTTTAATTGCTTCCCTAAGCTGAAATACACTGTCAATAGGCTCCATAATTAGTGACCCAGTAATCAGTTTTAAACCAATTATCCCAGGGTAACAAGTGAAACTAGGCAAGAAGTGCCCCAGGGGCTTGGGCCAATTTCAGTGGAACTTAGAATAATACAAATTGGCACTTATGTGGGTGAAGAATGCATGTTCAGTGTAATTGGAAATACAGATACTCGGATTCTCTTGGGTATTTCATTTGTCTGGCTTTTCACTGCTGTGTTATTTGAAAACAATAACGTAAGTGTACCTTCCACACACCCAGTGAACAGCCTGGAGCAGATTTTTGGGGCTTCCTGACTGCCTTTGGGCACAATAAGGGCCAGCACATTAGGCTGTGCAGGTTGTGTACTGCATAATTCCAGGGACACCATTCACACTACAGTCTTTGTGAATGGCACCCCCAAAGGTTGTACAGTATACAACCTGGTTGCAATAACCCGTTGTTCACGTGATGCAAAGAATAGGGACTCAGTCATCAAGAATTCCTCCAAAGACAGTGATGGGCTCGGAGGCAAGCTGGGCTTTCCCAGGATGGGAAAATGTAAGTGCCAGGCACTTTTCATGGTCTGTCTAGAACTGTGGAGTTGTATCACATGCACATTTAATTTCTGCAAATCCAACCACTTTGATTTGGGGAAAAAAATTAAGAAAAAGAAATAATAACTTAAATAATACAGGCAATTCTGCCTGCCACTTCATTCAATATGTGCAGACCCCATAGTGAGCCTGAAATGGGGCTTCAAATCTGCTATTGTTTGTGTGCCTCCTACAAACAGAATACCACACCATATGGAGTATTTAAAGAATGGTGCTTTTTTTTTCAGCTTTATTAACTTTTTAAAACAGCAGGACCTCTAATCTAGCCATTCATTTGGTGTCCAACTGAAGAAACAGATTTCTTCTTATAGTGGAGAGAAAATGACTGGGCTGGTCTTTTTAAAATTGATAGAACAACCTCCAACATGGTACCTTCCTAAGTGATTTTCAAGAGTAATTTTGACATTGTAAGTGGGGTTTTTTTTCTTTTTCTTCCTACTTGAGATGTTTTTTCTCTTCTGCTTACCTGAGTCCCTAAGGTGAAGCAGAATTCCAATTTGGGGGAGCTGGGTATTAATTGTCTGGCCAGGGAACTCTTTTTCAATGTGTAAGATTCCTGGTAGACCAGTTGGTTCTCAAGATATGGCTGGACCAATTGCATTAGAAGGACCCAGGATGTTTGTCTTTTTTAGGTACAGGTTCTTGATACCTGCTCCAGATCTGTGTCAGGATAGTTTAGTAATGAGGCCCTGGACTCTGCATTATAAGTTCCATGTAATTCTGATATATATTCTCAACTATAAGCTCAGGTAAAGGTAGGAAGAGTGCCAATGTTATTCATGTCTGTCTTCAGACCCTGGAACAAGCTTACCACATGGTATAAGTTTAAAAAATATCAATTGACTGAAGGAAAACAAGCCTCTGACCCGAATCCTTTGTTTTGATTTAGCAATCCATAGAGCAGGGGTTAAGATAACAGCCCAGCTGGGCCTTACGAAGGAGGAATAGATTCATCTTCTCCCATGTTCTCCTTCTTCTCAGAGTTTCTCCAGGATGAAGGCCTGAGGCCTGCCTTTGTAAACTCTACAGCTCAGCTTGTGCCCTGCCACCTGCTTTATGGCCTCTGTGCAGTGTCTCACAGAAGCCATTAGCCATTCATTTAATGCCTAATCCTCTAATCCAACTGTTTTTTGATTTGCCAAGTGAGGAATATGCAGAGACACAAGCCACTTGTTCCCAGAGTTCTTTCCAGCTGGTGAGTGGGAGGCAGCTGGAGAAGAGACTTTAGGTTTTGTTCCTTGAACCAGGAAATCCCAGAGTGATACAGGGATATAGCTGCTCCATCCGGGCCCTTCTGATGTTGGGGTATCCCCAAGAGTAGTTCCTAAAAAGACCAGGATACCCCAACAGTCCCCGGTGGTCTATCTGCTCAG
Source organism: Homo sapiens (assembly GCF_000001405.40). Taxonomy (NCBI): domain Eukaryota; kingdom Metazoa; phylum Chordata; class Mammalia; order Primates; family Hominidae; genus Homo; species Homo sapiens. The sequence goes on along the minus strand of NC_000016.10, from coordinate 22,751,729 downwards.
AAATGCAGCAGGATGGTTCTACATTGAGAATATAATCAGACTGCCACATTTTACCCAAACATCTCATTTATTCAGGAAGCATTTACTGAGCAACTGCTTATGCCAGACTCTGCTTGAGGAACAAAGGAACAAGGCAGATTCAGATCTCTGTTTTGCGGAGCTGCCAACAAGCCTAATGCACTCCCAATCCTGTGTTCCTGCAGCAGAGGATGGATCCTCTCCGAAGGCCTGCACTGCCCACCCCCAGCCAAGTTCCCTTGCAGCTGTCCACCGGGCTGCCCCTAGTGACGGCTTCTTCCCAGGCTCTCCTTCTCCTTAGTTAAAATGTGGGAAGGGCTGGTGACTTGAATGTGACTTGATTTGACTCTGAGAATTGGGACCTGACTCACAAGAAGCCTTAGGAATCCTCAAACATCTGTTGGTTGCATTCCCTATGCCAGATGTCTCCATTTGTCCCACCAGATCTCCTCTCCACTTCCTTGCATCCTCCTCTCTGCCCCAGGGGCTAAGCTGGCTGCATTACATCCATGGGCTGCCATGTCCTCATGTTCCGGTTGGATTTGGCCAATGGGAAGCACCAGGAGCAGGAAGGAAGGTGGTCAGGATATTTATTTATCTGGTTCCATCTCTGAGAAAGTCACTGTACTTCTCAAAGAGGCTTGCTCTGCTCAACTCCTGCTCCCCTCATCCTTTTGATGTGTGGGAGGTGGCAACTCCACCACCACCAGTCCCAGGTCTTGCGCCATGCCTCAGATCCCCCACCACCCTACTCACACTCTTGTGCTCAGTCTCCTTCTTAATAAATCCTTCACAAATTAGACTAACTTGGGTGCGCCATCTGTTTTCTGAGTGCAATCTGACTAATAAACTCACTCTCGTCGCTCTTTTCTCTCATACTCTCTGTGAAGAAGCAAAAACCAAGGTTGCAAGCTCGGTCCCTCAGGCCACATCTGGCCCACAGATATGTCTTGTTGGGCTTTCCATGCTGGGATCTCATATGCTTTTATATTTGAGAGAATAGTTGTCACCACTAAAAAAATAATCAAGATGTTTTACATAAAAAACAAATTTCCAACTTCTCTTGAAAAGTAGAAATGCTGGCAGCACTAAGCCTATGATTCTGCATGGCATCACTGGGCTACAGCTGAGTGTCAGCGGCCCACCCTAAGCCAGGATGTAGCATTTCCTGTTTGCTGCAGCCTCCACCACTCCCTATAGTCTCCTCGATATTGAGACTGCATTTCAGTTCTCATTTATCATTGTACTCGTGTTGTTTTTCTTAGAGTTACAAAAGAAAGAAAACATGTTCTGTTCCTATATCTAGTACAAAAAAAAAAAAAGGAAAATAAAAACTAGATGGGGATAGGCAGAGGACAGAATGAACAGATTTCTTTTTAGAAATAGACTTTTCCTAGTTTTTAATATTGAATTTCCTGCCCACTTCACTCATTTTTGTGTTACCTTTCAAACTCAGGCAAGCATTTGGATTTAGGGCCTTGAAATACAGCTTTAGCTAAATCCCTGTCTTAAAGGCTTCAAATAAGAGCTCAGAATGACAGAAAATAAATGAATTAAGACTGAATCAGGCTAAGGGGCGCTACGTGGGTCTTAGAATAAGTCCATCTATACTCCACATTTTCCCACCCCTGAGCTGCAGCCTCCCTGAAATCCAGATTCCAAGAAAAGAAAAAAAAAAAAAAGCTAGGCCAATTCTAGAAAACTTTGTCATAGTTTATAGAGGATAACTATGATTGATAAGTGTATTAGGCTGTTCTTGCATTGCTATAAAGAAACACCTGAGACTGGGTAATTTATAAAGAAAAGAGGTTTCATTGGCTCACAGTTCTGCAGGCTTTACAGGAAGCATGATGCTGTCATGTGCTCAGCTTTTAGGGAGGCCTCAGGAAGCTTCCAATCATGGCAGAAGGTGAAGGGGGAGCAAGCATATCACATAGTGAAAACAGGGGTAAGCAACAGAGAGTGTGTGGAGTGGGTGGTGCCACACACTTTTAAACAACCAGATCTCATGTGAACTCAGAGCAAGAGCTCACTTGAGGTATGGGGGGTGTGCGATGGCCATTCCTGAGGGATTTGCCCCCATGCTCCAAACAGCTCCTACTAGGCCCCACCTCCAGCACTGGGAATTACAATTCAACATGATATTTGGGCATGGGCCAATATCCAAACTATAAAAGGAGCTGATCTACTCTTACCGTTTATACAGACCTTCATGTATATCACCTTAATTTTTGCTTTTAAAGGAATAGGAGATAACCTTTGTTGAGTGTTATTTGTGACAAGGGTTTTATACATGATCTCTTTTAAACATCGTCAGAATTCTGTGAAGTGGCTGTTATGACTCCCACTTTACACATAAAGAAATTGAGGTTCAAAGAAGTAACTTGGCCAAAATCACACAGCTCATAAGTGATGGAAATGAGATTTAAGCCTTTGCTTTTATAGCTTTATTTCTTATAACCTCAGAACAAATGTTTTTAAGAAGTTATAAGCAAGCTGGGTATTCCTCACTATTTAATTAGTAGAAGCTTTGCTTTCTTTAGTGAATGACATAGTTGTCTTTCCACATCAGCACCTACAGATCCACCTCACTCACATTAACAGCTGCAGAGTATCTGGACATACGATAGATTATTTAACTGGACATTTAGGTTGTTTCTCAATGTTTCCCTATTATGAAAAGTGCTGCAATAAATTGTCCGTCTATCTGTCTGTCTTTGCATACTTTTGTGCATAGCTCTATAAAGCAAATTACTAAAGCCAGAATTGCTTTCTCAATGATATGTATATTTTAAATTTTGATAGCTACTGCCGGATTTTCCTCCAAAGTTGTTGGACCAATTCAGAGTTCCCACCAATGGGAATTGCCTTTTTCACAGCAACCTCATCAACAATGCATACTATTATTAATCTTTAATCTTTGCCAGACCAAGTGAAAACTCAATGGATTATGGTCCTCTTATTTGCATTTGTTATCATTACTGATCACTTATAGTTTGTCTCCCATAATTTGTTTATGTCCTTTGCCCATTTGGGAGAAGGGATAGATAGTAGTATCTATCAAATATATTGATAAGTTTAATTCAGATAAGGTCAAGAGTTGAGAATGACCCCCAAAAGAATTTCAAGAAGAATGTCTGGTCCAGAGAGAGAATGGAGATCTCCCAGATATGTTGATATGGCTGATGAGAATGGATTAATCCAGAGTCCTTACCTGCTGGTCTCAAAAAAAGGATTGACATAAGCCAGGAGAGCCATTCAAAGAGCATCCTGGGACCCTCCTTATAAGTGACAGTAGTTACTCCATGTCACATTGCTTTCCTAACCTCCACACTAGTGGATCTACAGACAGGGAATGTCAATACCATATCAACTCCAGGGAATGCAGTAGGGCTACATTCTAAAATGTACATTTTACATGGGAGAAAAATACAGAGGAGAGCCCCTAAGGACAATGAACAAAGCCATCGCTGCATAAAAAGGCACAGGTCTAAAGACTAAATACCTTATTACTCAGTGGTGAACACTGGTAAACAAACTACCAAAAATGCACCTGTTTTGAGTGAGACATTTTCCCAGAGTTAGATACGGGAAGAAAGAGAACAGTGAAGGGGATTCCTTTTCACATTGGTAGAAGATGATTATTTTTATCTCACTATTGTAGGCAAGATCAAGCCTTGTACTGGTTAAAAACACAAATTCCTGGGCTTCAAACCAGATGCATGGGTGTCAGAATCTCCAGAGAATCCTGGAAAGCTGTAAGCTTGACAAGCACCCCAGGTGATTCACATCAGCAGAGAAGTTTGGGGAATATTGCCCAGAGACAGTGGTTCTCAACGCCGGCTGCACAGTAGAATCCCCTAGAAAGGACCCATTTATTAAGATTCTAGTTGATTGGTCTGGGGCCAGTTCTTATTGTTCGTTTGTTTGATTGGTTGGTTGGTTGGTTGGTTGGTTCGTTGGTTGGTTGGTTGGTTAGTTGCCTGGTTGCTTTGCTGTTTGTTTGCTTGGTTGGTTTATTGGTTGGTTGGTTGATTGGTTGGTTAGCTGTTTGGTTACTTGCTTGCTTGCTTGTTTGGTTGGTTGGTTGGTTGCTTTGGTTAGCTGTTCCTTAGGTTGCTTGATTGGTTTTAGCTCTCCTGCTGACAGTACCATGCCATCCATGTTGAGAAATGCTGGCTAGTATCCTGACATCCAGAGTTGCCAGATGATCACAATCACGTAGGGTGCTGAAATACCAATTTTACCATCTATTTTAATAAAAGTGCAGATTCACGGTCCTCAACTATGAAAAATGCTGATGGAACAGGTCTGGGATGGACCTTGGGAATTGACAGTTAGAATATCCAGTGGGACTACTGATCTAATTAACTCACAAGTTAAAATCCTCTCCTAGGAAGACAAGTCCACATGGTGTATTAACACACAAAAAAATGGGATGTTAGAAGCAACAGCATTCGAGAAATAGAGGAAGAAATGGCCTGTGTGTGTGTGTGTGTGTGTGAATGTTTGTGTGTGTGTGTGTGTGTGTGTGTGTGTGTGTGGTGTGTGGTGAAGTTGGAGCCAAGGAAATCCTTTTGGGAAGATCACCCACTCACCATTTTACATCTTATACACTGGGTTTAGTTTGAACTAACAGTCAAGTTGTTGAATTCCACCACTATTCTGCAGAAGAAGTACAACAAAGAAGGCTTAACTAGATAGAAGAATTTTTTTTCTGGTCTCAAAAATAATTTCTAGTCTAAAAAAAATTCTAGATTAAAAAATTTTTTCAGTCTGAAGCCAGACATGGTGCTGCTCACCTGTAGTCTGAGCTATGTGGGAGGCTGAAGCAGAAGGGTCACTTGAGCCCAGGAATTCAAGGCTGCAGTGAGCTGTGATCATACCACTGCACTCCAGCCTGGGTGACAGAGTGAGATCCTGTCTCTGAAATATAAAAAGAATAAGAAAATAAATAAATCTTTCAGCCTGAAATATTATCATTGATCTATGGAAGGCCCCTCCCCTGTGTATTGGGGTATCCCCTTTTAACCCCACTGCCTTTCCACACCATAGACAACACAGCACTCTTTTTAAGATGTATCCATATTGCTTTCTGTGTGACTAGTCTTCTAACTGCTGTATAGACCTCCAGGCTTTGCCTCTCCATCCTGCCAGTGACACCAGGACTGCTGCCACCATTCATGCTGTGCGGATCATTATCATCCATGTCACCTTTAGGGCCCACTGGTTCAGTGAATATTCTGTTTGCTTCAGTATTGCCAGAATGCTCTGCAGAAGAGCTGTACCAGTCTGTACTTCCTTCAACATACATAAGGCTCCTAGAAACCACCCTTCCCCACCAAAACTTAGTATAACCCAGCTTTCTAATTTTGCCAGTCTAGAGTATAAAGTGATATATTCTGGAATTCTTGTTTTTATTTTTTGTTTTTTTTAAAGACAGAGTCTTACTCCATCGTCCAGGCTAGAGTGCAGTAACATGATCACTTCTCACTGCAGCCTCAAACTCCTGGGCTCAAGCAATCTATCCACCTCAGCCTCCAAAGTAGCTGAGATTACAGGTGCATGTCACCATACCTGGATTTTTTTTTGTTTGTTTTTTGTGGAGACAAGGTCTTGTCTGCTACATTGCCCAAGCTGGTCTCAAACTCGTGGTCTCAAGCGATCTTCCTGCCTCAGCCTCCCAAAATGCAAGGACTACAGGCGTGAGCCACCACACCCGGTCATTGCATTTCTCTTATTACTAATGAGTTTGAGCACCTCTTCACATGCTTGTTCACCTTTTAAATTTCAAAATTTCTTTCACACCAGTCCACCTCTTGTGGGATTAGTATCAAACTGATTTACCTTCCTACCAGACATCATTTCAGAGGATTCTGTAAGTGTGGAATCCCTAACACTCAGAGTCCCATACCTCCTCCCTGACTATGAAAGCTAAGGATAGGTGTGCCCATACTGGTATTATCGCTAATTGGTTTCCTGTAGAACAGAGGCAGATTCTTCTGTTGGTTGCTGCTGCTACTGCCCATTTCTTTAAGCAGAAGGAAGCAGGAAAACAATCTCTGACATCTTTGCATTGTCCAGGTCCTTAGAACTAAATCACCTATCCTAACCAGTTTCATGCTCCATAGCCTGTTTTGCTCCCTGACTCAATTTCCCATGTACAGCCTCATGTCTCTTTGTACCTGACCCTGGGAATTCTTTTGCCCTCTTCCCTGCCTATAACTCATATTTTCCTTCTGTCTGTGTGACGACTCCAATTGCCCATTTATTAGTCAAGTTTTCTGCGTTAGTCCATTCTGGTTGCTATAACAAATTAACACAGACAGGGTAGCATAAACAACAAACATTTATTTCTCACAGTTCTGGATGCTGGAGAGTCCAAGATCAAAGTGCCATCAGATCCAGTGTCTGGTGAGGATCCTTTTCGTGGTTTGCAGAGGGTCATCTTCTTGTATCCTCTCATGTCAGAAAGAGAGCTAGCTAGTTCTTGTGTCTCTTCTTATCAGGGCATTAATCCCTTTCACAAGGGCTCCACTCTTATGAGCTAATTACCTCCCAAAGGCCCTACTTCCAAATACCATCACATTGGAGGTTAGAATTTCAACATATGAATTTTTGAGGAAACAAAAACATTCGGTCCATTGCAGTTCCTTTGGGTGCCAGTAACAGAAAACCCAGTAGGGAAACCATCACAAAACGACTGGGATATCAGGCAGTTCATGGATGTTTCAGACATCTAATCCCCAGCAAGAACAGAAGTCAGGAAAATTTGAGGGCTCTCCATAGTGAGTTTGTACATCTCCCTTCTGGAGCAGTGACCCCCCTCAAAGTGTTGTGCACACATCCTTAGGAATGACAAGATGACTAACTGAGATATAGGAAGGAAACATGCAGATTTCTATTTCTACTTAGTATGATCTCATTTTAATTTTTCCTATTTTTGTATGCTTTATAATATACATAATATCATATTTGTATAATTCAGAAATATAAACATATGCCTATTGTGGCATGTGATCAAAAAATTATTTGAAAAAGAATTATGCAAAATGTTGTCCAAGAACCAGCAGAAGGGGCATCTTCTGAGGACTTGTTGGAAATGCATGACCTCAGGTGTCACCCAGACCTATTTCATTTCCACAGCCCTGTGACTTCCCAAATCCAACTCCTAACTTTAGAATGGGGGACTTCTGTTTCCTCCATCCTCTTCCTTTCTCTGACCTCTTTCCCATATCAACTCCTTCCCCCACCTCCTATTTAAAACAAATTTTTTTTACTGGGTATGTATCCAAAAGAAAATAAATTGCTCTGTCCAAAAGACACGTGCACTCATATGTTCATGGCAGCACTATTCACAATAGCAAAGACATGGACTCAACCTAGGTGCCCATCAACAATGGATTGGATAAAGAAAATATGGTACATATACACCATGGAATATTACACAGCCATAAAAAAGAATGAGATCATGTCCTTTGCAGTAACATAGATGCAGCTGGAGGCCATTATCCTAAGTGAATTAACGCAGATACACAAAACCAAATACTGCATCTCCTCACTTATAAGTGAGGGCTAAACATTGAATGCACATGGACATAAATATGACAATAGATACTGGGGACTACTAGAGGAGAGTGTGCAAGAGGAGGGCAAGAGGTAAAAAACTACATATTGGGTACTGTGCTCACTACCTGGGTGATGGGATTAATCATGCCCCAAACCTCAGCATCATGCAATATACCCATGTAACAAACATGCACATGTACCCTCTGAATCTAAAATAAAAGTTGAAATTATAAAAAATAAAACAAGCTTCTATGGGTGTGAATTGATATAGACAGATGGGGACAGAGTGGTGAGAGAGGGTGGTTAAGGAGAGATTGAATGTTTTATTTACCAGCATTAGCTAGCAAAAATGCCCTATTACAAGTATAAACTTATTATTTTCTTATCACTCACTAGCCCAGGTAATAGGGTCTGGCTTTGTGTCCCTATCCAAATCTCATCTTGAATGATAATCCAAATTGTAAGTCCCATGTGTTCGGGGAGGGACCTCGTGGGAGGTGATTAGATCATGGGGGTGGTTCACCCATGCTGTCTCGTGATAGTGAGTGAGTACTCATGAGATCTGGTGGTTTTATAAGGGACTTTCCCACCTTTGCTCTGCACTTCTTCTTCCTCCCGCCATGTGAAGAAGGATATGTTTGCTTCCTCTTCCACCATGATTGTAAGTTTCCTGAGGCCTTCCCAGCCCTGCAGAACTGTGAGTCAATTAAACCTCTTTCCTTTATAAATTACCCAGTCTCAGGTATGTCTTCATAGCAGCATGAGAACAGACTAATACACCAGGTAATTTGGTTTTCTTACCATGATCAATGTTCCCTATAAAGTGCCACAACTACTCCTGTAGTCTGGTACCTGACCTGGTAGAAACAAACAGCACATTGTATAGGTTTGATCTGTGCCATGCCAGGACATTGGAGAATTCTCATGGGGGCCATTTGTGATCAGGAGCCCCAAAGCCAGTCCAAAGAGCCAATTCACACAGGCACAGGTTTGGGAAGCCATTGATGCCCTATCATCAAACTACTTACATATTTGGTTGTGTTTTGTTGGCAACAAACATAATTGCTTCATTTATTCTAAGTAAATACACAACAATGACCAGTTCAATAGTTTCTGCAACAGAAATACCCTCCCCCGTGCCTCAAAGTGCATCTCCTAAGAAGACTGAAATACCAGCACATTCTTATTATCAAGGTTAGGCAAATGGCATGACTAAGATTGGCTGAGAGCAAAAGCTTCAACTTCTAGGGGCAAGAGTGGGTTATTAGGCCCCAGTGTTTTCCTTGGAGTACAGTTGGCTCTGCCCATATTCCTTTGTGTGGCTCTTGAGGGGGCAGGGACTATTATTAATATCTGAGGCAGATGTGAGTCCTTACATCATGGGCTAAATAATATCTAAACGGATTTAGGCCTTTGTGCCAATTCCACAGCCTAATGATGTGCTATCCAATTAAGCCATCCTTCATCCGCCTGTGGAATCTACTCAACTATCTTCCCCTAACGGATCATATTCCCTGCCTCTTTTGTTTTTCAGTTATGATGCCTTTCAAATTTCCCCTCTGCCAAATGCTTGGCCCCTGAGGCTGTTCCTTGCCATTTATTCCTTCTGCCTCAGGCATACTATACATTCTTTTTCCTTGGCTTCACACTGAGCTTTCTCGTTATGCAGGTAGCCAAGTCCAAAAAAGCCTGCAGATTTTCTCACACAAAGACTTAGTTGACCACATGGAATTAACTTAATTCAGAAGAATGATCCTTACCCAACTCCCATGGTGTCCTTCAGGCAGCAATGACAGCTCTATAATCCTAAACCTCCTTCCAGACATGGTAACTTCCTAGATATTACCTCCCAGTGACCCACAAGCCTCTCTTGTAATGTATAAGATGGACAAGGTTTTACAAACAGACATTGATCTGTCAGGTTCATCCGCAAAAGGCTAGGTTTTAGGAAATGAATTGTCTGTCAAGATTCTTCTTTGACAGTAAGGAAAAAACATATTTGAGAAATGGGCCAACCAAAGGAATCCCAGTTAATGTTAGTGTATCCAGTTCTGAACTCCTAGATTTATACCCTATGCTAGGAAATGTACTCTTCCTATTGGGTCAATGCCTCAATAGTATGGATATACTTCAACATGTGTTCCTCCTCCTATCACAGTTGCTAAATAGAGATTTTCTAGCTACTATCAACTGATAATTTCTGCCCCTATATTGTCTGTGTACTTATAACTCTCATAATTACACCTGAGGTCCAACATTCCAGGATTGGCTAAGCTTTACCTGGAGACATCTGAACGTGGAGGGTTGTTATATCTCCAAGAATCACTTCTGTAGGAGAAAGTAATATTGATCCATCAATTAATAGTCACTTTCCCTACAGATTCATTTAATATAGTTGAAACAAGTGCTGGATACACACCGTCTATTTAACTTAGGGATAAGTATTGCATATTGGTTCATTCTTAACCTCTCAGAGCTTTTCTCCCTTCTGAGAGGCGAACTATTGAAAAACCATCTTCCTCTTCCCAACTTTCATGGCATGATGAACTTCCCCAACAGCTGCCTCCAAACCAGCTTTTACTGGTGAAGGGACTAGTAATCCACTTTCACCTGATTTCACTAAATTGGATAAAATAAATCTCAAAAAACAAAAAAGACCTTTTCCCAACAGCATTATTTACATCAATTAACTAAGAAGTTTAGCTTAGCCCACCATTTAAGTGCTCAGTACTTCCTAAGGCCATAAAAAAGAATGATCTCATGTCCTTTGCAGGGACATGGATGAAGCTAGAAACCATCATTCTCAGCAAACTAACACAGGAACAAAACCAAACACCGCATGTTCTCACTCATAAGTGGGAGTTGAACAATGAGAACATATGGACACAGGGCGGGGAACATCACACACCAGAGCCTGTCAGGGGTCGGGGGCAAGGGGAGGGACAGCATTAGGAGAAATAACTAATGTAGATGACGGGTTGATGGGTGCAGCAAACCACCATGGCACATGTATACCTATGTAACAAACCTGCACATTCTGTATATGTATCCCAGAACTTAAAGTATGATAATAAAAAAAGATGAATACTAATAAAAAACAATGATCTGTTATTTTACAGGATAATTTCTCAAAATATTTGTTACAATTATTCTTAATAAACTCAGGCCTGGGTCTTTTGGTCCAGCATCTTATCTTAGAAGCAAGCAGGATTGAGTGTATCTTCTATTCTACTGACCACCATTATACATGCTTTCATTAAGAGAAAAACAAAGTCCTTTTCAGTTCTTTTTGGTTCTCAATTTTATGGGGACGAAATAGCTACGGAGTCGTGCAACTACAACATGTACCTACTCATTCAATAAGCGTTCATGTTGAGGACTGCCCAATGCCACAGTCCTGAAAACAAAGACGGAAAAACCTGGTCTCTGCCTGCAGAAAAGTGACTTCCCAAACCAAACTATGCCTCAGACTTCCCTGGAGCATTTTTTAAAAATACAGATTCCAGGCTGGGCACAGTGGCTCATGCCTGTAATCCCAGCACTTTGGGAGGCCAAGGCAGGTGGATCACCTGAGATCAGGAGTTAGAGACCAGCCTGGTCAACATGGTGAAACCCTCTCTCTACTGAAAATACAAAAATTAGTCGGGTGTGGTGGTATGTGCTGGAGTCCCGGCTACTCGGGAGGCTAAGGCAGGAGAATCACTTGAACCTGGGAGGCGGAGGCTGCAGTGAGCCGAGATTGTGCCACTGAAACTTCAGCCTGGGTTCAGAGTGAGACCCTGTCTCAAAAAATAAATAAATAAAAATAAAAATACAGATTCCAGATTCTCACCTGATTCTCTAGAGGTGCCATCCCCAAAAATGTTTTAACAGAGGTCCCAGTGGATTCTGACACAAACAAGTTTAGTGATCACTATAAGACAAAAATCTGTATCAATGGGAATAGGAGGAAAGAAACATTCAGGACAATGGAAAGGATCCTTTAGTAGCCCTGTGTATGAGGTTCTGTGAAAGAGAAAACGGGCTTCTCAGTCAGGGTCCAGTCAGGAGACAGGAGTCATACTAGTTATTGGAACAGGAGGAATTTAGTGTAAAAAATCTTTCATGCTATATTTTCTTTTATATTGACATACAATAACTGTATATGTTTATGGGGTACATGGTGATGTATTTTCAACAGGATATAAAGGTGATGACTAGGTAACTGCAAGAAGATAAACAAAACTCTTGAGGTATCACAGAAGTAGCCCTTGCAGGAAGCAGCTGCCACCAGAGACTGGGGCACCAAGAGAAGAGATAGGAATTATTAAAACTCAGACATGGGCCGGGTGCAGTGGCTCATGCCTGTAATCCCAGTACTTTGGGAGGCCAAAGCTGGCGGATCAACTGAGGTTGGGAGTTCGAGACCAGCCTGACCAACATGGAGAAACTCCGTCTCTACTAAAAACACAAAATTAGCCAGGCATGGTGGTGCATGCCTGTAATCCCAGCTACTCAGGAGGCTGAGGCAGGAGAATCACTTGAATCTGGGAGGCAGAGGTTGCAGTGAGCCAAGATCACGCCATTGCACTCCAGCCTGGGCAACAAGAGCAAAACTGTCAAAAAAAAAAAAAAAAAAAAAAAAAAACTCAGAAACTCAGAGGAGAGTTCCTCTGGGTCTGGGACCCAAATCTCTGAGGAGAGGGGGCAGCTAGCCAGCTGGTGCCGGTGTTAGAGTCTCCAATGAGACTGGTTTTGTGAGCTTAGGAGCAACTATAGGCTGGACCTGGGATGAAGAAGCTTGTTAAGAACATGCTTGCAGCATCAGGAAGCCAACAGAAAGAAGCAGGTCTCTACTTCCTCTTCCCACTTCATGGTCTCGCACTAGTGCCCCTTATGGACTAAGCCTCACAGGGAGCAGCTGACACTGCAGAAATGTGAGTCTCAGTCCCAGCAGCACAAAGCTGAATATAGAAAGTTGGGTTTGGAGCCAAGAGACAGTAATTTAGTAGCTGCACAGTGGATGAAAAAAGAAAGGGCAATTTACTAGGCAAGCATCATGCTTTACAAATCCTTTACGGGTGGAATTTTATTCAAGTCTCATAATCCTTTGAGGATGAAGCCCAGAGAGGTCAATTCACCCATGAAAGGTCACACAGAAGTAACTAGTGGAGCTAAATGACCCTATTACGTGAGTTGGCTCCAGCTGTCACAGACGACACAAATTAAGACCTTGTCCTCCCTTCCCTAGTTCTTTTCCCTAGAACTGGCTTTCATTCCACTCTGCCCTCCAGAGGGGCTGCTCCCCAGATGTAATTTGGTTACATAAGAGGTAAGTTTTCCTTTTCTGATTTTCTAAGTTTACCAGGTGTATTAGTCAGGATTCTTCAGAGAGAGAGAACCAATAGGATAGATGACTAAATGGATAGATGACAGATAGATAGATGATGATAGATATAACAGATGTTATTATATATAGATAGATACATAGATGATAGATAATGACAGATATAATAGATGATATTATAGATAGATAATAGATGATGAGAGATATAATAGATGATAGATAGATAGATAGATAGATAGATAGATAGATAGATAGATAGATAAAGAGGGGGTTTATTAGGGGAACTGGCTCACATGATTACAGAGGCTGAGAAGTTCCACAACAGGCCATCTGCAAGCTGGAGACCTGGGATACTGGTTGTGTGGTTCAGTCCAGGTCCAAGAGCCCCAGAACAAGGGAAGCCAAAGGTGTTGACATGGCTTCTATTTTGAAACATTCTCTTCTGTTCGCTTCCAAGACTAGGATGTGGATGTAAGTCCATTTTACCTTCCAGTTCTTCATCAGTGAGGGCTCTTTAGTTGCAAGCAACAAAAACAAACACTGGGTGTAAAATAAACTTTTCAGGTTTTGAAGTAGCTCATGGCATGTGGTTGATCCAACAGCATGTTCAACTCCCAGCCCCTCTCTGTATCCACAGTTTTTGTGACTTTGTGGATTCTCTCACTTGCTTTGGCCAATGAAATGCTAGCAGTGGTGATACAAGCAGGAGCTTGGAAAGGCCCTGGCAGTCCTTTCTCTTGCTCCTCTGCCTGCATCCTGAGAACATGCCCTGCTAACTTGCTAGAGGATGCCACGATGAACACAGCTGAGTCACCCCAGGTGTCCCAGTGAAGGTTATCCTAGAACTGCTGACCCAATTCCCAGTTGACCCCCTACAAATGTGATAGGGTCCAGCCAAGACCAGTAGAGTTGTTTAGTTGACCTTCAGGTAACTGCAGATTCATGAGTGAACCTAACCAAGACCCAAAAACCCACTTGGTGTTCCTTATATTCATGAGCTAAGTAAACGCTTAGTGTTTTAAGTCACTAGATTGGGTGATGGTTTGTTACACAGCATTCTTGTGGCAATAAAAACTGATATATGACATCAAGGCAAAACTGAAGAAGTAGGCCCCTAAAAGGACAGGAAAAAGACAGCACAAAGGATCCACAGGTAGGAAATAGTCAACAAATTCCTGTCCACTGTCTACCGTCCTCAGAATAAACCAGCTCTACCTTTTTCTTTTGTTTTTTGTTTGTTTGTTTGTTTGTTGTTGTTGTTTTGTTTAGAGGTGGAGTTTTGTTCTTGTTGCCCAAGCTGGAGTGCAATGGTGTGATCTCAGCTCACTGCAACCTCTGTCTCCCGGGTTCAAGCGATTCTCCTGCCTCAGCCTGCCGAGTAGCTGGGATTACAGGCACATACCACCACGCCTGGCTAATTTTTTGTATTTTTAGTAGAGACGGGGTTTCACCATGTTGGCCAGGCTGGTCTCGAACTCCTGATCTCAGGTGATCCGCCCACCTCAGCCTCCCAAAGTGCTGGGATTACAAGTGTTAGCCACCATGCCCAGCCTCTTTTCTTTTTTCCTTGGGATTGGGAGTGTTCCTCCTGTCATTCTCAACAGTTAAACCCCAGAGAAGTACTCTTATTGGCCCAGCTTGGGACCTGCACCCTCCTCCAGCACCTTGACTGACAACCCCACCAAAACCACATTCCATGGGAAAGGGATGGTTTACTAAAGAAATACTGAAGGGCAGTTAGCAAAAACTGGGCATGAATTCTGGGCAGGCAGGAGCAACAGAAGTCCACTACAAGCTCTGGCTCTTCCTCCAGGTTTTATAACATCCACTTTGTTTGTGAGCCAGGACACTAGGAGTGCTGGCCAGTGTTTGGTGACAGACGGAGCATCCAAAAGCTTCTTGAACAATTGGAATCATGGCACAAAGCTAGCAAGATGAAATTCAATACAGATTAATGGGAAGGACTATATTTGAGCCCAAAGGAAATAACAGGTGGTAGAGGATAAGGTAGGAGTGTTGACACTTAGTGATGGCTTGTGTAGAAAAGACTATAAGCTTGAAACAAGTCGACAGTGGGAGAAGATGGCCAAGGAGGGCAGATTGATGCTGGAATGGCCAACGAGGGCAGATTGATGCTGGAATGGCCAACGAGGGTGGATTGATGCTGGACCAAAGAAAGGGTTAGGGAACTGCTGCAGTTTGGATGTTTGGACCCGCCAAATCTCAGGGTGAAGTTTTATTTCCAATGTTGGAGGCAGGAGGTGTTTGGGTCATGGGGACAGATCCCTCATGAATAGTTGAATGGCCTCCATGCAGGGCAGGAGGGGTGTGAGTTTTTGCTCTATTAGTTCCCATGAGAGCTGGTTATTTAAAAAAGAGCCTGGACCCTCCCTCCCCTCTCTCTTGCCTCCTCTCTCACCATGTGGTCCCTGCACACACCAGTTCCCTTTCCCTTGAACCATGAGTGGAAGCAGTCCGAGGCTCTCACCAGAAGCAAATGCTGGCATCATGCTTCTTGTACGTGCTTCTTGTGCCATCAGCCAAATAAACCTTTTTCTTTTCTTTCTTTCTTTCTTTTTTTTTTTTTTTGAGATGGAGTCTCACTCTGTCGCCCAGGCTGGAGTTCAGTGGCACGATCTCGGCTCAATTCAAGCTCCGCCTCCTGGGTTCACGCCATTCTCCTGCCTCAGCCTCCCGAGCAGCTGGGACTACGGGCACCCGCCACCACGCCCGGCTAATTTTTTTGTATTTTTAGTAGAGACGGGGTTTCACCATGTTAGCCAGGATGGCCTGGATCTCCTGACCTCGTGATCCGCCCGCCTCGGCCTCCCAAAGTGCTGGGATTACAGGTGTGAGCCACGGTGCCCGGCTAAACCTCTTTTCTTTATCAATTACCCAGGCTCTGGGATTCCTGTACAGCAACACAAAAGGACTAAGGCAGAAACAGTGCTCTCCTCTTGAGCACTACCTTTAGTTCTGTGTGGCTCACTTGGAATAATAATCGCCCAAGATGGATTGAGAACCTACTGTACACCAGGCACTGTGCTACATGCTTTACCCGGATTGTCTCAGCAAATCAACACAAGCACACAGTGTTATTATTGCCATCTTACAGGTGACATATGTGAAGCAAAGAGAGGTTACATAACTTGCCCAAGGTCAGACGGCTTTGATGAAGCCAGCTTTGCACCCAGGCAAACTACCCCAGTCATAATCACTAGCTAGGCTGGCTTTCGGGAGGTGGGACTAGGACGCTCTGTTTTCACGTGGGAGGCAGAAGGAAAGAGTACTTACTTTGTGCTACAAACTTAGAGCTTTAATGAGCACTAACTTAGGCCTTCCTGGAAGATAAGTATTTGATTCCTCATTTTAAACATGAGGCTTCCTAGGAAAAAAACTAGGGCATCTTTGGATCAGTAGCTGAAGTAATTGGTGCAGTTTCACCTAAATGAAACAGAATTTAGGACACATTTGGGAGTGGGGCAAATATGTGAAGGTTGTTAGGATTAAATTTGTTTTGTTTAGTTTCAGGAGGATGGAGTTAGGACAACAGATAGAATTTATAGCAACATAACCTTGTCTCAAAGTTATAAAGGTTTTTCTGATATGGATTACCAATTCTTGTAATCATATTAAATATAATAATACAAATACTATACCATTTACTGAGCACTCATTATGTGCTAACAATGTCACATCATGATATATAAAGCCAGTTTAGTAATAAAATCACAATAACAGTTGTAACTAAGTATTTATGCCAATCACTGTGCAACAACTTTAAATGGTAGATGCTATTATCTTTATTTTATAAATGATAAAACAAAGCACAGAGAAGCTGAGTAAATACACTCAAGGTCACACAGCTAGCAAGAGATCGAATCTGTACGTGAATTCAAACTTCCTGACTCTAGACCAGAGTTCCTAACAAGCATGGCTTCACTGTTCCCCCAAGGAAAGCGGTGAGGAATGGTGGACGGATTGTTGGGAAACACTAGAGTTCCAGCAGCATCCAATGTGGGATTGCCCTGGTGGAAATCTAAGGCTTCTCCCACACTGGGAATCTAAAGACCAGGAGCAGCGACCTGGGCGAGTGAGAACAGATGAACTTACACCAATGGGCTGTGCAGGGATTCTTCCCCCAGGCCCCTGGGTCCAGGCTCCGACGCTGTGTGCACAAAAGCTCCAGCCCTGCTGAGACCAGTGTGCACGTGTTTTATTAAAAGGAAGTGTTTACCCGGCCTACTCCTGGCAGGGCTGCGGCAGCAGTTTATTAGGACTTCATTTGGAGTGTAAATTGATGCCGGTTTATAAAAAGGCTCTGCAGAGCAGCTCCTTCGGGATGGCCCCAATCCGCAGCACTGGGCAGGCGAGGCTTTAACTAAATCATTGATTTCCCTCCGGAAGGAGCAGCCCAGAGATGAGCACTCATTTTGCTGCTTAGCTGCTGTCTCCTCGGCACCTGGAGGGCAAAGGTGGCAAGATTCCCCCTTACCTCCTGTCTCCATCTCTGTACACACACACACACACACACACACACCGCTAATTTCTCTGAGTGCCTATACCATTCTGGTGCATTGACTCTAGAAGGCCAGTAAGGTCTGAAGATTACCCGGCTCCAAGGGGCATTTGAAAGCATGCTGCCTGTTGGTTGTGTGGGTGTTTTAGGTACAGTGTGTGGTGGGGATGGCAAGCCTCATCTCCAGCGTGAAACAGCTTTGGGTTCAAAGGTGACCTTGGACATGGGTTGCCAGATTCAGCAACTAAAAATACAGAATACACAGTTAAATTTGAATTTCTGATAAACAATGAATAATTTTTCGGTATAAGTATGGGACAAGTTTAATTGAAATTTGAATTTCATCTGGCAGCACTACCGTGGGCAGGGGATGGTTCTTTAAGCCTTAGTTTCCTCATCTGTAGAATCTCATGCAAGATAATGTCTGTAAAGTACTTAACACAATGTCTAGCATGTTGTCAGTGCTCGACAAATGTTATCTGCTATGTTATTATTAGTTATATTTTTATATAATCCAATCTGCAGCCTGCTGTGGTCATTTGTTTACATCTTTATTATTAGACTGTGAACTTCTAGACTCACTAGAATACCAAGTCTATCCTAATTTTTATATCCCTAAAGTGTAGAGAGCTCCTGGAACAGATTAGGTGTATATGCTAAATAATTTAATTGATTATGACTTTAACTGTTGCAAAAAAGCAAGAGCCAGTGAGTGAAAAATCAGTGACCCTAGGAATATTTACTCCAAAAGTCAAAATATCCAACTTTTTAAAAGAAACAGAAAGATTTGCTTTCTGTTGACACGCATTTATAGTATCACAGTTAAGATATTATGGACTCCTGAGATTGTCTGCCATGGTTCAAGTTCTGATTCCTCCTCTTCTCTGTGATTCTCAGTTTCCTCATCTGTACAATGGAGATAATAACGGTAGCTATCTCATAAAAGTTTGTGCACATTCAAACATATAGAATGCTTATCACAGTGCCAGGCACATAGAACTTGATGCTCAATGAATGGTGGCTATTAATTCATGCCAGCTCTTGCCCTGTGTTGCCAGGAAGAAATTGGCAGGACCACAGCGAGCACAGGAAGGAGAGGGCACAGTGGAAAGGGGGGGGAACTACAGGATCGGTTTGTCCACAACCTGGAGGCCATAGCAGGGATAGCCCAACTATGTCCTCAGACGGAAACCAGAGACTGCCTTAAGGAGGCCTGAATAATGAACATGTTGTGTTGACAGCAGAGGCCCATGACACCTATCGCCATCTGACATATTTGCTTAGTGTCTATCTCCCCCTACAAGAAAGTAAACTCAGTGGTAGAAGAAAGTTTTTTTATTTATTTTTGTTTACTGGAATATTCTAAAAGAACATTGGGCACAGAGTGGGTGTTTCAGTCAGTTACTGCCACAGTCACCATGTTGCACAACAAACTACCCCAAAGCTCAATGATTTATTCAAGGAACATTTATTCTCAAGCTCATGAATCTGCAACAGGAGTTCAGGTTACCCGGAAAGCTCTGCTTCAGCCTGCAGCTCAGCCTTGCTTGGCTCCAGGCTGTGCATGAGTTTAGGTCTGACCAAGTGTACTTGTACTGGGGCCCAGGAAAAAGGGGCAGCAGCCATGTGGGAGAAAGCTCTTGTCATGGTAAATCACTGGACACAGTCAAATGCAGTCACATCAATGGTGCAACCAAGTACGGAGCCTCAGCTTACATCAAATCTGTTACTTCCTCATTGGCAAGTCACATGGTCAAGTTCAACATCAATGAGGTGGAAAAGTAAACTCCCCTGCAACAGAGGGAGGCAGATGAGGGTAAATGATACTCCCTAATATACTCCCTAAGAAGTATTTGTTGGATGAATGAGCTAACTTCAGAGGTAAGAGAAAATTCCATTCCCTCCTTCCTTACCTACAGGACTTCTCTCTTCATTATTTGCTAACTCTATTTCTTCCTCCACCCTTTCCCTACATCCTCTGTAGACATTCTCATCTCAAACTCAAAGGGAGGGAAGAAGGAAAGCGGAGATGAGAGAGGAAAGAAAGGAAAATTAAAATACAAAATCTCTCACAACCTTACTTTATTGTCCTTCCCTTAAAGATGATTGTTTATAAAGATATGCAATCTAAAACATTGACAAGCTGTACATTTCACCCACCAGACTGACAAAAACAAAGACTTTGATAGAACAAGATATCCCAAGGGTGTGAAGTCATAGGCATACACATTCCTGGTAATGAGGCAGCCTCTTTGGAGAGAAGTCTGAAAATACCTCTCAGAATTTAAAATACACTTACCAACAGACTCAGCAATTCTCCTTCTAGGAATTTGTCCAACAAAAACCCGTACATGAGTATTTTTTAACATTGTAGAATAATGGTCATTACAACAATATTTGCAAAAATAAAAAGTTATCCATAGTATGATATGGCCATATAGTAATATACTACTTAGGCAATAGAAGAATAAAGTTGATCTATATGTTGTGATTTAGAAAGTTCTCCAAGGTACATTAAGTTGGGGGGTGTTGAACAGTGTAAAGACTGTGCTGTTGTGTGTGTATATGTTACATATGCTGTTTCCACAAGGATGGATGAGAAACTCCTTATAGCGGTTGCCTCTTGGGGAGAGAACTGGAGAAGAAGGAGGTTTCTGGAATGAGAGACAACTTTTCATTGTATGGCATTTTGTTTTATTGACTGTTGTGCCATGTGCATTAATTACTGGTTTAACTTTTAAGTAGTGTTAAAAATATTTGGGGACCAACCGAAAATATTTTAAATGCTTTTTTCTAATTACAAAATAATACATTCTGAGTGAGTGTTATTAAAAAGTCAAAAAATACAACAGATGTCAGCGAGGATGCAGATAAAAGGAAATGCTTATATGCTATTGGTGGGAATGTAAATTAATGCAACCTCTATGGAAAATGGTACGTAGATTTCTCAAAGAGTTAAAAATAGAACTACCACGCAATCCAGCAATCACTACCGGATATTTACCCAAAGGAAAAGAAATCATTACATAAAAAAGATATCTGCACTCATATGTTTATTACAGCACTATTAACAATAGCAAAGATAGAGAATCAACCTGAGTGTCCATCAGTGGATGACTGGATAAAGAAAGTGTGATACATATATGGCTAAAAAAGGAATGAAATCATGTCTTTTGCAGCAACAAAGATGGAATTGAAAGCCATTATACTCGGTGAAATAACTCAGAAACAGAAAGTCAAATACCACATATTCTCACTCATAAGTGGGGGCTAAACAGTGGGTCCACATGGACATACAGAGTGAAATCATAGACAATGGAGACGCAAAAAGGAGGAGTGGGAAGGCAGGTGAGGAATAAGAAATTACCTATTGGGTACAATATACATTATTCAGGTGATGGTTACACCAAAAGCCCACACTTCACCACTACACAGTGTATCCACGTAACAAAACTGCATTTGTACCACCTAAATCTATAAACTCTAATAATAAGAACACATTCTGACAAAGAAAAAGAATGCAAAACAATTTTTAAAAACAAGAAAAGAAAAGGCACTAGCCAGAACCATTGGGGTCAGGCTCAGTGGCTTATGCCTGTAATCCCAGCACTTTGGGAGGCTGATTCAGACAGATCATTTGAGGCCAGGAATTCAAGACCTGATATAACCATTTAACCATGGTAACATTTTGGTTGATATTCTACTGTTTCTGTATATATATTTTTTGAGACCGGGTCTCACTATGTTGCCCAGGCTGGCCTTGAACTCCTGGACTCAAGTGACCCTTCCTCAGCCTCCAGAGTAGCTGGGACTATAGGCACATGCCACTGTGCCTGGCTTCTACTATTTCTTTTTCAATGCACATAAGCTTTTTTCTACAAAATGCTAATGTTTGTATATCTTTAAAAAATTAACCATATATTGGTCACAGTTTCTCACATCATTAAAATAAACTTCTAAATCAGTGGTCCCCAACCTTTTTGGCACCAAGGACCAGTTTCATGGAAGACAATTTTTCCATGGACTGGGGCAGGGTTGGGAGAGGATTCTTGGGTGAAACTGCACCTCAGATTATCAGGCATTGGATCCTCATAAGGAGTGTGCAACCTAGATCCCTCGCATCCACAGTTTACAACAGGGTTTGCCCTCCTATGAGAATCTAATGCTGCTGATGATCGACAGGGACGGAGCTCAGGTGGTAGTGTTCATTCACCCGCCGCTCACCTCCTGCTATGCAGCCCGGTACCGGTCCCAGGGGTTGGGGACCCCTGTTCTAAACTTTGATGGTCACAGTAGGGATATCCTATAATGTAATTTAATTAGACCCTTACTGTTGGACATTTGGTTGTTCCAGATTTTTTAAGTGTTATAAATAATACGGCAGTAAACATCTTGTATGTGCATCTCGGATTATTTCCCCAGTGCAAATTCTTTGCTGTGAAATTCTGGGTCAAGAACTAGATGTATCTGTTTTAATCTACATTAACACAGAAAAAAAGTTTATGTTAAGAAAAAACAAGATGAAATAACATGATTCATTTTTGCATATGTATAAAGAAAATACACAATACACAATTGATATATGTACATATATCTCTATGTATATACCTATATATGTATCTGTATATAGATATAGGTATCTATGCCTTTACCTATATATTTATGATATAAAAGATTTAGAAGATACACACCAAAAAGTTAACAATCCTCTTCTCAACATGGTGCAATCTGGAGTCATTTTTATTTCCTTCCTTTTGCTTCTATTTTCTAAGATGTTTATTCTGGTGGATGCTGTGGTGTGCCACCCAGATCCCCACTGCTGGCCTGATGAACTCCTTCCTCAGCTGCTGGGAACATTAGCCACTAACAACTCTCAGCCGAAACACTTTCCAAGAATTGTCCTCAGCTGAGAGCAGCCTCACTCAGGGTCACACACCTTTCTTGGGGATATCTACATCCAATAACTGGTCCCTTTCCCTAATCCCAGTTCCCGAGTTTTCCCGCGATCAGCTTAAGCCTCTGTTGCAACTGCATCACAGCCCAATTTCTTCCTCTGCCAGGCCTGCTTTCCTCCCTCCCTGAGTTGTGTGATTCCAAGGGTACTCCCTAGTAAACTGTATGCAAATTCCTCTCTTAGAGTCCACCTTCCAGGTTAGCCAAACTACAACATGTAAAAGGAACACTTACTAATTTGGCAATGAGTAAAACTTTTAATTAAAAAATTATTTTTCTTTAAAAATACCCTCCTGGTTTGGGTCTAGATGACCTTCCACTATGAAAAATTGTCCACTCTCCAAAGTGACCAGTGATGTAGTATGATATCTTCCCCAGGTCACCCTGGGAAAAGTACTGAAGGCAATTAATCAATTAGTCTCTTCATCTTCCAA